>NC_000005.10:96776473-97079503 GCF_000001405.40 Homo sapiens
TTCAATGGTTTCAATTGTCTGTTGGACACAACGGAGCTGAGAACCATTTTCTTTCAAAGAGCTGAAGAATCCTTTTACCTTGTGAGGAAAAAGTGGGTTTTAAAAAATTAATTTTATCACATTAATCAGATGTAACTTTAGTTAAAACTGAAGCCAAAATTCCAGCATTTGTCAAAATTCTATATAGAAGGCAGTCCCAGCTGTCTGAATAGGATTATGTACACATAAGCTGTATGAAATGAGCTCATGCCTCATGATGTCAAGTTCTGTTTTTTGTCTGCAGTTCTTTTGTTTATTCTCAGTTGCCAGACTTTAAAAGACTTCACTGTTTACCATTTTATAATTAAGGTTTAATTGTGTCTATTTAATGTGTTATTCTGTTCTGTTCTCACAGATGCAAACTTCGTTTTTTAAAAACATGATATCTAAAAAGCAGAATGTGCAGAGTCTTTTCTTTGCCAAGCAAAACAGTTTCCACCACGTAAGTGCTGTCTTTCTCCATGGGCCTGGCCTTGTATGTTATTATAGAAACACTGTGGGGAATGGGATTCTTAGCAAGTTATGGCGGTAAGACCCAAACCTTGCCATTTTTTTTATCCTAATCTACAATTCATGTATTGTTGTCTCAAGATAAAATCCACATAAAGTTCCCCATGATTTTAAAGAGATAAGAAACTCTTGGCTACCTCCTGAAAAATATGTTTGTTCTTGTTTCATTTGTGGGTATCTTAATTCACCCCTTGAGCTCACATGACAGATAGGCTGGCTTTGCCACAAGATTGACCATTGTGCGATTCTGTTTCACCTTAAAGGGTTATTATCCTTTTCCCATAAATTTTCACAGCATTAATCCATCAATTTTTGATTTGGTATTCAGGAAGCGAATGTAGACCATGATGTATTATTTATTCAGCATAGATTCCAGACAGCCAGTTCCTTAGAAATCCATGTCATAATACCATATTATTAGTTTGGGAATAAAGAGGGGAGTAGGAATGGGTTTTAGAAAGATCAGAATTCAATTTTAAATGATGCAGAGTTGTTTTAAAATTATATGTCAATACAGTGCAACTTTACAATGAGCAGAAGGCATGGCCTCCTGCTGTAGCAACCTGGAAAACACTTCACTCTCTACTTTAAGTTGTAGCTCAACCTACTGTTTCATACGCTCTCAGAATGCAAGATTAATTCACAGTCGATTAAAAATCACTGAGCACTACTCAACAAAGCACATCAATAATTTTACTAATTGTTCAAATCATTAATCCTAAAGGAGCTCATCATGATAGCTCCACTAAAAACAGACCTTCTACAACAGCGAAGCCAGCTGTTAACCATTACTCTTACCCTTGTCCTGACCCAAAATCATCTCTTCTGTCTTCACCTGCCTTGGAAATGCAACATCTCCACTGAATATTTGATTCAGACTTGGCTCTTTAAGAACAATTTCTGTGCAATAAGTAGCACAATACAGGGATAGGAAAACAGGTTTATCCTACTAACTTGATTTGAGCAAATGATTTAACTTCTATGGAAGCCAGTCTCCTCATTTGTAAAATGAAGAGCAGTGGTGAAGGATGTAGTTATATAATGCAGGTAAAGTGCAAAGCCCCAAACCCAGCATGTATCAGGGACTTAACCTCATCCATTTGTTCACCAATATTTACTCTGATATTTATTCATCCCTCTGCTGTAATTACTGTGCTAGACACTGAGGATGCAGCAGTGAATCAGGCAAGCATCCTCCCCTCATGGAGCTTACAGTCTTTTGGGGTATACAAGCAGTAAATATGATTACTGTAAATAAACTGCTATGAAGAAAATATGCCAGGGGTATGCTAGTAACTGAGGAGATGTGGCCTGCATTGAACAGCATGGTTTTGGGGAAGGTGATCTGAGCCGAGACCTCTCAAAGATAAAATGCCCCTTTCTAGTGAAAAGTTGGGGAATGGGCAAGCCAGGCAGAGAGAATAAAAAGTGCAGAGGCTTAAAGACAGGAGAAACATGTGGTAGCCCAGGAGCAGAAGGAGGCTGAGTGGCTACAGTGTTATGAGAGAGTAAGCCAGGAGCGCCTGTGGGAATTGGCACCAGAGAGGTCCTCAGAAGCCAGGTCTTCAAGGTCATGGACACATGGGAAGGAGGGATTTGGAATTTACTGCAAGAACAATAGGCAGGGTTTCAAGAAGCCAGGGTCAGTTATGGGCTGACTTGCAGTCTTCAATGTGGAAAATGTTTTGCTATTGGCAAAGTGGCAAGGGGGAGGCCAGTTAGGACACTATTGCAATAGGCAAGGCAAGAGATGAGAAAGGATTGAATGGGGGTAAGAGCAGAGAGAAGTGCGCAAGATCCAGTGCATGTGCTGAGGGAAGACCGGCAGGACTTGCGTAGTTAGATGTCTGGGGAAGAAAGGATTCAGGATGACTCCCGTATTTTATATGTCCGTAGTTTGCTCTCCATTATGATAACATCTCGGGCTCTTTACTTTTCATGCCCTGCTTCAGGATCTTCGCACCTGATATTTCCTCTGCACACAATACTCCTCTAGATGTTGGCATTTCCTTCGATATCTTCTCAAATGTCTCCTAATCATCCTATAAAACAGCACCAACCCTCTATCCCAATCACTCTCCTTGCCTTATTCATCTTCAGAGCATGTAACTACTTGACATTGGTTGATTTGTCTGTAATTGTCTGATTCCCACAGCAGAAATTTCAGCTCCGTGACAGCAAAGGTTTTGTCTGTCTGTTCACTGTTACAGCCCCATAACCTAAAACCATGTGTGGCATATATGTCTTGAATGAATTAATGAGAATACAAGTGAATGAATGAAATGCTTTGTTGCTATAGATCTTGTCTATAGATGACTACCTTTCTGGTCAAGGCTTTGGACATCTCTTCAGTCATCAGACAGAGTATCTCTGCTCTAGACCTCGCTGGAGTTCAAGCTTGAATTATTATATGCAAGTTAATTTTACAAGCCTGGATGAGGCTACTGAAAACTGGAAAAAAGCTACGAGACTGTAACAACCCTTCATTCTTTTTCATTTCCAAAGCTCTCTCCCCATCTCAAGCTAGAAAATAGTGTAACCAGACTACACAATGGAACCACTCCTAAAAAAATTAATATTAGCCTCTCAGCTTTTATCTAAATGTACCACAGTTTAAGAGCCTTGTAAAATTTGTTCCACAACTTTACTATAGGAAACCTTATTATAGAAGGGACACCACAGAACTCAATGGCCCACACATCAAAGTCCTCGAGTTTAGGACTGAAGAAAAGTCTGCTTTTGTAGAAAATGTGTATGCTTCATGTTCTCTTTTACCAGACAATGAGAATAACTCATACTGATTCCTCATTTTTCCTTGACTTCCAGGAATGTCTGTGATAAATTCAGGGGACAATTGCGAGAATTATCCTCAGCCATAAGTCCCTCACATGGTTATCACCTGTCCATTATGTATCTTTTTGTCCTTCATTTTAACATTTCTTTTATACATGGATCTTAAAGCTGCCTGAAATTCTTTCTGAAGGTAGATGGTTACATAATAAGTGACAGGGAACCATGAACTTGGATGGTTTATAAAGAACCTAGATTCCGGACCTGCCTCTTTAGCAACAGCTGGATGACCACTTCAGTCATTTATACCTCAGTGCCCACTTTTAACATCCTTAAACAAGGACTAATTGTCTCAAGTAATTTTCTTCAAGTCCTA
This sequence comes from Homo sapiens, assembly GCF_000001405.40. Classification (NCBI taxonomy): domain Eukaryota; kingdom Metazoa; phylum Chordata; class Mammalia; order Primates; family Hominidae; genus Homo; species Homo sapiens. The sequence goes on from NC_000005.10 coordinate 96,780,189, forward strand.
AGGTTTTTACTGGCAGAGCTAAGACCTCTTAACGTGTCTGAGAAGAGGCACAGTTTTCACTAGTTTAATTGCAACTGATTTATGCTGCTGTCAACACCATAGCATCCAAAAATAACTTCTAAATGACAATCCATTTCTAACTCACCACACCCTCAAAGTATTTTGTCTACCCCATATTAATTAGCTAATTTTCATTTATGTTTAAAAATATATATATAGATTTTTTTTTTTTACCTCTTCAAGCCGTGTTCTTGTGGAGAATTGATTTGTTGTACCCATTACCATGTGGGCTATGGAAGATGAGCCAAGTTCAAACCTAGAGAGGGAAATATTCAAAAACGGGTTGTGAAATACTTATTCATTTAACATATATTTTAAGGGCCTCCTATATATAATAGCTTTCAGCTAAAAACTGATCGGTGTGAAAAATACAAAATATGATGTCTATCCAATGGGTTAAGATCTAGCTGTAAAGAATAATACACACCAACAGCCTAATAAAAGGTTAAGTATCCAACAGAAAATGACAGAAGCAGGAAATGCTATAAGAGTTAGACAAAGACAGATGTGAACAAGCAAATGTGTTCATGGAAGGCCTGGGCTGAACTGTGAGGAGGAAGGCTTCAGATATGTCCATGGGCTCAGGAAGGGGTTATGCCAGATGGAATGGAAAACATCCCTGTCCAGATTCACTAGTTAGCACTGAAGTCCAGTTTTATGTTTTCTACAAATATTTTAGGTATTTCTACTGCCTATCTTCAATCAAAAAGTACCTTTAGACTGTTACTGTTCTTTTACAAACAGCAAGGCTAAAACACAGTAAGGTTATGAACTTATCCAGTCACAGCACAATTTTTGGCACCACTTACTTTTGTACAAGTTTGTTCCAGTTTTTCCTCAGAAATTGCCAGGCCAGTGGGTATCCTACTGGGTTCCTGCCAATGAGTGTAAGAATTTGTGGAAACTCCTGAGTTTTTATTTTATCTCCCTTAAAGCTTTCATCTAGTAGCCTAGAAGGATTAAGAAAAGAAATGTTAGCAATGAATAGGTGATGAAACAGTTATGAATCACTGCAATAAAATTACTTGTAAAAGAAAAAAAAGTCTGCCAGTAACAAAGGTTAAAAAGATAAATGGGTAACCACAATCCTGATAAACCCACTATAGCTACATAATAAAAACTAACATTTATATAGTGTTCATAACACCCATTCTCATATACCCTCTCATTTGCTCAAAAGAATAGTTAAGGAAGAGTAGCTCTAGTAAATATTTTTAATATGTTGTCATTTTAAAGATGCACAAATGTATACACCTTTAAATATTTTTCCTAACACCTGGTTCTCCCTAATTATTTGCCTTTCTCATTAGATGTGTGCTGACTTGCAGTATGTTCCCAGCAGGATAGGCAATTCCTGGCCAAGAAAACAAAAATAGATGCCAGAATGATCTAATCTAATCTAATTTCCCTTGGCCACATGAACATGAATGAATGACGGACTCACCATTGAAGCTTTTCCTTATTTTGGGTTCTGCAGAGGGCAAATTCAATTTGGCTTTTCTCAGTACTGGACAAAGAAAACTGATATTTACTATAAAGAAAATCCCAGCCTTCTGTGCTCTGGGCCCCCACAGCAAACACTGCCAAGGTCACGTCGACAGGCAGGCTATAGAAAGGAACACACTCGGTGAGAATCTGAGGTGCAGTAAGTATGTTTAGAGGCATAATGGTGACTAACTATGAACTGCTGAACTTTCCCCATGATCAGAGAAGCATGCCTGGAAATATAAACAAAAACTACTGATTTCCTTCAGTTACAATTTTTTTTTTTTTTTTTTTTAGGACGGAGTCTTGCTCTGTCACCCAGGCTGGAGTGCCGTGGCTCGATATCGGTTCCTGCAAGCTCCGCCCTCCCGGGTTCACGCCATTCTCCTACCTCAGCCTCCCGAGTAGCTGGGACTACAGGCGCCCGCCACCATGCCCGGCTCATTTTTTGTATTTTAGTAGAGACGGGGTTTCACCGTCTTAGCCAGGATGGTCTTGATCCCCTGACCTCGTGATCCACCCACCTCAGCCTCCCAAAGTGCTGGGATTACAGGCGTGAGCCACCGCGCCTGGCCTAGTTACACTTTATAAAAAAAAGGCAAGAGAAAAATATCTAAAATTAGGTTTTAAGTAGCCTTCTCAAAAATGTGAAATGCCATTTTTATAAATACCTACATATTTAAATACTTTAATGATGCTGGGTGACTCCATAGGGGATCACCTTTCAAGCCAAAAGAAATTCAAACTATATTCAAAATTTACACCATGATCACAAGTCAGGACGGCAGTAGGACCACTGTTTGGATTTCTTTAAGCTGAAGCATGTAGGTTGTTGGCATAAATGTTTCCTGGGTGGGGTTTAAGCTCCAAATGTAAAAAGGACTGAAGTGTAGCAAGAATAGGGATTTCCAGATACGGTAAAATCCTACCTTGCTTAGACAGTGTCAGCAATTACTATGCATCCCTGTCAGGGAATTTGGAAGCCCAAAGAAACTACTATAAAATACAATGCATGTGTTTCTCTATGGCATGGCTGTCACCGTTTAATAAGATTTTGCATTGCCTATACAAAATGAGAATTATTCCCATACCATCCTAACTCCCCAGATATTTGACTTTTATGCATAGAAGTTCCCTCCTAGCATTTCTTAAAGTTACGAGATACATAGATAAATCTTAAAAAGCAATTTATTTTCCAGAAAAGGGCAGCAGGGGAGACACTTAAACTTTTTGTTTTCCCTAATGTTTAGTACCAATGATGGAAAACAGAAAAGATGCCCTTCACATCAACAAATTGGTTATTTAGTAAGGACTGACCTCAAGTTTCCATTGGATTCCTTCCACTTTCTGAAATAGCCTTCTGCCCTCTGTACGCACGGCTGATAGTTGTGCACACAGGCGAGGAGTAGTAGTTGACTCCGCAGCATTCGCTCTGAGACTGAGCCCTCGTCTGTCCATGTCTGCTTATCAATGAGGTCCCTTAGCAGCCTGATGAGGAAGGCCTGAGGGCGTTGTACAGGGAAACAGGGACCAGTATTGTCACAGGTCATTTCATGTTAATATAATCCATTATGGTCTCAGATGATGGGGGCTAATTTTTAAAGCATAATCTAACTTTTACTGTATAAATCATGCAGCACTGTTTAATTATAAAAGGGCCAAAAACAATAAATAATGATGAATGACTTTCATATTTTCATAACAAACTTTTATAAGATATCCATCTACTTAAAGTCAGGATGAATTGCGACTTTTAAAACAAACTCAAAGAGAGTTTACATGACTAAATTTTGAGAGCAAATTATGCAACAAGACTTCAGGACATTTTGCCAAGCATAACAATTTTGTGCCTCTTCCTCAAGTACCATGAAGAGTCCCAGAAAATCTGAACGTCAGCCATTGTAATAGGAAAGGAAAATGAAATAAAAGGTTTGTGAAAGGAAGGAAATAACAAATCCATGCAAATTAAATAGAGTCTAAGAATGCCATTCCTATTTTTAGTGCCAAATAAAACCAAAATCTTGCTAGTCCATCTAAATACTGAACTAATATTTATTTGCTTTTCCTTAATATGTATATAAAGATACACACACACACACACACACACACACACACACACACATACACACACAATGATTAACACTTTTTAACACAAATAATAATTACATAACTTTTATTTCAGGCTTTTACCTTGAATTGAGTTTCCACTTCATTCATATCTCTTTTCTCCATTAACTTATACATAGGAATCAGCTCATTCAAACCTTGAAACACGGGCATAATTTCAGTTTCATGTTTCAAGTACAGGGATAAATCCAAGGCCTTTTCAATGGACAGCTTCCCAATGCTGACCAAGAGACACTGTGGTTAGTGGTTTAAAAGTAAATCCGGGAAGTCAACTTTTTGCTTCAAAATATATTTTAATCTTCTAGCAAAACAAGCAATCAGATATAAATGTCCCTTATAAATAGATAACTACGGCCGGGCGCGGTGGCTCATGCCTGTAATCCCAGCACTTTAGGAGGCCAAGGCAGGTGGATCACCTGAGGTCGGGAGTTCAAGACCAGCCTGGCCAACATGGTGAAACCCCGTCTCTACTAAAAATACATAAAATAGGCAGGCATGGTGGCAGGTACTTGGTATGTGGGAGGCTGAGGCCGGAGAATCACTTGAACCCGGGAGGCAGAGGCGGTGAGCTGAGATGGCACCACTGCACTCCAGCCTGGGCGACAGAGTGAGACTCCATCTCCAAAAAATAAATAAACAAACAGATAGATAACTACTATATAAGTCTCTTTTCTATCACATATAACACAACATCCGGCATGTTTACACTAGGGAGGAAGTTTCTCAAACAGTAACGTCTAGGGCTAACGTGGATAAGCCGGAAAGGAAGCACATCAGCATCTATCCCTGTGAAACACTGGATTGAGTGGTGAACTTCTAGAGTAAGCAAGGGATTTCCATCAAAGACCCTTTAGGAAGCCTGGTCAAACAGACTATCATCTGGTCAAAACCATGAGTTCCTGGAGGAAACACATTTTCTTCTCCATTTCAAAGACACTGCATATCCTTAGAAACCCTTCATTACAGAGGGTTAGTGTTAAAAACCTCAGTGGTAGGGTATATATTATATAAGTTAAAAAATAAAAAAGAAGAAGCCCTCTAAGGCTCAAGCAGAAATATTCTACAGAGGGGAATTTTTTAGGCAGAAAGAAACAGCTAGGTAAGCAACCCATAACTTTCTCCCCCATTGCTTTTTCTCACTTCAGGAGGCCCAGTATGGTGGTGAGAAGAACCAGAAGGCACTCAAAATTTAGGCCAGAAGGATACGGGTATGAGGAGAAAGAGATAATCCTTCCCACCTGCATGCTTCCTCTTAGGACTTTAGGTCTGCCTACATGTTGAAGAAGTTTGAGTTTTAGGCTTTGGGAGCATTTCCTTAAAAACCATTGTCATGGGGGAGGAAAAAAAAAGGGTAGTGTTAATTCTGTCTTCACACACTCAGAGATCATTTGGTTGGGCTACATTTTATGAGCTATATTCCATAAAGATGCTGCAAAGTTCAGGTATCTGGTTTAGGAAAGAAAAAAAAATCCCTTCTTTAACCCAAGAAATGTAATGCAAACAACTTGGGCCTGTGTCACTTAGTCTTCTAAGAAGACTTCAAGGCTGTTATAAAGACCCAGTGGTGGGAGAAACCTGATCCGGTATAGCGGGGCCAGAAGAAGCTGCGGGACCATGCCGCGGGGACAAGGCAAGGAGTTTCGCCAGGATGTTGATCTCCTGGTTATCTACACTTCCGCCTCAGTATGATCTGAATTATTAATGAGAAAGATTAAGATACAGATTCCTTCCTTCAAGTGCCTTAGTAGTCACAGACAGGAGGTTAATTATAAGACTAAAAGCAATCTTGGGTTGTTAGAAGAACTTAAAGGAAAACACCTTTCAACTTCTTGTTATCAATCAATCATTTTTGTCTTTAGAAATCAAGAATTTGAACAATAACAGCTGCTTTCAGAAATAAACCGCGACTTTGTGCAGCGTGTATTACCTGACGAGCTGAAATGCATTGTTAATGAGACTCGCCCGATCATTACTGCTGACTGCTGTGTGTGTTCCTTTTAAAAGGCCAGTCAAAGAGTCCCATCCATCATCCTCGTAATGCACAATGTAATAGCCATTCATGCCCACATTAAATTTGATCCATTCCACCTCTTCTGGGAGGATGAGCACATCTAGAGTAAATAAAATAAATCAAAGTTCCATTTGCTCCCCTGCCTGAAGAAAGCTTTTCTCATCCAAGATTGGGCAAGGAAATTAGAGAAGAGTTTAATACTGAAAAATTTGAAAACATCACTTATTTCTCTCAGAAACCAGAAAACAGCAACTCAATAGACAAAAGCTAACACTAGCTTTAGACATCAATTTTGTGAGATTTACAGATCTATGAAAAGAATGGCAACTACATCTCTGGCCATACATATGATATAACCCAGTAATGTTAACAAAGTAATAGTGAATGTTCACTGGTAATCCCTCCTTTTTAGCATTATATAATTCAGCTATAATCTCTATCTGGCAAGATATTGGCCATTCTTCTTTGAAACCAGAAAGCATTTTCAATCTGATCCCTTTTGCTTTAACCAAGATAAATAGCAAAAGAAACAGCACTTTAATCCTACACATTTTCACATTCCTCCTTGAATTAACTAGTAGTTTCCAAAATAAATTACCTGTTTTTGTTTTTAGCAAAAATCGATGGACCATGTCGGATTTGCTGGTGATGAATGTCAATGGAACATGCCACAGGTACCTAAAATAAAGGAGAGGTGGATTGTTCATTTGTTGATTCAATTCAACAAGCAGTTATTAAATCACCTATCATGTGCCAGGCACTGGTTAGTTTAGAACAAGATAGTACCAAAACTGCTACAGCCAAGCTCTCAAAACATCCCCAGTCTGTTTTCCAGCTTTGTAGGGAGTGTCAGCTCGGGCACTATTTCCTTTTCTTGGACTCCTTGAGTAGAGCTAAGAATTTGGACTCACGTGAACCCTGAAAGCCTTTTTACAGTGATTGGCTGATTGCATCTCAGAGGCCTAACTTCAGGACTCATGTGCCTCCTGAATAGTATATTAGGAAGGACACAATATCACCTCCTTGGGATTCCTGTCAATGATATGTAAGCTGAACCTGATCATGGAGAAACAGCAGAAAATCCAAACTGAAAGGCATTCTATAAAATAACTGGCCAGTACTCTTCAAAAAATGTCAATATCGAGAAGCCCAAAAAAGACTGAAGAGTTGTTTCAGAAAAAAATGGAGACCAAAATGATGCAACAACTAAATAAAATAAGTGATCCTGTATTAAATCCTAAGTCAGAATTTATTTTCTATTTTGCTATAAGGATATTTTTAGGACAATTGGAAAAAGTTGAATGGGATTTATAGATAATAGTATTATATAAAGTTTATTTCCCAATTTTGATAATTGTACTGTGGCTATGGTTATATAACTGAATGTTCTTGTTTTTTGTTTGTTTGTTTTGAGATGGAGTTTCGCTCTTGTTGTCCAGGCTGGAGTGCAGTGGTGCGATCTCGGCTCACTGCAACCTCCACCTCCTGGGTACAAGCGATTCTCCTGCCTCACCCTCCTGAGTAGCTGGGACTACAGGCGCCCGCCACCATGCCCGGCTAATTTTTGTATTTTTAGTAGAGATGGTGTTTCACCATGTTGGCCAGGCTGGTCTCGAACTCCTAACCTCAGGTGATCCTCCTGCCTCGGCTTCCCAAAGTCCTGGTATTAAAGGCATGAGCCACTGTGACCGGCCATAAATGTTGTTTTGTAGAAAATACTATGCTGAAACATTTAGGTGTGAAGGGGAATCATGTCACCAATTTACTGTCAAACAGTTCAGAAAAACATATGCCAAGTATATACATACAGACATATGTATATAGGTATGTATGTAGATAGATGGATATCGATTAATCAAGATTTAAAACCTCCTTAATCCTTTTGGGAAGATGGGGGAGGGAGGTGTATATATTATATATATATATGTGTGTGTATATATATACACATATATATGTATATATACACACACACATATATCCACACAAACATATACATATATATATAGAGAGAGAGAGAGAGCAAGAGAGAGAGGGAGGTGAAGAAAGTAAAGGAGTAAAGAGTTAACATGTATCTAGGTAAAGGATATATAGGAATTTGTTGTGTTATTCTTGTAACTTCTCTATAAGTCTGAAATTGTTTCAAGATAAAAGAATTTTTTAACGGTATCCATCCAGGGTCAATCAAGTTGCAGCATCTTGTTTCTAATAATATTCTTCTATAGCATTAAGCTGACAAACAGGTTCCAAATCTAACTCAGAAGAAGACAACTGAGTCTCTCATCATTCTCGGAAATCACCTAAATTCTTTTGTCCTCAGCTCCAACCAAATGCTAGGCACTATTGTAATCTAGTAGCAGTTGCTTAGGTTGGAGTTGATTTCAAGCCAGTAACCAGAAATTACCATCATATCAAATTACAAAATATGAGAATGTTAAAGTAATTACATCGTCACCTTTACTGAGAATAACCAAGGTTTAAAGCCTCCTTAATCCTACTGGGAAGATGGGGGCAGGGAGTATAAGTCAACTTCATAGGATACACAGATGCAGCTGAAATATTTTAGCAATAGTGGTAAGGGCATTATTTCAAAAGCAAGGTTCCATCCTACAAGGCAGATGTTACCTAGACAACAAAACAAATTTTACTCTAGGAGCATTACCCAGTGTCCGGGGCGCCGTCAGAGCCCTTCATGTAGTGCTCTTGCTTCATGTGTACATTCCTCCCCCTCACTGTGATGGTTATTAGGGGAAAACCCTTCTGCAGTGTCCAAGTGTTCATCATGGTTTTCACATCCACCCCTTCCTGATGCCAATGCTGGTGTGTACACAAAAAGGCAGACACATCACCCATTTAACCCAACTCTAAGAAAAGAGAGAACACCAGCTTATGCTCAAACAGCCGCTACCAGTTGCCAACCTCCCCTCTTAGGAGCACTTTCTGATCCCTTTCTCAGTGTGATGTCCCCAGCCATCACACCTCCATTAGAGCACCAGCTGTTTGCTTGTCATTTTCCTCCACTACACATACGTGTCTGGAGGACAGGTAGCATACCTAGTTCTGCCGGGCACACTTTGGGGCTGGCAATAACACTGGGCACAAAGCAGGCATGTGAATGAATGAAGGAAGAGAAGGGAGAGAAAGTGCCAGGTTTTCAATACCTACCTAACTATGCTGGTTTTGGACAAGCAAGGTGGAAACAATGTTCAGTCAAGAGCCTGTGTTTCTAAAGTGAGAACACAGAGATGACCCACACTCAACAAATAGTGGGAACTCAAAAGGAGCTGTTTTTTGATACTAAAAAAGCTTTTAAGAAATGATTTAAGAAGTAGTAAAGGCTGGGCGCGGTGGCTCATGCCTGTAATCCTAGCACTTTCGGAGTCTGAGTTGGGTGGATCACCTGAGGTCAGGAGTTCAAGACCAGCCTGGCGAACATGGTGAAACCTCATCTCTACTAAGAATACAAAAATTAACCGGGTGTAGTGGCGTGTGCCTGTAATCCCGGCTACCTGGGAGGCTGAGGCAAGAGAATCGCTGGAACCGGGGAGGCAGAGGCTACAGTGAGCCGAGATCACGCCACTGCACTCCAGCCTGGGCAACAGAGTGAGACTCTGTCTCAAAAAAAAAAGAATTAGTAAAAAGATAAAATGTGCCACAGGACAAATCTAGAAACTACTGAATAAAGCAGTCTCTAGGAACAAAAAAGCCAAGAAAGTAAACATATAAAAAGAAAAAAGAAACAAAAAATTCTGTTGTATCTCCAGACTCACCCTCAGCTTCCTCTGAAAACATCCCACAAGTCCAGATGAACAGAGACTCAGGCTGTTTTGTGACTTGATGTTATGAATACTTTATAGCTTAGCAGTTAAAAACATGAGTTAGATCTAAATTCAGATCTCTGCTCTGCAATTTACCAATCAGATGTCTTTGTATTTCATGTTCTCAACTTTAAAAATAGGGATAGTAATAGTACCCAGCTCACAGGTTTATTATGAAGAGTAAAGGAGATAATACATATAAGTGCTTAACATGTGCCTGACACATGACAAGTATTCAAGAATGCTCAGTGCCATTGTCTTTGTACAAATGCAGAGCTCTGTAAATGACTGACATATCCTTTTGACTGCTACAATGCAGCTGTAATCTGCTATAGAAACATGTCATAAATCCACTGCTTTAAAAGGGAAGCTAGAGAAATTAGTATCAGTGAGAAGCATTACCAAGGAAAGCTCTGCAACCCTCCAGTATAGATACACTTTAAGAAAAATTGAAAAAGATTATGAGTATGGAATAGTTTAAATGCAGTCTTATCTGGAATGAGGGTGATATAATCAAGGACCTCAGAAAGTTTGGCACAGAGCTGCCTTTCAAAGAATATGCAGTAAAAGAATGTGCTTGGGGGAACATGTACAGATATAGAAACTTACTGAGGATGAAGATGAATGTTGACTTCTAGAGCAAAAGCCATCCATCCCTTTTACACCATCTGTAGGGCAAATCTAAAAACCAAAAATAAACACATCACTCTTATTTCTATAGAAAACAATGATTCTCCTCAGAGGGATTAACATAATGCAGGGAAAACAAAACAAGATGATAAGCCTGTCAATCCCAAATGCAGAGATATTCAAAAACATACTCACACTTGCCATACTATCCCACAGGTCCTCGTTTTTTGTATTTTTATAGCTATGCTTCTGGAGATACTGTACAATACCACTTTTAAATGCGTCAGCACTAAGATACTCCCTTAGCATATTCAGAATACAAGCTCCCTGAAAAGATAATAGAAATAATTGTTATCTATAGTTTCATTGCAGTCTCATCTGAAATCACATATTCTTTTGCAATAAAACACATTTCTTTGAAAACGCAACTGCAGGAACACTGTTAATGTCTGGCAATTTGTGAAACAGAGTAAGCAGGTTAAACCTGGACCTGTTTAGGCAGGAGATTTGTCTAATGTGATTGCTTATGCTCTGAGCCCACTGAGGCCCTTATTTTCTATCAGTAGCCAGACCTCCCGATGGGGCAAATTAGCATCATCTGCCAACTCCCTTTGTTCACATGTGAGTGGGGATAATGGTGCAGATTAAACATTGGACCTTGAGCTACTACCTGGCTCTCCCACTGCCATTCCAGGGCAGGACTAAGGAGAGGCCAGTACAACAAGGGGTGGAGCACTAGAGATGGAGGCAGAGGTAGATGCCAGGGAAGGAAAAGTGGATATGTCCAGGGAGCCCAGGCAGCCTTGAGCATGGAGGGCTGATGGAGCTGGAGTCACAATGAGAAAGGGAACAAGAGTCTTCCCAGACACCCTGTATTCCTTGGTAAAGGGCTCTTTTCCCCTCCACTCCCATTACCACGGATGGTGAGTCACAAACTCAAATGCCTCCAGTGGCACATGACAGGGCATATAAATAAGGGAAGTAGTCCAAGGATAAGAAGAATGCTCTTTTACATTCTTTTTCCCCTGGACTTTCAATGGAAACATGCAAGCAAGAAAGACTTTTCTGTTTGCTACCGGTAAAACAACAGCCAAGCACAATGGTAACTGGCAACACACTCTCAGCCTCGGTGAGAAGACAATAGAACAGTTGGGAATGGCAGGGAAAGTGGAAAAGCAGAGCCTTGATCTTACAAAGAGAGAACAACAACTTAGCTCCAGCTTATGCTGCAAAGAACATACAGTGGCCAAATCCTCCTTTTTCTTCCCCAAGAGAAGCTAGAAATCTGGATTTTACATAAAATCTCCCAATCATTAAACTGTTGTCAACAATTCCCAACTCTGTTACTAAGCACACTGTGCAAGACAATTATTTGCGTCTCAACAATATTAACCATTGCTGAAGGCCTTGAAAAGTAAGCTACACGAGGGCAGGAATTTTTGTCTAGTACAAAGTTGATGCTCAATCAATACCTATTTGTTGAATGATGAATAAAAGCAGAGTTTCTGTAAGCCATGAATTTTCAACCCAAGAAAGAATATATGAAGAATTTCCCATAAAATAATCTTTAGGGTTATGAGCCAAACTGCAAGTTAGTCCTAAAAGAGTTGACTCCAGCCAGCACGTGTCAAGAGAGAAGGCATTCAATCTGGGTTTAACCCCACAACCTTGCCTATAACTTCTCCACCCCAGTATGTATAACTTTAGTATCTAAACTGTATCCTTATACTCAATCTACTTTTACCTTATCATAAGAAACATCATCAAACATCTCCCGGATCTGAGCAGGATTTTCCACAGGTGTAGACACAGGGTGTGAGGAATTTAAAGCATCTACCTCCATTGCGTCAAAACATTTGCCAAAGAAATAATCTCCCTATTGAGATAGAAAAAAGAAAACATCACCTATGATTTACATTTAGATAAAAAATGTCAAAGGTGGGACATTTTATCTGAGGCAAGAAGTCCATACTTCACATTTTGGGGGCAACCTATTCCATATTTCCTAATATTTATGAAACAAAATAGAATTAATATATTCTAAAAGCTACCCAAGAAACAATGATTTTAGTTAAACATTATAGATTTTGTTCATCTTAAGTCCTTTAGAATAAAGAAAATTTCGTATTAATCTAAAAACGAAACAATTATGCCTATAGCCAAACAGCAACACAACAAGAAATTAACTGTATAGTAATTTCAACATTTCCAATCATTGTCTGTACTGTTTTAGAGCAAAGATACTTACCTTTAAAAACATAATGAAAATAAATGGAGAACCTTAACCAGCTTTATTAGAGCACATTAGCTCAACAGGACAATATGTATCCATAATCATTTTTATTACTAAAGATCATGTAGAAACATAAGAAAATATTTAGGATTATAATGCAATATTGATGTGTACTTTCTAATTATGTACACAGGCAGATGAAAATAGGCAGTAATAAATATTCACAAATGTATATTTTAAATAATGTATACAGGCAGATGAAAATAGGAATAAATATTTACAAATGAAAAGAATCATTGGAGTAGGATAAAAAAATTTTTACATAAGTTTAATTTTGCTATATGTGATTTTCTTAAGTTAAATGTGGTGATTTAAAAAATAAACCATATAGCAGTTCCAAAGCAATAAATTTGTGATCCAGAAGCCTAGGTTGTTATACAATCAAATGTGCAGTTACCTTAAGTATAACTCATTTGATTTGGCAAGTAGGGTCCTATTGAGATATCAGTAATCTGTACCTAATAATTCTGCAATGAGCAACCTGAAGGTTGGGAAAATGAAATGGAACATTTAGGCTGCCATTATTTCTATTTCTTTGATATTAAGAAATATAAAATCGGACAATTTACAAACAATCATAGATTCACAACTGAGTTTGTAAATAAGTCTTTGTGGTATATCTTGAAAGTTCACTAGCATTTTTGCAACACGATTCATATCTAAACTGTCAAGGAAGTTATCAGTGAAATATTTTTATAAGTTCTATAATCAAAGATTAGTGAATATTTTCCAGCAATATTGAACAAAACAACAAATTAACCTCAAATGTGAAGGATAAATAACTACTTACAACTTTCAGTTCAGGATGGGTCACACTGACAGACACAAACTCCATAAATTTGGCAAATCCTTCATTTAGCCAAAGATCATTCCACCATTCCATAGTGACCAGGTTCCCAAACCACTAAAAGCACAACATAAGCCATAAACAAAGACACTCAGAAAGAAGTATATTTTAGATGTCCAATATAAGTTTATGAATGTTAACATATATTTACAGGACCAATATTTAATCAAGGTAAAAATAAAAAAAGTTCAACATGCATTATAAGACATAAAAACGAATGCTTTGGAGAAACAATTTTTCCTATTAAAAAAAGACAAAGTAAAAATTATATAAATAGCCTTATATGTCCCATAGAAGCAATATAAATGTAGTTTATACTTTATTAAAAGTGTGAATGAGCTTATACCTGGTGAGCCAGTTCATGGGCCACAGTCATTGTGATGCCAAGCTTACTTGATGCAGAAGACTTTTCTGCATCAAACAACAGAGCAGATTCTCTATATGTTGTCAGTCCCCAGTTTTCCATAGCACCAGACTGAAAGTCGGGAATAGCAGCAAGATCTTGGGAAGGAAGTAATAAAATACATTACCAGTCTCTAAGCTATACATTCTCCCAAACACTAATCTTCAGAATGGATAGGTGTTTGAACCAGCTGCCCGTGCATAATCATGGAGCTCTAGACTGGAAGAACCTTTCACAATGGAGAAAAAGAGGCTTAGTGACTCAGCATCACTTTGCTATAAATGTGGCAAAGTCAGACTTGCATCTCAGGCCTTTTTTTTTTTTTTTTTTTTTTTTTTTTGGAAACAAGGTCCCACTCTGTCACCCATACTGGAGTGCATTTGCAGTGGTATAATTACACCTCACTGCAGCCTCAACCTCCCAAGCTCAGGTGATCCTCCCATCTCAGCCTTGCAAGTAGCTGGGACTACAAGAGTGCACCTCCACACTCAGCTAATATTTTTGTACTTTTGTGGAAACAGGGTTTTGCCATGTTGCCCAGGCTGGCCTCAAACTCCTGGGCTCAAGTAATCCACCTGCCTGGGCCTCCCAAAGTGCTGAGATTACAAGACATGAGCCACCGTGCCCGCCTTTTCAGGCCTCTTGACTCCATTTCTAACCTTCTGATGAGGAGTTTGGAAATTGAAAAACTAAACAATTATAATAATCCATTCTATTTTGGATGCCCAAGACCCACATATACCTAAAAAATCAAACATACAATAGTTTTAAGGGCTTGTGTAAGAAAGAAAATTCAGATTGTCTTACACTATATAAATTTATTCATTCAAAACAGTTTGTTGAGCATCCTCTGGGTTCCTGCCAAGCAGGTGCCAGTAAAGAAAAAATGTAGCCTCTTCCCTCTGCTGTCTGCCCACTAATAAAATCAGAAGGCAAAAGAGTCCCCATGCCATATGCCTCAAGAACTCTATGAAGATCTGCTTTCTTCACTATCACTAGAAGTTACTGTACTCATCAAGGGTGAGGAGATGCTCAGAAAGATCAACCGCAGGTTTGTCACTTGCTGGGGTTTTTGTGGCTTGAGGGGCTGCTGAGGCAACTACAGGGATGTGCCAATTATAATGACAAATCTATGACTGTGTTCATCAAATGTCATGTGTAATATCTGTGCAAAATCTCTACCTTGTTTGGGTAGGGGATACGGTATGCTGAAATAATCCTCATAAAATTCTAGAAGAGTCACCGCAGCATCCAGTGCATAATCTGCTTGATTTATCTTGTCTGGCACAGCATAAACAGAAACCTAAAGAGAAAGGCACAGAAAGGAATTCAAATATCTTAACTGGCTTCTCTCCCCACATTGTGTAGAAGACTGACATTAATGTCTTCATATTGTGGGATATGGTTGCCAATATTAAAGAAAATAATTGGGAATTCCATTTCTTGCATTAATACTGACTGTTCCTGATTAATCCCCCTTCTGAAAACAACAACAAATGCTGGATAACATGTATAAAGTGTTCTTAAATGTGTTTATAAGATGGCAAATGAGAAAGAAAGATTTAGAAGCCAAAGTGAAATGACAGTTAGACCCTCTGATGTCAGGAGAGCACTGCAGCCAGCTTTAACCCTGCCGGCACTAGCCCAACACAGCTGGACTTGAGCTTTGGTTCTTATGTCATTGAAGGACTCAGGAGTTAAGAGACCAAGTCCAGGGCCTGCCCAAAGTAGAAAGTCTAACAGGACATACAATCCCTGCATAAAGCTAGTACCCAAAGGCCAGGCCTTTAATGTAAAGGTAAACTAGAAATAACTACCCTTTCTCAAGGAAACTACAAGTAAAGTGATCCCTGGACCAGTAAGTACTCCCAGACACTCTGTAAGAGCAAATACAATTTCTCTCTGGAATAATCCACTTTAGACTCAGGCAACGTAAGCTCACAAACATAATTCATAATACAAACAAGGAAACAAGATACCATAAGCAAGAGCCAGCAGAAACAACGAACCACAAAATCAGATACACAAAGAATTCAGATAAAACAATTACCAGACACAGATATATAATTGTATGCTTAATGTGTTTAAAGAAATGAAAGAATTAAAAATATTAATATAGATTAGACATTACTAAAATAATCATTTCTAAGAGATTCAGATAAGTGGCAAAGCAATGGGCGGGTGTTTTTGCTGATAGTTTCACTGCTGAATTAAGAATGTTCCCTTCATCCGAGTCTCAAGCGTCACCTTCAAATCCCCAGTTAAGTAAAGATACCTCCACAAGAATAAGAAATCTCAGCACTAGAGGAACACAAAGCAATTCAGCAGGGAATCCCCATCTATTCAGGCCTCAGTGAAAACCAGCACAAACACATAAGGTATCTTCAAACAAAGCATCCCTTCCTCCCCTCAGAAAAACCTGTTTGCATTCTGAGCTACGGCACACAGTTGAATAGGTTGCCCACTATGCAACAGTACCCAAATGAGGAACAAGTGTGCCTTGAAACAAGATTTTTCTCTCCAGCATTCCAGTGTACCTGGCCCAAAGCCTTTGGGTATTCCAAGCAGGTTGCTCTATCTTCCTTACCATAGCCAGAAATCCCCTGCCAGATAGTAACATTTACTTCCAAACTGCAGAAAGCCATAACCAGAAGCAACCTTAGAGACCATTGCAGGATCTAGTCCAAGTTATACCTTCCAAAGAAGTAAATACTAAGTTTCAGAGGGAATAGGGCCAAGGTCAGAGAGTCAGTGAAGTGACTGCAGTGAAGCCAGGATCATGACTCAGGCCAGGCCACACTCTCTCCACGTTGTTGTTATTAGAACCTCACTATACAAATGAGCATCCGTGACAACAGGCTGGCCAACCATCCCAGTTTGCCTGAGATTGAGAAGGTTCCCAGGATGCAGGACTTCCAGGATTTTGGTATTTGGTTTTGTCTTTGTTTGTTTGTTTAGAGACATGGTTTTGCTCTGTTGCCCAGGCTGGAGTGCACAATCATACCTCATTGAAGCCTCAAACTCCTGGGCTCAAGGGATCCTCCCTAGTAGCTAGGACTAGTAGCAGGCACAAGGAACCATGCCTGGCTAATTTTTTTATTTTATTTTTTGCAGAGACAGGTTCTCACTATTTTGTCCAGGCTGGTCTCAAACCCCTGGCCTCAAGTGATTCTTCCACCTCAGCCTCCCAAACTGTTGGGTTTATGTTGGGTTTACACGCACGACCCACTGCGCTCAGGCAGACTTCCAGTTTTAAAACCAGTTCCAAGCAAACCAGAACAAGCTGGTCACCATATGTGACAGTCATAGGCTCACCTTGACTCCACTCTTGGTTATCTTGCTGACAGACTCAAAATCTGAAATGATGAAGGCCACCAGATAGGTGCTCATCTTCACAGTGACATCAAAATGGTCTTCTATGAGTCCTTCAGCAACAGTCACAGATTTCACCTAAAATCAGAATAATTCAAATTATCAAGTAATCCAATTATCCAATACAGTGAACATGATAAATTTCCTAATTATCAGACATAATATTAAAAGTGTATCAATCCCAGCACTTGGGGAGTCCGAGGTAGGCAGAATGCTTGAGCTCAGGAGTTTGCGACCAGCCTAAGCAACATGGTGAAACCCTATCTCTACAAAAAAAATACAAAAATTAGTCCTGCTGGTGGTGCGTGCCTGTAGTCATAGCTACTGGGGAGGCTGAGGTGGAAGGATGGCTTGAGCCTGGGAGGTGGAGGTTGCAGTGAGCCAAGATTGAGCCACTGCACTCCTGCCTGGATGACAGAGCCAGACCCTGTCTAATGACGCTTCTATAGTTACTTTAAAAGTTATCTTTCCAATGTCTAATTATAATTTAGACATTAACGTCAAACAGTTCTACTCAATTTCTTTTTTATTGAGATATAATTCATATACCATACAACTTACCATTTTAAAGTTTACAATACACTGTAAATCCACATTTGGCATATGTGGATTGATAACACGGATGAGACAAAGCAAAACTGAAATTGTGAGTTTTGCCAAGATGTGGCTGATCCACTTTTCCTTAAATACAGGTTTGAGAATTATCTGGCAATGCAATGTCGAGCTGTTGAGCATATACGCAACGGGGAAAATATATAACCCTGTAGTACCTAAAAGAGCTTCTGTTCTGCTGTATAACTGAAAGTAACCTGGGCCGGACACAGTGGCTCACACCTGTAATCCCAGCACTTTGGGAGGCCGAGGCGGGTGGATCACAAGGTAAGGAGATTGAGACCATCCTGGCTAACACGGTGGAACCCCATCTCTACTAAAAATATGAAAAATTAGCCGGGCGTGGTGGCAGGTGCCTGTAGTCCCAGCTACTCGGGAGGCTGAGGCAGGAGAATGGCATGAACCCGGAAGGCAGAGCTTGCAGTGAGCCGAGATCACGCCACTGCACTCCAGCCTGGATGACAGAGCGAGACTCCATCTCAAAAAAAAAAAAAAAAAAAGATTTGCTTCATTTGCTTCATTGGAATCACCTTTTTAAGTGCAATCAGAGAGTAAGGGTGGGGTATAGTTGATGGAGGTACAGTCTTAGAGGTCTGCCCCTAAAGAAGAAAGTCTAACACGTCAGCAATAAAAAGCACGGAGATGGAAAAAGAACCAGCCAGAATTAGCTGGGTGAAACCATGGTCACGGGCATTTTTCCTGTAATCCAATACTTACCTCTATTGCTCTGACCTCATCTTTTTTTTTTGTTTTGAGAGATAGGGTCTTGCTATGTTGCCCTGGCTGGTCTTGGACTCCTGACCTCAAGAAATCCTCTTCTTCTGCCTCCCAAAGTGTTAGGATTACAACCATAAGCCACCTCACCTGGCCCTCATCCTTCTTAATACCCATCAGCCACCAACTTCTGGTCACTATTTGGTCATTCAAACCAACTCTGCTACCCAGCCTAGGATTACTCATAAAGGATCCCAAATCATCTTTTCTTTTTAAATGCATTCTGCTTCTGCCTACCTACAACAAAAATTTCCTTTTTTTTTTTTTTGAGATGGAGTCTCACTCTGTCACCCAGGCTAGAGTGCAATGGCACAATCTTGACTCACTGCAACCTCCACCTCCAGAGTTCAAGCGACTCTCCTGCCTCAGCCCCCCAAGTAGCTAAGATTACAGACATGTGCCACCACGCCCAGCTAATTTTGTATTTTTGTAGAGACAGGGTTTTACCATGTTGGCCAGGCTGGTCTTGAACTCCTGACCTCAGGTTATCCACCTGCCTCAGCCTCCCAAAGTGCCGAGATTACAGTCATGAGCCACCACACCTGGCCAAAAATTTCCATTCTCGAGTTGTGTTAATTATTAGGAAAATAACCTGATTAAATTAATTCAAATTTAAATGTGATTAATTTCTGCCCCATGCCCAAAAGCTTCAATGTTCCAATGGTATATATTGTGTTTTTCTGGTCTCCAAAAAGATCTTTTGAGACCCCATTGTTCTCCCCTCAGCTCAATATCTGCAGCCTGAGGTCAGGCTACTCGTATTAGATTTCTGTTAGTGAGAGGTATTCCCGTCCAAAGGGACAACATTGCATTAGAAGTTTTCCTATCCTCAAAAAAAAAAAAGAAGTTTTCCTATCTTCACTAAGTGGATCCTGGATATCCATGGATTTAGACTGTAGCATCTTTGTGGCGCTTCCAAAGCTCCAGGCCTCCCTTCTGAAAGCCTACAAATTTCTCCACTAATCCTGTTTGGTCCTTCAGTCTCTCTCCTGTCTCCTTCCCATCCCTGGTCCTTTATTCTCCTAGAACTTTGATTCACCAATTAAAGAACTCACTTCTGTCCCAGGGAGTAATACCACAATACTGGGGGAGAGGACTATATTTTGAAAAAGCACATCCTGTATATTAAATTTATATTAGGAAAATAGCATAATTGTTTCTTGTCTTTTCATATACAAGGGTGGGAGTGGGGACAGAAGTTCTTGGCTGGTAGGAATTTGCAGAAGAGTGATTTTTACAGAGGATAGCCCTCTGGCGTGGGGTGGGAGATCCGAATCTTGTTTGAGGAAGGCATCCTTATGGTATGAAGGCAGGTAGGTATAGAGTTTTAAGGTTGAGAAGCACCACACTAGAGGTTGGTCTGTGGCTCTCAGTATCTCTCCATGTTATGATATTGCTTCCCCGGTCAGCACAGGGACAAAGCTGTTCTTCCCTCAGGACTCTAGGCAAAGCCTATTCTACTCTGACTCTGATCCCCAGTGAGTTTCTCTGAACAAAGGATGTGCTTCCAGGAGGTGTTATATACCAGCTGCAGAATGACGGCCCAGCTGATGCTTTTCTAAACTACCAGAATCAAAGGATGATGGCACTTACTGAACAGTTTTATTCATTTGGCATGGTCATCTTCTAGTCACTTTTAAAAATCAGAGGGAATGCTGTCCACATCCGCATTGAGATTGGGGAATAATAGTTTCCCTCTGGAAGCTAAGCTATCTATCATGACTTACCTTCAGCACCATAATATTTGGAAAAGATTACTTTTATTCTCTTTTTCTGTCTGCCCAATTTTGTACATTCAGTTACAAATTATATAATGAATATTACTATATAGTATATGTAACTTAGAGAAAATAACTGTATGCTAAAAATATGGCCTTATTGACAAAGCATTACCTTTAAAATCATTTTAAAAGATCATATGAGAAAATGAGGGTGAAAGTGCTTTGTGAAGGGCACTAATATTTAAACCTGACCTGAATTTCTTATACCACTTCCCTCCTATCAGCATGTATAACCTGGAATGGCACTGTTACTGAAATCTTGCATTTTTAGGTGCAATTTTTACTTTGATTACATATAACTATGGCTTGAAACAAAAGCATAGGTTATAAATGAAAAGTTAGTAACGATCTGCCAGGCAATAAAACAAAACAGGTGACCCAATGTTGACTGTCACTGGGCTAGTGCAAGTCACAGAGAATCAGTAGATTTTCCTATAGAAAATACACAGGAGTGCAGACTCACCAATGGCATATTGGAGATGGCTAGGTGCCTTGGCTCTCTTCTAATTTTGATTGAGAAACTTGCTTTGAAGGCAGGTTCATCAAAGCAGGGAAAGGCCATTCTAGCTGCAGTGGGTTCAAATTGTGTTGATGCTAGTATCCTAAAATTAAGGCAAGTGAAATAAAAATTGAGCATGAAGCACCAGGAACTCTAAAACAGGTGTTTGCTTTTTAATTCCTAAAGTTACTATAAGATTGATGGATTTTGCTACTAAAAAATATTTCATCTGACAAAAGCTATCATAAACTAAGTTAAAAGACGAGTTACACTGGGCATGGTCATGGTGTCTCATGCCTGTAATCCTAACACATTTTTGGGAGGTTGAGGTGGGAGGATTACTTGAGCCCAGGAGTGTGAGACCTACCTGGGCAACATGGTAAAACCCCATCTCTACCAAAAATACAAAAATTAGCCAGGCATGGTGGTGCAGGCCTGTAGTCCCAGCTACTTGGGAGGCAGAGGTGAGACGATGGTTTGAGCCCAGGAGGCAGAGGTTTCAGTGACCTGAGATTGCGCCATTGCACTCCAGCCTGGGCGACAGAACCAGACCCTGTCTCGGGAAGAAAAAAAAAAAAGTTAAAAAGAAAAAGTAAAAAACAGGGAAAATTCATTTAAGAAGTATGTGAGGAAAACTTAATAGCCTTAACAGATAGTGAGATCCTAAAAATATGTAATCCTAAAAATGGCTCATACCTGTAATCTTGGCACTTTGAGAGGCCTAGGCGGGCGGATCACGAGGACAGGAGTTCGAGACCACCCTGGCCAACATGGTGAAACCCCATCTCTACTAAAAATACAAAAATTAGCTGGGTGTGGTGGTGCGCGTCTGTAATCCCAGCTACTCAGGAGGCTGAGGCAGGAGAATTGCTTGAACCCGGGAGGCGGAGGTTGCGGTGAGCCGAGTTCGCGCCACTGCACTCCAGCCTGGGTGACAGAGCAAGACTCCGTCTCGACAAAAAAAAAAAAAAAAAAAAAAAAAAAATCCCCAACAACCAAGGGAATCTCAGGCAAAGTCAAAGGTCATTAACAGGCAATTCATAAAAGAAGAACCTATAAATCATTAACAAACATATCAAAAGCTGCTCAACTTCCTTAATCAAAGTTACGTAAATTAAAAAGAGATCATTTATTTGGGGACCTTTTTTGCTCTAAAAAGACTGCCAATATACACTATTGGTGAGGGGTAAGAAAAAATGACAAAGTTTATCAAAAATTTATAGGCTCTTTGGCTTACCAATTTTACTTCTAGGCATTTATTCTAAAGAAATAATTTACAAAAATGCTCATCAAAGTGTTGTTGATACTGAAAAATTGGAAACAATTTCATTTCCATTCCCGAGGGATTAAAGATATTAATGTACAACTATGTATTTTAATAAAATCATTAAAAAGATGTCTAGTAATAGTCATTTATATAAAACATCTTCCCAACATATTAAGTTAAAAAATTTCCTTGTAAAAGAGAAAATATAAGAATTCTATTTATATAAAATAATATATATGCATATCCAGAAAGAAGTCTGGCAGAATATTCCAGTGAAATAGAAGTAGTGGTCAGTTCAGGGGGCTATGAGTGAAATAAATTTTACTTTCTTACCTTGATAAAATAATATGGAATTTGAAAAATAAATTAGTATAATCTACCAACAAATAAAATTCCATTTTAAAACTGAGCATAAAATCTCCCCCAAATAAGTCTCCTCCTTAAAAACAGAACCAAAGCAAGGTGAGAAGAGATCTCTAAAAAAGTTTTAACTGAGATAAAAGTATTTCCTCTAATATGTTGCTAGTAGGATTTGCTGAAGTCCTAACCTGTAGTATCTGTGCATGTGACCTTATTTGGACATAGGGTCTTTACAAGTATCATGGAGTGAAGAAGAGGCCACCAGGCTGGGCCCTAATCTGGTATGTCTGGTTTCCTTATAAGAAGATGGAGACTGGGACATAGGAAAATAGAATGGCCATGCGACTAACAGAGGGAGAAACTAGAATGACGCAGGTGCTAGGCATGGAGTACCAGGGATCCACGGCCACCACTAGATGCTAGGAAGATATAAGGAAGGATTCTACCCAGAGTCTGGAGGGAGCACGGGCCTGCTGACACCTTGATTTCAGACTTCTAGCCTCCAGACCTGAGAGAGAATACATTTTGTTGTTTATAGCTACCCAGTCTGTGGTACTTTGTTACAACAGCCCTAGGAAACTAATACACAGTTCAGGAAAATTAAACATGTTTATTATGTCTCAGAAATCGAACCAAATAAACAAATAGATATTTACTCTGATAGAGCTGGGGGAAAGAAAATTGGTTAAAATAGAATTTTAAAATGAGATTTAAAAAGCAAGGGAAAAAGCCATTTTTAACACTATAAAGAAGATGCAAAAGCAAAACTGAAGAAAAAGTTCAACAGCAAAGGGAATTTTAAAAGACAATCAATCTGAAATAATGAATTTAGCGTGGGCAGCACTTGCAGTTTAAAAGAAAAAGAGAAAAAAAAATACCTCAGTTCCCCTTCCTTGGTTCTGTAGGTGCTTTTGTAAAATCCGTGGAAAGTCTCCGAAAGATTGCCAGCATAGTGAATGACAACTGTGTACGGGAGCCCGACAAGGAGGGGCTCGGGAGCCAGCAGTGCAATTTGCTCCTGACGGGGGTGTTCCAGGACCTGCAGGGGTTCTTCCGATAGCCTCTCTCCAGCTCCCTTCCTGAGGGTGGCCCTAGATATCTGCAGGTGGTGACTATGCAGGATGATGGTGCTGGTGGGCTGACTGGCTGTGATTTCTACTTTCGTGGTTCCCCAGAAGGTCAGCGTGGTAAGGTTTGCATGGATCAAGAGATCATAATGAACTGGGATGACGTACTCAGGAAGTCGTATTTTATTCCAAGGAAATGGTGTCCCATCACTACGTTTTGGAGATGCTTCAGTGCTCTGACACCATGAAGGAGTGGACACAGTTAAGAGAGCCAACAGTGAGGAAAGTAGAAATGACATGGTTGCAAGGGACCATTTGAGGGGCAGAAACACCATCTTCTTGCTCTACCTACCTAGCGGCACAAATGTACAAAAGCAAAAATATATGTCATTAAAATGTTATTGACACAGCATAATTTCAGAATGTATCCACCCAGCATTCACAGAAATAGGCATAAACTTCCAAAAGTACTAGGTCTTTTCCTGAAAGTAAAAGGACCTTCCCTATGTTATGGTTTCATATAAGAAAGATGTTTACAGTTAGCAACAATCATTAACACGTACTAGAAAGCATCATTTGATGTTCAAAGTTTAAATTAACTCTACCTGTCAGGGTTCTTGGTTGAAAGCAACCGAACAAGCTCTGGCTGATATAGGCAGAAAAGGAATCATTAGGGGATCCTGAGTGGCTCACTACACGGGTCACAGAGTTGCAGGACATTTGGGAAACCAGGCTCATGAAAGAAGCAAAACCAGAACCATATCAGAGGAACATCTGATCAAGCACCACTCCCCACTGACACTGGACCTTGGAGAAAGTCACCCTAGTACCCTGGAAATCAAATGCTGACACAGTGGCAGCCACCACTAGAACGAGGTCTCCACTTCCCCTGTAAGTATATGTAATGGTAACCTTTAATAACATCAGTGTCTTCCTCAAATTGTCATGCCAAAAGTTAATTACCTATTTATTTAGCCAGGAAGAGCTTAAAGAGCTTAATTTTCCCAGTAGTTTGTGGCAAACGTATCAATCACCTGGATTGATTTTAAAGACATAAAAGCAATGTGAATTTCAGGCCAGGCATGGTGGCTCACGCCTGTAATCCCAGCACTTTGGGAGGATGAGGTGGGCAGATCACAAGGTCAACAGATTGAGACCATCCTGGCCAACATGGCGAAATCCCGTCTCTACTAAAAATACAAAAATTAGCTGGGTGTGGTGGTGCGCACCTGTAGTCCTAATTACTTGGGAGGCTGAGGCAGGAGAATCGCTTGAACCTGGGAGGCAGAGTTGCAGTGAGCTGAGATTGCACCACTGCACTCCAGCCTGGCAACAGAGCAAGACTCTGTCTTTAAAAAAAAAAAAAAAAGGCAATGTGAATTTTAAGGAAGTTGGCAAACCATGCCCCAAGCATCAAACATAAGTTTTTATTTCTTTTATACAAACGCACCTTTCTAATGGGTGTTTGCCAAGAGGGGCCCATACCAGGTGAATGCAAGTGATTGGCCCAAACTCCTCGTGTTCCAGTTGGGAAAAGTAGCAAGCTTACAATGTGGATCCCTCAAAGTGTTCACAGTACATGGAATTCTCCCTCTCTGAGATGTCAAGTTTCCTAACTCTGGCTGCATATTAATGTAACCTGGGAAGCTTTTAAAATTTTCGATGCCTGGGTCCTTATTGACAACAATTAAACTGGAACCTATGGTGATAAGATCGGGGTATGGTTTTACGGATTGTTTAATTTCTGGTTTTTGGTTTTTTTTTTTAAAAAAAAAAAAAACTGTCCAGAGATTTTACTGAGAAGCCAAGGTTGAAAAGCTCATCCTTGCCAAATCCTGGCTTTCCCCCTTCAACTCTATGTGATAGGATACTAATTCAAGGCAATGGCTGAAGTGCCTTCCCTAACCCCTGACTTCCTTGCTCCCTTCCCAAATGCACAGCTCAAGGGAATTCCCTTCTCCTCACCTCTGGAGCAATCTGGAGGCTAAACAGAAAGGATACCTACACATTAGAGAGAGTCTTGGAAATCTCATAATCCCAGTTCAAAAGGCACCACCCAGGTGAGACAGGAAGTGTGAACAGGGAGAACATTTTTTTGCCCTTGAAGTTGGGGAACTAGAGAGTAAATGGAACTTGTGTTTTGCTTTCCATATGGAATTACTGGCAGCAACAGCTTAATGAGCATCGCCCCTGCCCCAAGACGGGATCCAGAGGACTCTGTGAAGGTGGCAGGTTCAAGCATGTAAGGACTCTGAAAGTCCCCGAGACCTCTCCAACAGCCCCAGAGAAGATCTAGAAATTCCAACTCGTTATGAGCTGACAGAAAGGCTGATGTGCTGCGGAAGGGGTTGGTACCGGGACCTTGGATCAGAGGCTTTGCAGGGTTGGGTCCATGAGGGGTCCAAAGAGAAACAGTTATGTCTCAACGAGGATGCAGTGCATGAGTGGGGCTTGGTAAAAACTCCATGTAGTGAATAAAGGGCTTCACTAATAAATTCTCTTATTAATCCCAAACTGTAGGCTACATCCAAGATTCTGTGATCATGTTCGTGTGTTTGGCTCTTCCCCTGAAAAATTAGCTCTTGTTTGGCTTTGCTTCCAATAGTAAGTGTTCCAGTTTGAAACATGGCATTTCATGGTTCTGGCTGGTCTCCTAGGGTCTGGTTTTACTAACAATTTTCTGAAAGGGAGGCAGTTAAAAAAAAAGAAAGCTCTCAAAAACAGTAGTCTACTCAATATAAGCAGCTCTTCCCAAGAGAAGTACAATTCTCTTTGAAGTTACACTCCACTAACACTTAAAGGAATAGAAGCCAAGGAGGAAAAAGAACTAATATTTACTAAGCTCCTCCAAAGTGCCAGGCACTTTACACATGCTCACTCTCTCTAATAGCCTATTATTCTCATTCAAGGTGGGGTAACTGAAGCAAAGAACCATTCATGTAACTTTGCTAAGTTCACACAACTTGTTGGAATGCAATCCACATCTGTGTGAGTATAAACTCCCTGCTTTTTCAGCTTCACCAAGATCCCTCTTTTTTTTTTTTTTTTTTTTTTTTGAGACGGAGTCTCGCTCTGTCTCCCAGGCTGGAGTGCAGTGGTGCGATCTTGGCTCACTGCAACCTCTGCCTCCCTTCCTTTTATTGGGGCACTATAGTATATGAAATAGATCATCAAGAAGTAATTGAGGTTCTTCCAGAATTTCCTGAACAATGAAATTAACAAGCACTGTTGGTAAATAATAAAAATGCTGGATTAATTTGAAAAAAAAAAAAGTACTAGAATGTTTCTATTCAGGCCGCACCTGAAAATGTGCTACTTATACTAATTAAAAATCCTCAGGCAAGAGACAACTGTGCCCAATTTTCAAGTTTTTTGTTTTGTTTTGTTTTGTTTTGTTGTTTTGTTAATTGTTGACCACGTCCTGAGTTCAGAGCGAATCCTCTGGGTGTTTAATAGGAAACAGATAATTTCTTTCTGAACCTAGCCTACACAAAGAAATCCAAAAGCGTGAGGAAGTGTGTGCTCTCCCCCTTCCCCTCATGGAATTAACTTTGTAGGACCACCTGGCCAGTGAGGCACCCAGATAGGAAACTTTTAATTTGCGTCAACAGAGGTGCTTTATCTGAATAAAACCCAGCCAGAGCCAGAGCGAAGGGGAGAGAGAGAATTGCTGACCAGAAGAACAGGAGAAGCAGGGAGGGAAGTGACCTTAAGAACACACACGGCCCGCGCATCCCACCCCACCAGAGTCTTTAACCCAAAGCCTCTGGGTTTCTCTAGCAGCTATGGGCAGGTGCCCTCCTCAGCCCGAGCCAGCTGCCCGCCCCACCCCGCCTTTTGGCCTCGCGCGGGCGTCGGTGGCCTGCAGGACTGGCAGGCATCCAGGCGCCAGGCGGAGCGCTGAGGGAGGCTCCCGCCGGCCGAACAGCGGGGAGACCCGTGAAGCAGGCGCACCGGCCACGCGCCCGGAGGGACAGGGACAGGGACCGGCAGGGGTGGGCCCGCCGCCAACCCGCCGGGCACCCCGCGGACTCGGGCCTAGCCAGCGACTCCCCCCGCCCTTCCCGCGCCCTGTCTCGCGCCCCGTCGCCTTCCTCCCGCGCCCCGTCGCCTTCCTCCCGCGCCCCGTCTCCCTCCTCCCGTGCCCCGTCTCCCTCCTCCCGTGCCCCAGGCCCTCAGCCCCCCACTTGACGGGCGCAGGGAAGGGGCGGGTGCCGCGCTCTCCTCCCGGCCCGCAGTCCCCTACCCGCGGCTCGAGCGCGCTGTACCTGGGGTTCTGGGGCCGCCCTCACCCTTGCGCCGCCGCCACCACCACTGCCGCCGGCCTAGCTCCCCCAGGACCGAAAGTGAAAGTGGAGCCCGGGGAGCGGCAGGCTGGCGCTGAGCGGCGCTTCGGCCCGAGCCCTAGCGGCAGGCGGGGAAGCCCCTGGCTAAGGCGGGAGCTGGGGAAAGGGTAAACGGGAGTGGGGCCGAGCGAGGGAAGCCGCAACTCCCAGGAAGGGAATTGGTAAATGAGCGCTGCACGCCGGGGAAGCTGCGAGGTTGCGATGCGGGGGATCAGGCGTAGGAAGTGCACGCCTTTCTGAACGCGGATCCGTGTGTGTGTGTGTGTGTGTGTGTGTGTGTGTGTGTGTGTGTGTGTGTGTGTGTGTGTGTGTGTGTGTGTGTGTTGAGATGCTTTTTGTTTTTGTCTTTTTTTTTTTTTCACTGTTTAGCGTTGCGAGGGTTAGGGGCATGCAGGAAAGGGCCGGTGCTCAAGTTGGGGACCGAAGCCAGGCAGGCGCTGACAAGTCCACCAAGCCTAGACGCGTTCGACGCCCATTGGACTCGCTGGGTGTCCGTCATCTCGCCACTGCCAGTGGGCTGAGAGCTCTTGGCCCGCCTCGGAAAGAAACATGAACCCAGTACTCTGTCGTGGCAAAGTGCCGCACCTTCTGGGGCTTCGGTAGAGAATGACTACAGTGGGAGATGCTGTAGAGGAGGAAGGTGGGTTAGAGGTGGCCCCCAGGACTTTCCTGCACTACCAAGGGCCACTGTACCCCAAGGATTAGCTGCTTCCCGCATCAACACGTTCCCTCTGATTTTTCAAAGTAAATGACCATTTCTTCACTCCCCTTAGAACAATTAAAGCTGAATAAAATGGCCAAAAAGACCATCTTTAAACAGTTGAGGCTAAATGAGGTAACAAGTCAAGAAAACACAAACATTAAAACACCAAATGCTACAAGTTTATTACCGAAAATGGGTCCCGATCCAGACCCCAAGAGAGGGTTCTTGGATTTTGCGCAAGAAAGAATTTGAGGGGAGTCCATGGAGTAAAGTGAAAGCAAGTAATTAAGAAACTAAAGGAATAAAAGAATGGCTACTCATAGGCAGAGCACCCCCAAGGGCTGTTGGTTGTCCATTTTTAGGGTTATTTCTTGATTATATGCTAAGCGGGGGAAATTATTCATGCCTCCCCTTTTTAGACCATATAGGGTAGCTTCCCGACGTTGCAGTGGCATTTGTAAACTGTCATGGAGCTGGTGAGACCGTAGCAGTGACGACCAGAGGACACTCTCATTGCCATCCTGGTTTTGGTGGGTTTTGGCCAGCTTCCTTACTGCAACCTGTTTTATCAGCAAGGTCTTTATGACCTGTGTCTTGTGCCTACCTTCTATCTCATTCTGTGACTTAGAATGTCTAACCTCCTGGGAGTGTAGCCCAGTAGGTCTCAGCCTTATTTTACCCAGCTCCTATTCAAGATGGAGTTGCTCTGGTTCAAACGTCTCTGATAATTTGGTGAGTGGACCATGGTCCTAGTGGGAACAGGACCCTTTTCATGCGGTTCTCAGACTTTCTTCTCCCACTTCTTTATTGGCCTTCTTCCCTTTGAGAACTGGGGATTCCAAGTCACTGCAACAGTATTTCTCTTTTTTTTTCAATATTATGTTTCCTTTTTAAAAATATAATGTTTCATACTGCCTATTATCTCTAGTCAAGGACATTTTATAATATAAAGATTAACACCCTGTTCCAAGACTCAACTACGGTGGGATCCAGGGAAGTTTTTTTCACTAAAATTCAACAAGAAATGAGGACTTTGAGATCTGGTAATTTCTGCATGTTCAGAATTTGACAGGAGGTATCAATGGATAGCGTGTAGCCTCCAAGACCTCCAGACATCTCGGAGTGCTCCCAGTTTACTCAAGATGAGACCTCTTTGTCCAGTAAATGTATGCATTTCTTTGCTTTTATATTTATATTTTTGAATATGATGGTTTTCCTTTGGCTTCTAGTAAAGTTTTTTTGTTTTTGTTTTTGTTTTTTGTTTATGTGTCTTTTTAAATACATATTGAAAGTCCAGCTGGCAGAACTGAATGCACCCAACAGGCTGGAGGTTAATACAGAAGACAGCTGAGGAGACAAACAGGGCAATGCCCTGAATGGATGTGGGCAGAAAGGAGCTGAAGTGTAGGCGAGGAGAGAGCTGACACCACCACCCGCTCCACGCCGTTTCCCCAAAAGCTCACCCTGACTCAGACTTTAGCCTGTCGCCCTGGCCGTGATTTCGTCTTTAGAGTTGAAGTGCACTACAAAGAGCGATAAGTCAGAGGATTTGGCAGCATTCACTTCTAGTTTCAAAGCCCTAGCAGGGATGTAGAGGACACAGACCTTGGAGTAAGGACTTTAAGGAGTCCTAGTTCTAGAGCCTGTGAGATCAAAACAGCACATTACCGAGCTTAGAAATGGTTAGAAGGAAGGGAACAGAGAGAAAGGGTACCTAGGTTTATTGATTCCCTACCAACTGTTAGATACTGTTAAATGCTAGCTATGTGTGCATGTGTGTGTTTATAATTTGATCTCTTCAGCAACCCTGTAATGTAGATATTATGCTTTATAGATGAGAAAAATGAGACAGGTCGGCAACTTGCTCAGAGTCAAAGAGAAAACACACACTAATTCTACTCACATTGCATTGGCCAGAACAAGGAGGGGTTGGTAAACACTAATATTGTATACCATATAGTGTAGGAGGGCTGGTTGGCCGGTTGAGCCCATCCATTGCAGAGGCTTCTCAGTGTCCTTAGTCCCAGAGGTGAGCCAGAGGAATGAGGAGAATTTCAGGCCTAGGCCAATGAAATACATACCACTTTGAGCTATTACTGATCTACTTAAAAAATATTGAATTCTAGATATTGTCAAGTGATGTTCAATTTTGCTGTAATTGATTGATTCAGTTCTGCTTTCATTAGCTTTTAGTCAATTAATGTCAGCGTTTGGCTCATTTCTTCTGTTTTGCTGCCAAAGCTGCTCCTATTTTAATCATATTACCACTCTCCTTTTTGATGTAAAATCTCATCCAGAATCATGGTGTAGAAAACAGACAAAAGCAGGCCTGCTCTTATTAAACAGGGCAGCTCCACCCAGTCAGCCTTGCCCACTGCTATCCGGCCCTTCCACACACATTGTGGTCCTTGAGACTCTTCCATAGGCTCCCAGGGCCTTAGAACTTAATTTTTTTAAATGCCAATTTAAAAAAAAATAATAATGCCCCTCATTCTTGATATTCTTGATAAAGAGGATGACTTTTTTCCCCCTCTGTGCCAAGTTGCAGAGCAGGCTTGCTTAACAAAAGCAATACCATCTTATTAATAATCAGAAACAGGGAAGACGGTACAGATGCCATGTTAAAGACTGTTCCAAAACAGGCCACTGAGCTCATATCAAATAATAAAGTCCTCTGAAATGTGGCAGCTTGAAAGCATTTACATATAGTCTATCTCATGGGATCCTCACATTGTACTTATGCAGGTGGCTAGTAGCTCCATTTTTCTAGAATGAGGAAACAGGATTAGAGATGTGAAGTGACCTACCAGGGGCCACCACATGGAAAAAGCCTGCTTTAAAGTGAAGCCAGTTCAAAGGACAGCAGGGCTGACAGAGACAGAGAATACCTCCACTAAAGCCCTCAGCTCCAGCTGTCCTGAGCAAATCCTGTCCTTAGACCTTCCATTCAAGAGGACCAATGCTTTCCTTTTTGATTTAGCCAGTTGGAGTCAGTCTTCAGAGAGAGTCCTGTATTACCATACAACAGAGCACTATGGGAGCGAGCAATGTATGCCAGATTCTGTAGGAACAACTCAAGCAAGTTGAGTGACCACAGCTGCCCTTGAACTTCTAGAATTGTGGATCCTGAAGAACATTCTAGGTGCCACGAGGACTGATCACATGTTTCCCATTTTCCCTCCCTCAGGCATTTATTTCACAAGATACTGCTGTCTAAGGTAACCTGAGCATGTTTCCAGTTCTTGCAGCCTTACAGAACCCAGGGAATCCACCTGTCTCCAACCTTCCTCAGTAGGTGACAGGCCCATCTAACTGCTCTCTAGCCAGTCTTCTGTATTCCTGTTGCTTTTACCTTTGCTCGTGTCAACAAGGAGGTAAGTCACCATGACATATTTCTTAAATTTGTATTTCTTTCATCACTAATGAGACTGAATATATGCACTGAACATATGTTAATTAGCCGTTTTTGCTTTGTGTTTTCTCTTTTGAGAATTATATGTTTATGTTTCTTGTCCATTTATCTACTGGAGAATCACAATTCAGTTATATAAAAATTATCTATGACACACAAGAGAAAG
Source organism: Homo sapiens (assembly GCF_000001405.40). Lineage (NCBI taxonomy): Eukaryota > Metazoa > Chordata > Mammalia > Primates > Hominidae > Homo > Homo sapiens. Next base: position 96,812,219 of record NC_000005.10, read on the forward strand.
CAATGAAATTTCTTTAAAATGCAAAGTGTCATAGTCAGTAAAGCTCTACTATTTCAAAGAAAACCCACAAATGTGTCTGGATAAATCATGTCAATTTCTTAAAAACCCAGATCTATACCCGTTATGGTGAGTTGTTTGAAATATCAGAATTTACTAGATATTGTCAATATGAACAGATTAAAGCAAACCTTTGTTTAGGAGGCTTTATTTTATTTATGGCTCCCTCTGCCACAGCTATTTCACAAAGAAAGAATGAATTATCCAGCCAGGAGTGAACATGATCTTTGCATATGCCTAAAGGAATGATAAAAATATTGGGATGAAAAATATGTAGATTTGTTTATTGTTATTTTTTGAGGGACCATGGTGTTATGCTACTAACTGTCTTGCCTTAGCTATAATGAATATCTGTTGCAATAACTAAACATGGGAAAAATAACTTTTCAAAACCTTAGTTTCTAGAAGGTTAATGGATTTTATTATATTGAAATTAAATGAGCTATGATACAAAGGAGAAAAGGAAAGAAACGAATAACTTTCTCAATGAAGTTCTGTAAAGTATATACAATTGGGGCCTGAAAAGAGAAACTCATTTATGCTCATCCATACATGGCAGTGTGAAATTGACAGAGTTTGGCTTAAGTGAAGTCTGTGGTTCTAGGAATGCTTGCAATTTATTGGAAAATTAGATTGTGATTATGGAAGAAATGACTCAAGTGGTCTTCAGGCCACCACAGCCTTTCTTTTTTTTCTTTCCCAACCCTTCCTAAGAGACAGTTCTCCTTATCTCATTTAAACTTATGGGTTTGAACTAAGTGGTGGGAAGTGGAAGAAAGAGACATTATCTTACCCCTATAAACCTACAACACTCCCTTGGCTACCCTGGTGCTTAGGAATGCTGACTTTATCTGTCCTTAAGAAGCTGTCTGGACCATAGGAGGAATGCTTGGTTTTATTTACAAAGCTGTCTAAAGGATGAACAAATGAAGTGTTTAGAGGCCCTTTGAGACAAAGAAATACTAGCTATCAAATTGAAGAGAAGGGCAACAGGTTAGGCATAAACATTTTAAAATGCAAGATAATCTCTAAGCCTTTGAAAAATTTTAAGAGTAGTCTAATAGGCAGGTTTAGGGAAATAATTAAAATGACCTCTAGGCCAGGCGCGGTGGCTCACGCCTGCAATCCCAGCACTTTGGGAGGCCAAGGCAGGAAGATCATGAGGGCAGGAGATCGAGACCGTCCTGGCCAACATGGTGAAACCCTAGCTCTACTAAAATACAAAAATTTAGCCTGGCGTGGTGGTACGTGCCTGTAGTCCCAGTTACTTGGGAGGCTGAGGCAGGGGAATCCCTTGAACCCAGGAGGCGGAGGTTGCAGTGAACCAAGATTGTGCCACTGCACTCCAGCCTGGCGACACAGCAAGACTCATCTCAAAAAAAAAAAAAAAAAAAAAAAAAAAGCCTGGACTGCCTGCATAAGGCATCTTCATACACGAGGAAGATAAACACCTTACCTTACTTGTTTAACAAACTGTAGTTAGCATTCTGTTATATCTAGCTAAAAGAAATTCTAAAAGATAGCCTTACAGATCAAGCCATAAAGAGCTAAATCATTTCAAATATGTGTTCTCGTGTTATAATGTTTTTTTAGTGAATCCAACTGTTATGGTATTTGTTTAGGAAGTTTTCCTTGTCACTTTTTACTATCTTGTCTAAGAAAATGGCCCATTTCCTTCCTTTGGAGGAAAAGTGTCTCTTATTGTTAATTTTATTAGTTATCTATTATTGTGTATCAATAATACGAACATATCAACTTAAAACAACACATTTATTAACTCACAGTTTCTGTGGGTTGGTAGTTTCTGTGGGCTGCAATCAAGATGATGACTGGAGCTGCAGTCTCACCTGAGGCCCAGCAGAAGGGAAGGATCTGCTTCCAAGCTCACATCATTGTTCCAGCATTCCGTTCCTCATTGACTATCGGATTGAGAACCTCAGTGTTTTGCTGACTGTTTTCTGGAGGCTGCTCTCAGATATGACTAGTTCCTTGCCATATCCTATGGGTTAGAAGCAAGTCACAGGTTTCTCTCACACTAAAAGAAAGGAAATTATGCAAGAGAATGAATACCAGGAGGCAAGGATCATGGGGGCAACTTAGATTACGTCTGCCACACTAATGTTACTGCACATTGAAGATATTTCTACTATTATAATCTTAGGATTGGCATAGTCTGTGTTTTTGAGGCAGGGAAGGAGACATATATCAAAAAAATAACTGGTGAGTGGATAATTGGGAAGAAATTACAGAAGTGACTAGATTCTAGAGACTAGAAAGATTTGGTTCTTCATTGAGCTGAAAATAGGAATATCTCCCAAATAAGAGATATTCATGAGAAATCAATGATAGCTTTTTTCCTGATGGAAAAATGAATTAGCTTATGCTCATCAGAAGTGATGCCAAATTCAGGAGAAAGAAGGCAGCTGACATCCTGACCAACAAAGAGACCAAGCCCCGATAACTGGATTTGAACATCGGTGAAGAAGATGATTAAAGGTAGAAAGAGCCTTTACAGTCTAGAGAAAATAGTATAGGCCCAATGGAAGCTCAAAGTTGAAGAGACTTTTAACAGAAAGACAAAGGAAAAGGTGTCCTTGGGACTAGGGGTCCGAGCAAGACCTGAATTATAAACTGAGCAGCCACAGAGAAGCACTACAGATGTAGCTGAGTTATCTAGGCCTAACACCAAATATTCTAGAAAGACCCAAAGTACTAACCAGCTCTGGCAGCAAGACCAGCCCATGTCTACCTCTGCAGAACTTTGAGAATCTTTGGCTGATTTTTATTACCTAACTCCCTGTCCATAAGAGAAGGGAAAGAGACCAAGACTGAGTGGTTGGATCAGCCAAAGATGTCAAAATTAAACTTCAGTTAAATTAGCAAGAATTCTGGGCTTTTCTGTTTCTGTAGCATTGTGTTAGATTTGTTTTTTCCCTTGGTTTTCCAGTCCTGGTGGTAGATTGCTAAACTTTTATAAAATCTGTGTGAGTTTAGCATTCTGACTGTTCCCATTCTAAAAGATGAAAATAGAAAACTCAAAGTTTATGTCACTAATTTGATCTTTGTAAATGCACTGCTAAATAAAACACCCAAACTATTAAGGTGTTGTTGTTGTTGTTGTTGTTTGTTTTGTTTTTTATTTTTTTTTTTTTTGAGATGGGATTTTGCTCTTGTTGCCCGGGCTGGAGTGCAATGGTGTGATCTCGGCTCACAGCAACCTCTGCCTCCCATGTTCAAGCGATTCTCCTGCCTCAGCCTCCTGAGTAGCTGGGATTACAGGCATGCGCCACCACATCCGGCTAATTTTTGTACTTTTAGTAGAGATGGGGTTTCTTCGTGTTGGTCAGGCTGGTCTTGAACTCCTGACCTCAAATTATCCACCCACCTCGGCCTCCCAAAGTGCTGGGATTACAGACACACTCAGCCATTAAGGTGTTTTTAATTCTTTTTTTTCTTTACTGTTTTTGTAAGCAGTAATTTATTAACAGATGCAATAAGTAAATTGAAGCAAAAAAATACATCACAATGCTTAAGAAACTTGCTTAACAGAAAAAAGATTCCTGAGCCACACTCTGAAAAATTCTGATACTGTAAATCTTGAGAGATAAATAGACACATATATGTATGTGTGGATAGACGGATGGATGGATAGATAAATGGAAAGATAGAGATCGAGATATAGCCTAAACTTCATGGCAAGTATAAGCTACTTTTGGGAATTTAGGGGAATAAAAAATTATTTTATCACTGTTGTACTAGGAACAAAGCAGATTTTCCACACGTTAGCCAGAAAATGTAGGAGAATCAGTGAACCTCAAAGGGCCAGCACTAAAAACTGGGCAGCATCAGTATCAGTTTTGGATCCTAGAAAAACTATTGGAGATGATGCAAACAGAAGAGGGAAGAAAGGTAGACAGAGTCTGGACTCAGCTGCAGTTTGTTGATGACTATCTGAATCGTTCCCTTGCATTCTTTCTTAACGAATTATACATGTGAAAATTGCACACTTGAAAATTAAAATATGGGTATGTACTGGAGGGAAAGCACTGAGAGAGGAGTTAGGGGCTGGATAGGCAGATAGAGATGGAGGGTCTAGGGAGAAGGGACAGAAAGGAACAATGTTCACAGGAACAACTGCAGGACAGCACCTACCCCGCCTCTGCAGCTAACAGGAAGAAATGTGGTTAAGAACTTGCCCTTATGCCAGGATGTTGCTCAGCAGGGACGGTCTCAACTTAGGCACAGGTGCAACAAATCAACCTAAATGTCCTTAATTTGACCCAGCTCACTATAATGCCATTAACATAACATTAGCGTTGTGGTTTTAGGCACCTCCCACCATGGGTTTCACTTAGGCATTCAACCAGTTGGAGTCACTTTGGTCAACCTTAGGCATGCGTAGATATAGTACCCCAGGAGGGAATTTTATCCCTCCCATGTGGGCAAAACCCACAGAAGACTTCCTGGCTTCTGCCACATAAAAGACACAGAACACAGACACCTTACTGGCAACCTGCTTTCAGGACCCCTCTCTTCGCTGAGAGCTTTCCTTTTGCTTAATAAATTTTACTCTGCCCTACTCACCCTCCATGTCTGTGTGCCTATTTTGTAGTTGTGAGATAAGACCCCGGACCTCACCAAACTCCAGGGGCAAAAGCAGACTGCTACAGCACCAGAGTGGCCATTCTGCTCGTGAGTTTTGGACTATACATTCTCAGTTGGCAAAACAGAGGAACTGTATAGTAAGGAATTAATAAGTGTTCATTGTTTAGAGAGTACAAACTCTAAGCAGAAAGGAGGATTACATCAACTAGGACACTTTTGAAAGAGAAAGTAAATGGTAACCTAAAGACTTGGGGTTGGAGGGACGGGCAACCAGCATAAATCAAGTCTCCCCATGGGCAAAGCCAGGGAACACAGAAAGCCATTCCTGCTAGGCAGTCCCAGGGCACAGAGCAGGATAGAGAAGGGTGAGGAGTGGACCTATAGGGGCCAATGGAAGACCTCCAGCCTCAGCTTGTTGAACCACAGCAGGTGTTTCCTATGGGTCTAACTAACCAAGCATCAGTTAGCAACTGTGATCATCTAATTCACCTGCTCATCAAAGCAATAAATAATGCCAACCTCATTTCATGTTTTGTATCCATGCAATTATAAATAAGAAAAAGAAAAATAACACAATCAAAAAGATCAATGACATTTTAAAAACTAATTTCTATGTTGTGTCAGGGTTCAATGGCAGAGCACAGAATCACTAAGCTATTTAATCAGAAAAGGATTTATTGCAGGCTATTACATGACTTACATAATCATTGGGAAGGCTTAAAAAATACACTAGACTGAGCTTCCAGAAACAAATCGCAAAACCACAATGTAGAACTTGGCCACCAGTGAAACTGCTTCTCTTGCCATGATCCAGGAGCCATCTGCTAAATTGGGCAGCCTCTGCCACAATTGCTGGCTCCAGAACCATACCATGTGTGCCACAATCTTTCCCCACAAAATGAATAGCTCAAGAGCTGCCTGTCTCCCTACCGAACTCAATTCCAAATTCAAGTCTCCCACCAGTGCTACTGTTTGGCAGAGCCTAAAGCACATCTAGAATCTAGGAGCAAGGAGTCTGGAAAATAAAGTGTTTGCTTTCCCGACTCTGCAGTGGTGTGAGAAATTCTGAAAAGCGTTTGGAAGAGATGCTGAGTGAGCCAGTCCCAATATCTGCAATAAATATTAAACTGTACTGAGGTTGAACAAATAAAAAAGAAATAAAGCAATCATGAGGAAGCCTCAAGTAATATTGATTGTAATTAAGAACAAAAAATAATAATTGAGGTACCAATCGTAGATTTAGATTATGAAAGACACGGGGCACTTGGGAGTGAGATGAATATTTAACATTGTGACAGAAGCATATTGCCAAAAATCAAGTTATCATTTGGTATATTTGGAATGTCTCCAGGGGCTTTAAAACCCTTTTGCCTGCTCAACACACCTCCCTTTCCTCCTGTAAATGAATAATCACACTGCTCAGGCTCAGTCTGAGATGAACACAACACCTCCACTCTCTGGCCACCGCGATGAGGCCAAGGGCAAAGCCAGTCCAAGCAGACTCCCAGCCCAGGATTGTTCTGGCTGAAGCTAACAGGGAAGCCTCTTTTTTTTTTTTTTTCCTTTATGTTCCCAGCACTATATAAATATGGCCCTAGAGTTAATGGCTAAGTTCCCGCTATGGGTGATGGCTGAGAGAATAACCCCAAAGAAGAAAGAAAAGGAGGCTAAGCTTGAGAGGCTTTTTTTGTTGTGCAGGTTTTCTGAGTTCATCCTTAATTAAGGCCTGGGACTACCTCTTTCCTCCAGCTTTCTTCAACGCCCGAGGCATTCAGAATCCATGCCATAAATCCTCCCTCTTGGATAAAGATAGTTTTATTGCGGTGAGAATCAGTAGCGTTTAATTTTAAGAGTTGTAATAAACAAACCACAGTCTCAATCTTATAACCTGCTATTCCACTATTCACTTAAAGGAAGGTAGTGTCTTTTGTGTTCCATGAGAAAAGTGACATTTCTTTGCTTTCCCATACATTGAGGTCAACCTAAATTCCAATGAAGCCAAACCTGAACTGCATTTATTTATTTATTTATTTATTTATTTATTTATTTATTTATTTATTTTTGAGACGGCGTCTCGCTCTGTCACCAAGGCTGGAGTGCAATGGCATGATCTCAGCTCACTGCAACCTCCGCCTTCCAGGTTCAAGCGATTCTCCTGCCTCAGCCTCCCGAGTAGCTGGGACTACAGGCACCCACCACCACGCCCGGTTAATTTTTATATTTTTAATAGAGACGGGGTTTCAACACGTTGGCCAGGATGGTCTCAATCTCTTGACCTCGTGATCTGCCCGCCTCGGCCTCCCAATGTGCTGGGATTCCAGGCGTGAGCCACCACACCCGGCTTGAACTGCATTTTCTAACCAACTGACTTTATTTCAGTGATTTTGTAACATCACTCAATTTCAGGTAAGTACTCTCTAAGAACAGCTTCATTTGTCAGAAGCCTCATGGACAGCTGCTACCACCATATCATCATGTTTTCATCCTACAGACAATCATCAGCGGTGTAGACTGGTGAGTTCCAGCTATTTCACTAACAATGGGGAAGAACCAAAGAAAAATTGCTGTGAGAGGAGGAAGGCAGGAGAGCCTGTGGCTCCAGAGGGGTGTGTGTGTTTGTGTATGTGTGTTTGTGTGTGTGTGAGAGAGAGAGAGAAAATAAAATGTTTTCTACCAACAAAACTCAGGTGTGTTTCCTTTACTTGCCTTGAAGCTTCTTCAAAACTTGTTATACCGTAAGTTTGAAAAACCAAACACTTTTCCTAGGATTGTTTTTTTACGTACTAAGGACCAGATCAGATCAGCAATTAGAAGTATGACATACAAAATAATCACCCTCAAGGAAGGTTTAAATTAGGGATGAATTTCCAGTATTGACATGGATCTTTCCAAGCACCCTGCATATTCAGCACAGTATTCTAGTATTTTGTGAGTGAAGTCATTATTTCTTAGGACATCATCAAAAGATTGAGCGTGTAATAGACTTCAAGCACCTATGGATTTAATATTTACAATTTTGACTATTTGGGTGTGACCTGAAGGTCTAGCACTTGGGTAGTTTATAATTTTGCCGAGACGTAGGTTAGAGTTACATGAACAGATGCAAGAGAAGGAGTCACTTCACCCATATGTGGGCCAATGACTCAGAATCCACATCCCAACCCAATTCTGTTGTTCTCCATTTGCCATCACAGGCATATTCACTTTCTCAAGTGATAAAATCTCAACGGAAACAGCAAAAAAAGCTTTAAAATTTCATGAACATTCTTGAAAGGATCTCTCAAAGTTCTAAAAATCATTTTACTGCATTTTATGGGAGAAAATATATACTCAAGTATATATTTAATCTGGCAACTAACTAATCAGCATTTGCTTATTTGCCATTTAGCAAACAACATAGCTTAAAAAAAGACAAATGAAAGAAAATCTCATTTTCAGAATTAGTAGCAAGAATATGCAGGGTGCTTGGAACGTCAATACTGGAAATTCATCCCTAATTTAAACCTTCCTTGAGGGTGATTATTTTGTATGTCATACTTCTAATTGCTGATCTGATCTGGTCCTTAATATGTGAAAAAACAATATACTTCAGATTTGAATGTTGATAAACAGTCTTGTAAAAGTTTGCTGAAATCTAAACGTTACTAGTTTTCCTTAAACTGTTGAGGATCATATAACATCTACAACCATGTAATTTTTCAGTGAGTCCTATAAAATTGCTACTAATTCTGAAAATGAGATTTTCTTTCATTTGTCTTTTTTTAAGCTATGTTGTTTGCTAAATGGCAAATAAGCAAATGCTGATTAGTTAGTTGCCAGATTAAATATTTTTTTCTCAATCATGTTGGGTTTTGTGCCATGTTTGATATTGTCTGTAACCTCTTCTTTCTTGCATTTTCTCAGCTCCCTCAGATTCAGAGATACCACTCTCATAGTAATAACTTCTAATTTGTTTGTTTACTTACTTTGATTTCTCTTTTGAGCTCTAAATCTGTATAAACACTTACTCTGGAGACTTCTCTTGAATATTTGTATCAGGGTTCTCCAGAGAAATAAAACTTACAGGAGAAAGAAGAAGAGGAAGAAGAGGAAGAGAGAGGAAGAGAGAAGAAGAGAGATTGATTCTAAGGATTTTGCTGATACAATTGTGGGGACTGACAAGTCCAAAATTTGCAGTGCAGGCTGGCAAGCTGGAGAAACCAAGGAAGAGTCAATGTTTTCATCTTGAGTTCAAAGGCAGTCTGGAGTCAGAACTCCCTCTTCCTCAGGGTACCTCAATCTTTTCTCTTAAGACCTTCAGCGGATTGGATGAGGCCCAGCTACATTATGGAGGATAATCAGATCTACACAAAGTCTCCTGATTTAAGTATTACTCATACTAAAAAATAGCAGCAGCATATAGACTAACATTTGACCAAACATGTGGGTGCCATAGCTTAGCCAAGATGACATATAAAATTAACCATCTCAATGTTCTATAAACACTTTTAAATTCAACAGACTCCAAAAGAAACTGCCACATTCCTCACATTCCTCACAAACTCAATCTCCTTTTGGGTTCCCTTTTTGGTTTCCTTCCTGTGGGCACACGTAGGGGAAGGGCAGGCCTGGGCATTCAGGCTGATGGGACCCAGGGGGAAGCACAGGATAAAGGCAAGAGCAGGGGCAGAGTATCCTTTATCTATGACCAGGTACTGTGGTCATGTCCTAGACCTAGAAGGAGCACCAACATCAAAGCAAGGAAACCTAAGAGCTCAGTGAAAGCTAATGAAATATGTAGTCAAAGAAAGAGACATCGAGATAGCAGGAAATCTGAGGCTGGTAAAAGCCTGACTGGGCCAGAGGGAACACAGCTCAATAGGAAGAGCTAGTTTATATTGAGCATTTCCTGTGTCCCAAGCAGGATATCCTCAATATAAACTAGCTTAAATTATAGGAAATCTTCATTTATGTCTGCTCTGTCAGGTGAATAATTTGTGAGATACACAGCTAGAAAGCTATAGAGACTTGTTGGTGGAAAGGCTGGGGTTAATTCCAGAAACAAATTCTGCCTTTCAAATCTTTGCTGGTGTGGGTATACTCATGTGTCGTATTTATTTAAAAGCAATCATGGAGGAATAAACTATCCCAAGTGTGATTATTGTCTTGCTTTCTACCTGAGCACCCAAGCTAGATGTCATTAACACATCAGCGTTATCTCCCGCCATTCCTCTCTTCACTGCTCTATTTCAGCAGGTCCTATTGATTTTGCTGCCAAAGGGTATCTTGAGCCTTTCCCTTCCTTTTCATTTATCTTGCTTCTAATCAGGCTTCAAATAATTTCACCTATGCTATTACAGCACCTCCTAACTAATATTTTAAATTTGTAACCTCTTTCTCTTCTTGAATTTGTTTTTTGTATTGTCGTCTGTCTAAACTACCTTCCCAGGCTAGCAGGAAGCCCAGAAATCTAAATCAGGAAGCCAGAGTTTGGCAAGAGATTTAAGAAGAAGGGCAACTTCTGCCATGGGGAAGAATTTTCAAAGCAGAATCAAAAACATTGCTCAGGAACAAAGGTGGTCCCAGAAACCTAGAAAAAAATCCAGATAAAGTATAATTCCAAATGTTATCAAACGGAGATGCAAGAATTGTGTCTTAGGTAGTGTGATGGTTAATTTTATGTGTCAACTTGACTGGACTAAGGGATGCCGAGGTAGCCTGTAAAATATTTCTTGGCCAGGCATGGTGGCTCATGCCTGTAATTTCAGCACTTTGGGAGGCTGAGGCAGGAGGATCACTTGAGGCTAGGAGTTTGAGATCAGCCTTGGTAACATAGCAAGACCCCCATTTGTATTAGTTCCTTTTCACATTGCTGATAAAGACATACCCGAGACTGGGCAATTTACTGGGCAGGCATTACTTTTCCATGTGACAAACTGCCACAAATTCAATAGCTTAACACATGTTTATTATCTCACAGTTTCTGAGGGCCTTGAGTCCAGGCACAGTTTATATGGGTCGTCTCCTTAGGGTCACATGAGGCTGAATCAAGGTGTCATCCAGGGATACAGTCTCACCTGAGGCATGACTGGAGAGGGATCCACTTTCAGTCTCACTCAGGTTGTTGGCAGAATTCAGTTACACAAGGTTGTAGGACAGAGCACTTCAGTTTCTTGCTGGCTGTTGACTGGAGGCCGCCCTCATCTCCTAGAGGCCACCTGCAGTTCTTTACCATGTGGGATCCCCCAGCGTGGCTGCCTGCTTCCTCAAGGAAGCAAGGGAGACAGAGACTCCATTAGGGTGAGCCTTACAATCTTATGAAATACAGTCATATAATCATACACATCCTGTCACCTTTGTCATATTCCATTTGGAGGAAATAAGTGGCAGATGCCACCTGCAGTCAAGAGGAGGGGATCACATGAAGACAACACCAGGAGGCATGGGTGATGGAAACACATTGGTAGCCTGTCTATCACAGGTACCAAAAATATTTGATGGCATTTCCCATCTTTCTACTTTTCACCATTTCCACCGCCATCCTCCTCATTCGAGTCCACAGTATTTCTTGCATAGATACTACAGTAGCCTCCAAATTCACCTCATTTTTGCACTTGCCTCCTTAGAATCCATTCCACACAGCAGGCAAAGTTGTTTTCTTAAAATGGGCAAAAATCTTCATCCTTCACTCAAGTGTGCAAGAAATACACATTTTCTTATTTTATTTAAATCAACAAATTCTATCCCAAGCTCCTACCCTACTAGGCTGGTGAGAAATTCCAAGACCCCCAATGGTTGCCTAAAACTGCAGATAGTACTGAACCCTAAGTACACTATGCATGAATTTCTTTTTCCTTCTTCACAGTTTTATGGATAGAAGATTTGTTTCTACCATAGATCTTAGCAACCTCAACATACAATTTTTTCCCTCCTTATTAAGTCAAGAACTTTCACATTTTCACTTAAAAGAAGTACTTTACTGCTTCTCATTGGCATATTCAAATTGCCAGCATCACTATTCTTGTGCTTTGAGGCTGTTATTAAGTAAAATAAGGGTTGCTCAGCACAAGCATGACCATGCCTTGACAGTGGATCTGATAACCACAAAGGTTACTAAGTGACTAATGAGCCGGTAGTGTACACAGTGGGGATATGCTGGGCAACGTGATGATTCCTATCCCAGACAAGTCAGAGCAGAGAGGCACAAGATTTTATCACACTACTCAGAATGATGCATAATTGAAACCTTGTAAATTGTTTGTTTCTGGAATTTTCCACATAATATTTTTGGACAGAGATTGACTTTGGGTAACTGAAACCATGGAAATGTAGATAAGGGTGGACTCCTGTATTCACACCCAATGCCTGATGTTCAAATGTTCATCCCCTTGAGAAAACAAATTACCTCAGAAAACACATTCCTCTGGCAATCCACTGGCAGCCTGGGTTGGGAGCTCAGGTTCTTGCCTCTGCTACAGTTCTTGGTGATGTCTAATCCAGCATTCAAAGGTCTCTTCTGCTGGCCCAGGAATCTTGTGTCCACCTATGAATTGGATCCTATCCTCCTGCTTAGGACCCCTCAATGACTTCCCTTGACACTTCCTGAGGTCTATACATCCCTATGTGTTCTAATCCCTGTCCATCCTTCCAAACCATCTCCTATCTCTTTTCTCTTTGCTAAGTTTCTATCATACTGACCTTCTTTCATTTCCATAAGCATGCTAAGCAGTTTTCTGCCTCACACATGCTATTCTCTCAGCCTGGAAAACTTTCCCATCTGCCAACAATTGGACTTCAACTTAAATGTCACCTTCCCTGACCATCTTATCAAAAAGTAGTCACATCCCCTTACTTCTCTAACACCACTGTAATCATAATTATTTTTATTCCATTAAAAAAATGTTTTTGGCCAGGCACAGTGGCCCACAACTGTAATCCCAGCACTTTGGGAGGCCAAGGCAGGAGGATCACTTCAGCCCTGGAGTTCGAGACCAGCCTGGGCAACATGGCAAAACCCTATTTCTACCAAAAATTAGCTGGGCATGGTGGCATGCATCTGTAGTCCAGCTACTTGGGAGGCTGAGGTGGGACGATCGATTGAGCCTGGGAAGTGGAGGCTGCAGTGGGCTGCGATCATCACGCCACTGCACTCCAGCCTGGGTTACAGAACAAGACCCTGTCTCAAAAATAAATAAATTAATTAATTAATTAAAAATGTTTCTATTTACTTGGTCATTGGTCAGTAAGTTCCATGAGGCCAGGACTGTGTCTCTCTCTTTCTAAGCACTGCTTTCTCTGCACCCTACAAATTTTGATAGGCTGTATTTTCATTTTCATTTAGTTCAAAATACTTTTTAATTTCTTGAAACATCATCTTTGACACAGAAGTTATTTAGAAGTCTGCTGATTAATCTTCAAATATTTGGGTATTTTCCAGCTATCTTTCTGTTATTGATTTCTAGTTTAATTCCATTGGTCTGAGAGCACACTTTATATGATATATATTCTTTTAAATGTGTCAGGGTGTGTTTTATGGTCCAGAATGTGGTGTATCTTAGCAAATGTTCTATGTGAATCAGAGAAGAATGTGTATTTTGCTGCTGTCAGATGAAGTGTTCTATAAATGTCAATTAGATCCAGTTGATTGATGGTTACATCTATCTTTTTCACCACTATATTCCCAGGATCTAACAGAGAACTTGACCTATAGCATGTGCTCCATAAATGCTTATTGAATGAAAGGAAGAAGACAAGCACAGGCAGGGAAAAATGAATACAGAGATCTTATATGTTACTCCCCAGATTAAACACTTTCAATAGTTCACTATAATCTACACGATATATTTTAGCTATTGTTCCTTCTACTTGCTAGCAATATTTTATAATCCATACACTATATTTCTTCTGTTGTAACACACAATTATTTTATATACCACTGTATAAGAAAAAATAAATGCTAACATCATAAGATGCCATCAATTTCAAAGGTGTTTAAACATCAAAAAAAAAACTTGAGTTGGAGAATTGATGAAATATTGTGGTTAGCTAAAGTTTATCTGGTCCTCTAGATGAATTTATCCTTATTTATCTTTGTATCCCCAGCACCAAGCATAGTATGTGGTAAAGATACTCAGTAACATCAGTTCAGTTTAGTTATTTGATTCGTTGCTTATTCTGCACCACCAGTCACCTGGCTTTCCTTCATTCCGCATCCCTGATATCTTCTATACTCTAATGCTGTTGGTGTTACTGGCTGGCCAGAGATTTTAATTTCTTTTGAAATGCCTTTGCTCCACAAAAATCTGACTCTTTTCCACTCTTCTAATAAACTTGATGTATGCTGTTAGCTGCAGTACAACTAAACATCTGCCAGACTCACTTGTGTGTTCTTGAAGCTACTATGGTACATTAATGTCCTCCCCCACTGTCCCCGTTCCCTCAATACAGTTACAGTGTGGTTTTAGATGCTGTGGCAAATGAGAGAGGAAGAGTATTTGGGCAGAGAGAATTTCTGAAAGCTTCAAATAAATAGATAATTACACTTGTCTATTTACTAGACTGGCCATTCCTTAAGCTTTATTTTTAATATCTACTTAGGAAAAGTAAGAAAGAAGAAAGTAAAACTCTTAGGGATCTTCTCCCCCAGTTAAATAAGCTCTATCCCTTTTTCTCCCTTTGAAGTAGGACTTTTTTGAAAAAAGAGCCACAAATGGGTGTCGTGGTGGATGAATTTAGCCATCCAGGTTCAGCCAGTATGGTGTTTTTTAGACATGCAAGAAGGCTGTGCCTCCTCCAGTCAGCCAGCACACGACTTCCTAACCATGTTACTGTAGCTGATTCATATACTCCTAATTGCCCACTGGCCCCTTAAAACCATCTGAATTTTTGACCCCTGCCTTGAACGTTATGGTTTTTCTTCTCCAGGAAGAACTCCAGCTCACTGTGTCTCCTTAATTTTGTTACTCTTATTTTGAAAAACTTGCCATTAGAGATGGATCAGTTTCTCTAACTATAGGGAAAACTATACTGTGAAGTTGAAACAAACTAGTTATAGAAATGTGTATTAGATATATTTTTAGTGCAAGGAATAGCTATAAAAATAATCCCCAACTCTATCCCCACAAAGCTCAAATGTCCATGGTATTTATGAGGTGGTATTGGAAAGGGGAGGAGAGTAGTTAGAATTTTGAAACTTTTGTGACAATGTTAGCACTCAAAACTGCATCAAGAATTTTTTGGATCTGAGACTGAGACTCCCCTCTAATTCTGGCTTTAACTCACATTCCTTCAAGCAGATCTTTCCTGCTTTTTTGCTTGGATTTTAATAAAGCAAAGGCAGGGGAAGTCAGTGTTGGATGAAATTGCAAAGAGTAGTTCTCGTGAGTCTTTTAATTCATAGCCATAAGGGATAGGTGTTCTTTGTTTCCCTTTTAAAAAGTCAGTTGGGGGTAGAAGACAAGTTATTAAGAAGTTAAAAATAAAATTGAAATGCTTCCCTCTGTTTAAGAAATAAAAATATAGGCTGGGCGCGATGGCTCACGCCTATAATCCCAGCATTTTGGGAGGCCAAGGCAGGTGGATTGCCTGAACTCAAGAGTTCGTGAACAGCCTGGGCAACAAGGTGAAACCCCATCTCTGCTAAAATACAAAAAAAAATTAGCTGGGCATGGCAGCATGTGCCTGTAGTCCCAGCTACTTGGGAGGCTGAAGCAGGAGAACTGCTTGAACCCAGGAGGTGGAGGTTGCAGTGAGCCGAGATCACCCCGCTGCACTCCAGCCTGGGTGACAGAGTGAGACTCATCTCAAAATAAATAAATAAATAAATAAAAACGTTTTTTGGGAATTTGCTGCTTTAGTTTTTTAAATAGTAGTTTCCATTTTACTTTTCCCCTCTACCTCACTCTGTCCCCTGACTTCTACCCACTCTATGTTTACCCACCACCCTGAATAAAATTTAAGTCACCAAATGCTAATCTAAAAAACAGAGACTCCTGTATTGGTTGAAACCCTGTGAGGATAATAGAAGATAAGTGGGTTCTGAAACACTGGCCATTATTTCTTCTACTAGACCAATTTAAACTCGAATTTATTAGGTTTCATTATTATTTTCCAAATAAGACTTTGTAGTTCACAGACTAACATATTTAAAGCTATTGTGATAAACTAAGCCTGTTAGAAGTGGATACATTCATCTTGTAAATTATTTCAAATTTTAGCCTGAAATTCCCCAGCATTTATACAAATGTAAAAATTTTCTAATAAGTAAACAGAACCATTGAAAACGTAGAGACCATCTTTGTTGTCTTTTATGGTGTCTAGCTCCTAGTGCCTTCTGATTTTCTATTTATTACAGGGGTAAGCCTCTAATTTATCGGTCTTTTGTGGGTCATTACATTTTAATTATGACAACAAAATAAACATTGATACATTTAGGAAAGTTTATAATCCAACTACCAACGTAAATGAATTACTAAGAATATAAAAGATTCTAGATTGAGTGTAAATAAACATTAGTAATAATAATAATATTTGCCAGTCACTTTGGTATCAGTCTTTCAAATATTAAATTTTCAATTATAAACATTACTAATTTAAATATTTACTAAGAGAAAAATAAAACAAATAAGTGAGAACTGATTACATTCAAAGTTCATTTTTCAAAAAGAACTTGTATTAGAGCAGATCCACCAATTAAGCCACACTTTCAATAGGGCAGGGTGGTATTTGGATCATAGTTACAAAATTACCAGGGTAAAAAGAGTGGGAGATTTTCAGGGCCATTCTTCTGTGTGAGGGAAGAGCCATACTGACCCCATCCTGGACATATGGGAATTTGCCCTAGTTTTGAACATAGTACATTTCAATTGTTCTAGACACTTGGGATGAGTGAGGGGTCTGGAGAAGGTCAGAAAAAAATATATAGATTTTAAGAAATTACCCATTTACTGGCAATAAAAGTCAATTTAATAGTATTTTTCTTCGTGACTTTTTTTTTATTATTTTTTTGAGATGGGGTGTCACTCTGTCACCAGGCTGGAGTGCAGTGGCACAATCTCGGCTCATTGCAACCTCTGACTCCCTTGTTCAAGCAATTCTCCTGCCTCAGCCTCCCCAGTAGCTGGGATTACAGGCACACACCACCACACCCAGCTAATTTTTGTATTTTTAGTAGAGACAGAGGTTTCACCATGTTGGCCAGGATGGTCTCAATCTCCTGACCTTGTGATCCGCCCGCCTCGGCCTCCCAAAGTGCTGGGATTATAGGCGTCAGCCATCACGTCAGCCTATGACATTTTAATTCTTATTTTAAATAAACTGTGCAGTCCCCTAGGGTCCCAGTCCGAATAACTTACACATGTATACAGATAGTATTGACATAATAGGTTGTTTTTTCATACTTGTTTTTTCATATACCAAGTAAAATTCAATGGATTTTCAAAATTTAATATGATTACTTATAAGATCGCATCTTACAGCATTGGTACACTGGCATACTGACTTGTTTTGATTTTTACTAAATCAAACAACACCCTTAGTAGGGAAGGAATTGAAAACATTATTTTCCCCATAGCAACAAATGAACTAGTCATTTCTTAAATATACATTAAGACTTCCGGATTGAATTCTTTCCATCCACTGTGATCTTTTGATCCATGCTAATCCAACAACACTAATCATTTTAGAGTCTGTGAATCCAGACATTGTCGTCCATAAGAAAAATTCCTAGGCTAACATAACAATCAGCTCAATATTAAATTAGCGAGGACACAGGGAAGCAGAGTTAAGCAATTACAACATGCGGTTTAGTTTCTCTGAGAGCAAACTGCCTTCCGAATTAGTGATAGGCTATTTTTTATTTTTAATTATTTTTGTATGGATTTTTTGAGTATATAATTTATGCTTAGAGCACAAAAGGCAAAGGGTACAAAAGGATATGCATAGGAAAGTAAATATCTCTCATCAATAGAAATGCTATTCAGTGTTAGCAGGTGTATAAACCATTTTGAACAGAAAATTAGTCTTCCTAGTAAGGTTGAAAGTGTGGAATTTCTGCTTCTGATAATGACAGACTACGTAAATTGAACCAACTTTCCCTCTGACAACAACTAAAAAAGCTTGAAAGATTTTAAAAGAAACCTTATCAAATGCATCAAAGAGTTAACAAGATCTTGAAGAATGATGTTCAGGATCACTTTGAAAGACATTTCAAGAAGTTGGAGTCCAAGACCACTCAGAGGTAGGGAGGGACCCTGGTAAATATCTCACTGTGAGATGAGAGCCTATGGGACTGCATCCCAGCTGTAAGGATAAACCTAGAAGGAAAGTAGCCTATGTACAGACTGCAGACCAGCTTGTGGTCCCCAAGCTGGCTCCAGAAATTACATGATGATTCGAGAGGGCTGATGCCTTTGGGTACTTGACAAAAGGTAATTTAAAAATCCTCTTTGGAGGAAAATAATACCTTAGGCCTCGAAATGTCTCTAGGAAATTTGAAGATGTGCGTACCCAATGATTCCCCCACTCCAGGTTTGTAACTTCAAAAAACTGTAGCATGGTGCACCAGGGAACGTGAGCAAGGATGCTCATTGCATTATGGCAGTGACTGAAAACTGGAAACAACTCAAATGTTCATCAACAAGATGGAATATTCATATGATTGGACACTATAGAGCAGTAAAAATAAGTGAACTATTGCTACAGTAAAAAATGAACATTGCTACATCAATATAGATAAATCTTGCAAATATAATTCAGCAAACGAGCATGTAGCAGATTATATATAGTGTGATACCAATAATATGAAGTCGAAAGCAAGCCAGACAAAGAATATTGTTTAGTAATATATACACTTGGAGTCAAGTTTAAAAGCAAGGGAACAATCAACATAAAGTTGGAGCCCCTGATTGCCTCTGGAGAGGAAGGAAGTGCACACAGGGTGCTTCAGCTATGTTAGTTATGTCTCTGCAGAGACAATCATTCATGATCCTCCAAATACAGTCATCCCTCAGTACACACAAGGGATTAGTTCCAGGATCCCTGCAAATACCAAAATCCAAGTATACTCAAATCCTGCAGCAGGCATCTGCAGAACCCGTGTGTATGAAAAGTTGGCCCTCCACATAGGTGGATTTCATATCCTGGCTGTATTAGTTCCTTCTCACATTGCTATAAAGGAATACTTGAGACTGGGTATTTATAAAGAAAAATTGTTTAATTGGCTCATGGTTCTTCAGGCTGTACAGGAAGCATAGCAGCTTCTGCTTCTGAGGAGGCCTCAGGAACTTACAATCATGGTGGAAGGTAAAGGGGAAGCAAGGCACTTCACAAGTCTGGAGCAGGAGAAGAGAGAGGAGGGAGGTGCTACACACTTTTAAACAACCAGATCTCACAATTCACTCACTCACTATCACCATAACAGCACTGAGGGGAAGGTGCTAACACATTCATGAGAACTCTGCCCCCATGATCCAATCACCTCCCACCAGGCCCCACCTCCAACACTGGGGATTACAATTTGACATGAGAGTTGGTGGGGATGCACATCCAAATCATATCACTGGCAAATACTGTATTTTCCATCCACGCACAGGAGGACTTGTGTCCTTCAGCCCATGATGTTCAAGGGCCAACTGTATAGTATGACTTATTTTGGAAAAGGGAAAGAGCACGTTCCTTTAATTAATTATAAGGCCAACCTGCAGTTTGTGCAAAAGCTACTTTCCTCCCAGGTTTATCAATACTCCTGGGATACAATCCCCAAGGGTCTTATCCATAGCATCTCTCAAAGTCAATTAGATATAGTCTAATGTGCCCTTTTCTCTGCCATCAGTCCTAGGAATAGCATCTGTCTGGCTGGGAAATGCTGCTATTTCTTCCTGCAGAATCCAGGCTTAGCAGGGGTAGAAGCAAAACATGGTGAAGTAGAGAAGCAGCTAGCCCACGTCTTTCCCTCTTTCCATTTCTCTAGCCCTCTGCCTTGCCCATTGCAGACTTTGCTGCTGTGGTGGGCTTGAGCTGGGTTGAGAAGACCTTTAACTTTGAATACAGTCAGAGATTTTTATTATTACAGTAAACTGGACATATTGACTACCACAGTGACAGTATTTTGAGATAAAGTAATTAGAACTTTTTATTGTTTCTGAATAATGAGAGAAAATTATGGAAGCTGCTTGTGATTTTATCTAAGAGATGGGGAAATCCTGGCTTCACAGAATGGGTCTGAGTGTGCCAGAACCATGCAGGGGGAGTAAACTCGCTGAAACAAGAGTCCTACCTAACATACCAATTTTACAATAATTAGGTACAGAAACAGACTCACTATATTAACGGAAGCTCTCTATTCACTCTGTAAAACATATTGACTGGTATCAAAGCAAACTTTGCTCCTGGTGTATGATAGAACTTCTGTCCCCTGAGATGAATGCTGGCCAGGAGGCAGTTACATTTGTTCCAAACCTGACTTGCCAGTTGTATTCTTTAGGTAGTTACTTAAGTTAATAAAATGTTATTAAATCAATGGGTAGAATAGAATGTTGCACCTATGAACACCAAGTCGAATATTTTGGAAAGTCTTGATTAAATTGAGTGGAATTGGGGGTATATATAATAGCTGCAAAAGACTGAGAAAAGTTGTAAAAATATAGAAGAACTACACATTCAGATTTTTCCACAAATGTCTTTAAAGTCTTCCTTTGAAATGAGGAATGCATAAAATTAAAGGATTTGAAAAAATTCTTTCTGGGCCCCTTCCAGCTTGTGTTATTTTATGACTTTTATCCTTGAAAATATTTAATCATCTTTATAAACATGAACAGGATTTGTAAAATGTATTTAAGTCTCTGAAAATGTGCTATAAGTAGCAGATATCATTGTACGTACAAAGAGACAGTGATGCTACAAATATCTTCGATTTTATCGATGTTCTTCCACACTGCTTGAATTGCATTCATGATCCCTTTGGGCTGATGTCATGGACTGAATGTTTGTGTCTCCTGAAAATTTATGTGATAAAATTTAGCACCCAATGTGATGATATTAGAAGATGGGGCCTTTGAGACTAATTAGGTCATGAAGGTGGAGCCATCGTGAATGAAATTAGTGCCCATATAAAAGGGATCCCGGGGAGTAATCCTGCTCTCTTTCTGCCACCTGAGGATACAAGAATTCATCAGTCTACAACCTGGAAGAGGTCTCAGCCATGCTGATGCCTTAATTTTGAACTTTTAGCCTCCAGAACTGTGAGAAATAAATTTCTGTTTTTTATAAGCCACCCAAAATACGCTACTTTGTTACAGCAGCCTAAACTGAGATAGCTGATAAATTTGGAGACCAATATTTAGACAGAAACTGAAATTATTAATTACATTATTCAATCTGCCAAAGGTGACACTTTAGGATTGCTGTTGTCCAGCTGCAAATCTCTTTGTGTTCCATTATGCTTCTCCAGTGGATGGGGTCTTGAGCTTCATGAGTAAAAGATGTTCATTACACCTTCTGTGCTTTGATCATATAAATATTTCTCAACAGGTTATTTTTGGAAATGTATGTTTGTTTACTGATATCAAAAGGGTTTTTTGTATGTGGTTATATTGGTGATCAAAATGGTGTCAAGATAAAAATGAACTATTTTGAAGGACATATATATTCTCAATCATAAAGTCAATTCAAAATGTTGGTTCATTGAGGTTCTCCTATATACAGATCACTATTTTAGGGAGTGGGAAGACATGAAAATAAATAGAATTTAGTCACATGGTTCCTGACCTCACCTTGTGTAAAAAAATAGCAATTAGCCGAGCATGGTGGTGCGTGCCTGTAATCCCAGCTACTTGGGAGGCTGAGGCAGGGGAATCGCTTGAACCCGGGAGGCGGAGGTTGCAGTGAACCAAGATTGCACCACTGCACTCCAGCCTGGCGACAGAGCAAGGCTCGGAAAAAAAAAAAAAAGAAAAGAAAAAGAAGATAGCATGTGAATTCTGACAGGATTTTCTTTCCTTCAGGTTCAGCCCTCCATGTGTCTTCTGATTTTCCTGTCCACGTATCTTTGTCTTTGTATTCATTAAAAAAATTGAATACTCCCAACTTATTAATGTAGTAGTAATGATCCATTGCTGATTGTACCAAAATGCATGCCAGTTGAAGTAAAGTTGCTAATTGGGTAGCCACAACTAGTTGAAATGAAAAACTGACACTTAAAATGGTAGATATAGCTTCACAGAATGAGAAAGCGGTAGCCTTAATTTGTTAGCATCATCAGATATTTAGTTCCTCAGTAATTCAGTGACTTCCGCAGTTAGTTAAAGCTTTCAGTAAAGAAAAATGTTTTTAAATACCTCTCTCTGCCACAAGAATCTCCTTCTCCAACAAATTAATTTCCTTCTTGCCAAGGTATGTGTGTACTTGTCAACCTTCTCAACTCATGAGTCTGCATTCAGCAGAAGGGGTCCTATTCCAGCTCTCCCACTTACTATTTGTTAGAGTTTGTCAAGCTTTCCAGTCTCAGTTTTCTAATCTTCAGTATAGAATAATAACCCCGACCATAAAGAGCATTGTGCACAATGGGCCTATTATTAATGTTCATTTCTTCTGTGAGTTCAACACAGTGATCAGATCATATCCAATTTGAGGAACTTAAAGTTAACTGCTAAGTTGTGATATGG
This sequence comes from Homo sapiens, assembly GCF_000001405.40. Lineage (NCBI taxonomy): Eukaryota > Metazoa > Chordata > Mammalia > Primates > Hominidae > Homo > Homo sapiens. The sequence continues at coordinate 96,834,520 of NC_000005.10, forward strand.
TAAGTGGAGTCCTGAGTTTGATGTATGTGAACTTATACTGAGACAAAACTTTTACCTGTGGTCTAGTTCACAGTAAAATGAACTACTGGAAGAATAAAAAAAGATTTGAGAACTCAATCAAAATAAAATCAATCCAAATAAATGGTAGTGCAATTTGCTGAGTTTCTTCAATGAAGAAACATACACAATAAACCTGTGAATGTTATCACTGGAAGTGTTTGATGCTGTGGGAAGGAATAACATTTCTATTTCACTGTTATTACTAAATCATAATTGCATGGTGTTTAACCTCTACTGTATAAATCATCTAATGAGGATTCATTTCTATGTAATTTTTTGTTACACAAAGAAACACTGCATAATACTTACCCAGTAATAGGCAGTTTTTTAGACCCATTGAATCAAAATCTGATTTGGGGACTGTAAATTTACATTTTAAAGAAACACCCACATGATTCTTAGGCACACAACCGACTGAGAACCACCAGGATGAGGGCCTTTAGTATTTGTTGTGTGCTGTCCCTTTCCACATTTCAAAGAATACTAAGGGGCTGTTAGGCGTGTACTAGTGGCTGAGAAGTTTGCTTTCACAGTAAAGAAGGTAACACCATGACACTGTCTGTGGCTTAAGATAAAATTATGATATTTCTTGAGAAAGACAAAACTCTGCTGTTGACTGTCCTAGAAGGCTAAAAGGATAATTGGAGTTGTCGAGCTGGTTATGACCAAAGCTGCTTTAGAACTTCTTTGGAGTTTGAGTGATCCTTGCCACATGGTGAGATCTTCAGGGACCTGTCAAGTTCCTGACAAGAACTTGATTGAGGACAAGACACTGCTCCTTTAAGCCACATGAATTGCTACAAGGATCTTAAAATACACAAATGAAGACCAGGTAGAAGCTCAGATGCTGGTCTCAAATTCCAACCCTGTTGTCAGGATTTTCTGTCATATATCTTTTTAAAAACAACAAAGTAGAACATCCTTACATGTAGGGAAGTTTATTTGTACGAAATGATGTTAAAAAAAATTCCAGGTGCTTTTTAAAACAATTATTGCTGATTGTTTTGTTGTATATTAATAATACCTCTATGTGTTTGATTTTAAGTCTAAGTTTACAGTGTGTTTTCCTTCTGTATAACCATGTTTTACTGTACTATCATAACAAATTTACAGTTGTACAAACATGAATAAATCCTTCAAAAAGCCAGCAGTACGAAGGCTCACAAGTCGGAAAGGCCCATCCTACTTAGTAGGTACTACAAACTTTATCAACTGGAGCAGGGTCTTCAAAAGGAGGGGTTGGACCTCTGGGAAACCACAGAGGCTTTCCAAGGGACACCCAGGCAGACAGGTGGTTCTAACAGGGCATCAATTTCCTGAATTTCAACTGCAGGCATACTCTATCCAAACATGATCTGAGAACACTCTTGTGGTTTTAAGGTTATATGGGACCTCCGTTTCACCTTTGCTTTCACTTGACAAAAGAAGGAACAACTTCTCTCCATGGTTAATACTACTATGATACAATTTCTGAGATGAGAAACCTGCATGAGTCAGAGAGAAATGTGAAATAATATTTCTGGTATTGAAAAAATGAATGCCTTCAATGACCGGAAAACAAATCCTTTTACATTTCAGGGATTTTCCACCTCTTTGGTTTTTTTTTTTTTTTTTTTTCTGTTTTTTGTTTGTTTGTTTTCAAGACAGAGTCTCACTCTGTCACCCAGACTGGAGTGCAGTGGTGCAATCTGGGCTCACTGCAACCTCTACGTCCTGGATTCAAGCAGTTCTTCTGCCTCAGCCTCCCAAGTAGCTGGGACTACAGGCCTGAGCCACCACACCTAGCTAATTTTTGTATTTTTAGTAGAGACAGGGTTTCACCATGTTGGCCAGGCTGGTCTCGAACTCCTGACCTCAAGTGATCCCCCCACTTCAGCCTCCCAAAGTGCTGGGATTACAGGCGTGAGCCACCACGCCTGGTCCACATCTTTGGTTTTAACAAAATTAAAGGGAGACCTAACTAGTAGATCATTAAAAATACTTTTTGATGATAGGTCACTATGTGATTTTTGGCATATTAGTGGCAAGGAGTTCAAATAATTGAGTGACATTGCTAAAACAAAACTCATTTCATCCCCAACCACCAACTAATATAAATAAGATTCCTTAGCACTTACATAAAAATAATTTAAAATAGGAATAAAACTGATGCTGAATCCCAACTTATTCTAGCAATAAAGAGCCATATGTGGATGCATCCATTGAAAAGCAGGCCTCATTCTTCTCCTTAAAAGATACGTCATGTTAAATAATGTATCAAAATGTGTAATGTACTTACCTTGTTTTGATTAATTGGGTATCAATAAAAATTATAATGATAATGCAAATCAGAAGATTTTTTAAATAGTTAAGCCTTGAGGTCACTGAAAATTAAATTTTTATTTATATTTCAATTTTCATACATATTTCTGTTTCAAAAAATTATGATGTCATAAGGACTTTCAATCAAAATATATTAGGCTAAAATTTGGGAGAGAAAATGAATTGGAGAGGAAGGAGGAACTTCTAACTATTTAAAAAAGAACATGTTCATCTTTTTAGTGTAGATATGTAGGCATCAATTCCTCATGATAGTCACATTCCACTGGACACACTTTAAAATGTAGTATGAGTTTTAAATGTCAATATTTATGATATGCCAGGAATTATATCATTTACAACTATTAAATGTATAAAACTTTTAGATATTTGAAATTTAGATACAGAGATAACATTTTTAAGTGTTGGAAGGGTACATAGTTTTTCAAAGTTATTGTACAGAACACAACAGCAAACAAACCTACATTAGGTCAGTAGTTATATGTTAATGAAGCAGGAAATTTCCCCGACCCCTTCGTGGGCGGGAACTGGAGTGCACGGGCGCTGGACCCAGGCAGGAGCTTCAGCCAGGGTGAATTCCACTCACTCAAACCCACTGCGTTCTACCCCTCGTGGGACGGGGAGCGCAGGTGGGTGGTGCAGGAGCCGAGGCGAGTGCCTTTGGGCGCCACCAGGAGCAAAACTCTGTAGGTGCCATGGCAGCGTCTAGGGAGGTACCTGCAACTCCTGAAGCCCCAGAAGGAATGTTACAGTCAGTGCTCTTTTAGCTTTGCTGTCAGTGGACGGCTTAAGTGTTAACAGCTCAGTGGAGGGTCAGTGTGACAGCCTTTCGCACCTGTGCCAGAGTTCTTGTCTGGCATTCGGGAGGAATGAGGTCACATGAACAAATTAAAGATGGTAAATGCGGGGGATTTTATTGCTGGTGAAAGTGGCTCTCAGCGTGAAGGGGAGCTGAAAGGGGGACAGAGCAGGAAGATAAGCTTTCCCCAGAGTCCCGCCATCCCTCTCTGAAACTACGCCATCAAGCCGTCCCTCTGAAGTCAACCTGCTTATCTCCAATGTCCAACTGTAGTCTCTGACATCCCACTGCTTCTCCTCTTCTCCTCTTCTTCTCTCTCTGCTGGTGGAGCTTGGGGCTTTAATGGGCACAGGGATGGGGGGTGGGGTGGGCCATGGGTGGTTTTGGGAAAGGCAACATTTGAGCGGGAAAACGGGAATGCATGTTCTCACTTTGGGCCGTGGTTCCAGGCTTAAGGGTGGGGTCCTCGCAGCGAACCTGCCCTCTTCTGCCCAGAATTTCCTGCCTCCTGTCCCTATCATTAATAATATCTCCAAATGCCTGGGTTGTCGAATGGGTTACCAAGGCTGCCAATGTGCAGGTCCCAGTCCAGCCAGAGCTTCAGGCTGGGTACCTCTGAGGTGGAACAGATTCCTGAGATGGACCAGGTAGCCCTCAGGGAGATTCTGGTGCCAGTAGTCCAAAGTCTACATTGGAAAATACACTCTTATCTAGGCTTTCTTTCCCCCCAGTTTTTGATAACATGGTGGTTCAGAGGTGGATTTATCTATTTGTATGTAATAGATATAATAGTACATGCATATAGATAGTGATATAATAGTTCTTGTATTGTAACTTGAATTCTTAAATTTGTAGATAAAGTTGCCCAGTTTTATTACTTCCTTCCATATATTTCCTCCCAAAGTCCACTTGAATTCTTAAATTTGTAGATAAAGTTGCCCAGTTTTATTACTTCCTTCCATATATTTCCTCCCAAAGTCCACACATGACAACAGCTTAACACCATGCAAGAAGCCAGGTGAACTGGAAAGGCCTCACAGAGGAAGTGACAGAACTAGGTTTGAGCTCCAAACAATAATATGGGAGAAGAACTGTGTAAATCACTTGTCTCTAACACACACACACACACACACACACATTTGCCATGCAATTCTGATGTGAACTACCTGGAATCTGTGCAGATTTCACAAGTTAAGGGCACAATCTCCTATAAAACTGCTCTCACTTCAGATACCAGTTACAAGCTTGGGGATTCCCCAGGCCGTGCACACTTCTGACTAGCTGGCTACAACTCCAGGAGTTCCCACAATCCCTCATGTTTGATAATTTGCTAGAATGGCTCACAGAACCCAAGAAAACACTATACTTGGAAACACAGTTTTGTTATAAAGAATAAAACTGAGAAACAGCCAAATGAAGACACTCACAGGGCAAGGTCTGGGACATCCCAAACTCGAAGCTTCTGTGTCTGGAGGACATGTCATCCTTGTGGTACGTAAAAGGTGTGTCACTAACCAGTAATCTGCCTCAAGCTTCAGATATTTAGAGTTTTTATTAAAGCTTCATTATGTAAACATGATTGATTGAAGCCAGTCTCCAGCTCCCCTCCCCACCACCCCCCAGAGATCTGGCTGATAGCATGTGGCTCAAGATCCCAGAATTCTAATCACATGGTTGGTCTTTCTGGGATGACCAGCCCCATTCTGAGTTATCTCATTAGCATAAACTCAAGTGTGGCCCAAGGGGCCCACTGTGAGTTAGGAAGACACTCCTTTCTAATTACTCAGAAACTTCTAAGGATTTAGAGGTTACCTCCCAGGAACCAGGGACAAAGACCAGCCAAATTCTTTAATACACAATACTATTCTTAAAACCCTTTCATTGTTTCTCATTACCTTTAGGATATATATCGACACGGTCCACAGGGCCCCGCATGATCATTTTCCAGCCATTTTTACCTGTCTCATTTCCTCCTTCACTCCCTGCTCAGAGGGAAGGAGCAAACAGATACACTGGACTTCTGTTAGCTCCTCAAATACATTAGGCTCATTCCTGTCAAACAGCCCTTTCCATATATTTTATCTTCCTGAAACAATCTCTACCCTCAACTTTTCTTAATAAATCCCAAAAATACTCAGATCTCAGCTCAAATATTACTTCCCCAAATCTCCTGACCTCATCTGAGTTCCCAGAATATTTCTCAGGTCTCTGTTCTTCCTGTTGTACATTCTCATAAAATGTGTACTTCTCACTGTTTATACTTGTAAGTAAATGCTTAATTGTGTAATGAGTTGTTTATTGCTTGTCTCCTCTGCTAGAATGGAAACTCAATAATCTCAGGTATTATCTGAGCCTTATACAATTCCTTGCATATAATACTTTTTCCAATAAACAATTATTAGATGAAAGGAAGAATGGAATCAATAACTGAGTAAATGCTGCTTTTAAGCATTCCTAAGGACCTCCATCTTTCCAGTAGTGAAAACTCCTTAGATCTGTACTGTCTGTCTCAAAACTTTTAAAGATTTATATATCGGGACTGTGTGACTTATTAACCCCAACATTATTGGCAAGTTAACTACAGCCTTCTCTTTACAGTTCATCAGCCCCAGATTATAATCTTTCTCACTCCCCAGGGAGTAAAATCGTCCCTGATCCTGGAAGACATATTAATTGGTTTATTTTCACTCTTTTTTTTCTCTTTCCCCCAGTGAATCAGGTTTCACCTTAAAGCCCATAACATAAAATTTAAGCCTGCTAGATATAATAGTCTAGAAGTCTAATAACAATAGCCTACCAAGAAAAAGATGATTGTTCTAACCTAGCAACAAATGACAAATGTGTAAATGTTTCACTTCTCTAAATCCCTTAATAATGTTAACTCGTAATCTCAGTTGCTCTCAATCCTGGTTATATATTAGAGTTACCTGAGTGCTTAAAAAAATGCTGATACTCTGTTAAAGCAGATCTCTGTCTGATGGGACTCAGGCATTGGACTTTTTTTTTCTTTTTTTCTTTTTTTTTTTTGAGACGGAGTCTCGCTTTGTCGCCATACTGGAGTGCAGTGGCATGATCTCGGCTCACTGCAACCTCCGCCTCCCGGGTTCAAGCGATTCTCCTGCCTCAGCCTCCCAACTGGCTGGGACTACAGGCGCGCACCACCACACCCAGCTAATTTTTCTATTTTTAGTAGAGACAGGGTTTCACCATGTTGGCCAGGATGGTCTCGATCTCCTGACCTCGTGATCCGCCTGCCTCAGCCTCCCAAAGTGCTGGGATTACAGGCATGAGCCACTGCGCCCGGCCAGGCATTGGTCTATTTTTAAATGTCCCAGGTGATTAAAAATGTGCCGTCAGTCATGACCACTGGGGTAGCTGAAGCATTAATCACAGTCATGGCTGGGTACATAAATTCATTCCCACCAGGGGCATATGTCATGTCTCCTAATTTTCTACTTGCTTAACCCTGGTTAAAATGCAAATACATTATCTGAAAAAGGATAGTGGCTGTGCAGAAAGCCCTTGGGTGGCTGCCCAGTTTAAAAAATTCCCTTCCCCGAGGACACCACTGATATTCTGGGTTGGCGGTATCTGTATATTATAACCCTGTCCTGCTGGCCATACATAATTAACACAAAAGTGTACACAAACTGAGTCATTTCAACAACCTCTGCTTAGAACTTGTTGTTTACAACAAGTTTAGAGCCTAGCCATACTGTTCTAGTAATGCTTTTTGTAACATTTACTGATTTCCTTGGCATAAATATACCATGACCAATTTCAAGCTGCTGAGATGGAGCAGGGATCTCTCTCAGAGGCCTGTGCCACCCTGGCACCACCACCCCCCCACAATGCCCACAAGCATGGAAATAAAGGAAAATCTTGAGTTCCTGCAAGGGAAATTTCAGGCAACCTAGCTAACCCAGAGAAGTAAGTGAGCAACTTGATAAGCACAAAGGTAACAGTAACTTAAAACAATAGCCAAGGAAGTTAGAGTAGTAAGATATTTTATTCCCTCCAGAAACTTTAACATCTTTTCTCTTCTTCTTCTTTTTTTTTTTTTTTTTTTGAGCATTACTCATTTTACTCTTAAAATTTTTTTCATTTCAGTAGTTTTGTGGAACAGGTGGTTTTCAGTTACATGGATAAGTTCTTTAGTGGTGATTTTTTGAGATTTTGGTGCACCCGTCACCGAGCAGTGTACAGTGTACCCAGTGTGTAGTCTTTTATCCCTCACTCCGTCCCACCCTTCCTCCAGAGTTCCCAAAGCTTATTATATCATTCTTATGCCTTTGTGTCCTCACAGCTTAGCTCCCACTTACAAGTGAGAACATACGATGTTTGATTTTCCATTCCTGAGTTACTTCACTTAGAATAATGGCCTCCAATTCCATCCAGGTTGCTGCAAATGCCATTATTTCATTCCTTTTTATGGCCGAGTAGTATTCCATGGTATATGTATATACCACATTTCCTTTATCTACTCATTGGTTGATGGGCATTTAGGCTGGTTCCGTATTTTTTCAATTGTGAATTGTGCTGCTATAAACGTGTGTGCAAGTGTCTTTTTCATATAACGACTTACTTTCTTCTGAATAGGTACCCAGTAGTAGGATTGCTGGATCAAATGGTTGATCTACTTTTAGTTCTTGAAGGAATCTCCACACTGTTTTCCGTGGCAGTTGTACTAGTTTACTTTCACACCAGCAGTGTAAAAGTGTTCTATTTTCACCACATCCATGCCAACATCTATCATCTTTTGATTTTTTTGATCATGGCCATTCTTGAAAAAGTAAGGTGGTATTGCATTGTGGTTTTGATTTGCATTTCTCTGATCATTAGTGATGTTGAGCATTTTTTCATATATTTGTTGGCCATCTGTACATCTTCTTTTGAGAATTGTCTATTCATGTTCTTTGCCCACTTTTTGATGGGATTATTTATATTTTCTTGCTGATTTGTTTGAGATTCTGGATACCAGTTCTTTTTCTGGTATATAGCATGCAAAAATTTTCTCCCACTCTGTGGGTTGTCTGTCTACTCTGCTGATTATTTCTTTTACTGTGCAGAAGCTTTTTAGTTTAATTAGGTCCCATCTATTTATTTTTGTTTTTGTTGCATTTGCTTTTGGGTTCTTGGACATTAATTCTTTGCCTAAGCCAATGTCTAGAAGGATTTTTTTTCCACTGTTATCTTCTAGAAATTTTATGATTTCAGGTCTTAGATTTAAGTCTTCAATCCATCTTGAGTTGAATTTTGTATAAGGCGAGGGGTGAGGATCCAGTTTCATTCTTCTACATTCCTTAATTGACTTGCCAGTTAAAGATAACATCTTAATGTTACCAGCGGAGGGTGTTCAGGTTCTTGGCAGCTTTGGACAAAGAATTGGACAAAACACACAAACAAAGCAAGGAAACAATGAAGCAACAAGAGCAGAGATTTATTGAAAATGAAAGTACACTCCACAGGGTAGGAGTAGGCCGGCACAAGCAGCTCAAACGCCTAGTTACAGAATTTTCTGGGGTTTAAATACCTTCTCGAGGTTTCCCACTGGTTATTTTGTGTACACCCTAAGTAAATGAAGTACCTGCAATCAGTCTGATTGGTTGCAGAAAGCAACCAATCAGAGGCTTAAGTGAAGTTACAAAGTTACACCCCATCCAAATGTCTTATTGGTTGCAGAAAGTGACCAATCAGAGGCAAAAGTGAAGTTACAAAGTTATACTCCTTTGCAAATGAAGACTTGGCCCATGACCAGCCTGATTGGTTGCAGGAGGGGACCAGAGGTACTTTCAGTTTTTCATCTGCCATGCACAGAAGTGGGGAGGTTGCAAAGGGAATAACCCTTTTGTTACTTGGGCGTGGAAAGTTGGGGTTTTCCTTTTGATTTAGTTCCAGGAATTCAGCTTGAATTGGCCTTAGGTTCCCTGCCTCAGACCCTGTTTCCCTGCCTCATTAACATATGTCCCTGAGTTGTTTTTCAGAAACTCAGACACCCACCAAATGGATCCACTGGCACATAAACCTCAGGTAAGGGAGAACTGAGGACTAAACTCTGACGGCCATTCGTTGTTCTAAATTTCTTCTTGAGGGGTCTGGAAGGAATCAAGTCCAAGAGCCAGAGGTAACATTCTTTTCTACTGACCCTAAATTTTTAAACCAAGCTTTTCTTTCTTAACTAATTGCAAATCACAAAATCTTTGAATCTACCTATGACCTATGAGCCCTCGCTTCAAGATAACCTTTTTATGCCAAACCATTGTATTATCTCCATGTGTTGATTCATGATTTTGCTTACCCTTGCCTTTAAAAACCCTTACTTGCAAGCCATCTAGAAGGTCAGGTCTTAAGCCTGAACTGCCTAATTCTCCTTGCTTGGCGCCCTACAAATAAACACCCTTCTTTCTCCCACTGCAAACCTTGGTGTGGATGTTTGGTCTCACTGTGCTAGGTGAGGGGGCCTCAGTTCATTTCAATAACACTGCTAATGTAATATAATTCAGTGATATGATGACTTCCAACTCTTCAACAATTGGTTCTCCCCAGTTGCTATGAGCAAGCTCCAGCACAGCAATCAAACTCTGTCACTTTAATGTCACCTCATCAGGTATAATTCAAATATACTTACTGCTCTGTTTCCTGCATTTCCCAGGGCTGAGTAGTGTAACTCTCTCTTAAATTCTCTGAGACAACCCCCACTGCCACCACCACTACCCATTTCCTTCCCAATAAGTTATTATTGTTATTTATTTATTTATTTTTTGCTTAAGCCAGTCACAACCAATTTTGATATGTGCAATTAAAAGAACCTAAAATAATATGGTCGCTCGTTAATGAATTAACATTTTACTTTGAGGAAGTTTATCAGTTACTTGCCCAAGCAAGTAATTTACAAGTCCTGAGAGAAATAGGAACGTATTTTAGAAGGCAGGACTGGTTTCAATTCCAGTGGGTGATCTCTGAGCAACCAGATGGTAGCTCCAGGGCATTGTGGTTTGTAGACAGACACTGAAAGCAAGTGGAAGAAAAGAGAATGCTAAAAACAAACCTTATCTTCAGTATTCTGCCCAGCATGGCTTCTGGCACTCTCCACCTCCTTTGGCGAGAATTGCTCAAACTTTTAAAAAGGGCTGTTGATCCAAATAATATGGAAGCTAGGGTTGTTTATTTCCAAGTGCTCATCATCTTAGATTCTTTAAAGAAGTTGAGGTATTGCCACTTTGAGGAGCAGAGAAGAGTCAGGAATAACAAATTGGGTGAGAAAAATTATGTCTGATTCCTCTTCTCAGATACATCAGGTTACTAAAGCATTGTGTTTTTCAAAGTTTTACAAAATTGCCTACAGAATGGTCTGTATGTTTAATACGATAAACTATGTATATTACTGGGGGGAAAACCAAGTTTTAGCGGTGATTATATTAATATATAATAGAGAGTTAAACTGGGAATAGAAAAATTGATTTAAAAAATAAGAATATCAGTATAAAATTACAATCATTTGTTCAAACTTCTCATTATTTGGGTTTAATTATGTTGCAACTTTTTTTTTTCCTTTGAGACAGCGTCTCCCTCTGTCACCCAGGCTGGAGTGCAGTGGCACAATCTCAGCCCACTGTAACCTCCACCTTCCAGGTTCAAGTGATTCTCATGCTTCACTCTCCTGAGTAGCTGGGATTACAGGTGCACACCATCATGCCCGGCTAATTTTTGTATTTTTAGTAGAGACAAGGTTTCACCATGTTGGCTAGGCTGGTGTTGAACTCCTGGCCTCAAGTGATCTGCCCACCTTGGCCTCGCAAAGTGCTGGAATTATAGGTGGGGATCCACACTGCCTGGCTGCAACTTATTAATTATATGTATATAAGTAAATATTTTACACATAAAATTGGTTCTTTTGTTTGACTAATTTATCTTCATATTAATTAGTCTGAATAATTTAAGCTATATTTGCCTATTCAAACTTTTAAAAATTATCAGAAGTACTGCTCATATTCTGCAATTTCCTGTATGATCTTGAGATACTCACTCCTTCTGGTCCTCTATTTCCTCAATAGAAAATGACAATTAGATTAGATATCTCTAAGACCTAGTCTAGCTCTAACACTCTGTGAATCTATACACACCTTCACATGCAAACTTTTGTATATGTTCTGAGAAAAGAAGGAGAGAAATTATACAAGTACATGATTTTAAACCTTTGGATTTTTTTTTGAAGATCATATGTGAAAAAAATGTTCTTGGTAGTACTAGTCCAGCATACAATAGGGCATAATTTAATCCCTAGAGGACACAGTTATTGATAAATATTAGAGGATAAGATAGTAAGGTAATAGAAGGGTCACCCACAGATGCTTGTATCAATGTCCTAATTCAGTCGTAAAAAACAGAACCCAAAGGAGATCTCCAGGAACCTTGTAGGTCCTTAAAGTTGCCCCATGATTGTAATGTATTCTCCTAGTTTAGCAGTTCTTAAATGTCAGTGTTTTTAGAATCAACTGGGGAACTTGGTATAAACAGAGGCCCATGATCTATCCTACCCACCAACCTGGTCCTCTGCATTGCTTTATTTGATGGTAATACACATCAAAGTTTGAGAGCCACTGCACTGGTCTATTTACTCTTTCATTCTTTCTGACCAGTAGGTCTGAAAGTTTTCTGCACATTAGAATCAACTGGGGAGCTTCTTAAAAAATAATCCTGATTCCCTAGCCCACATTCCATAACAATTGAATCAGAAGCTCTAAAAAAGAAAGCCAGGTATTAGTACTTTTTGTAGCTGCTGAGGGGATTTCAATGTTCTGCCAAGTTTGAGAACTAGTGTTTTCTTCCAGTGCTTCTTAAACTTGCATATGAATTTCCTGGCAATCTTGTTAATGTGTAGATTCCAGTAGGTCTGAGATAGGGCATGAGTTCCTGCATTTCTAATAAGCACCCAGGACATGCTGTTGCTGCTGGTCTGGGGATCACATATGAGTATTAAAGTCCTGAACAACAATTTTATATCTCTTTCCCAACCCCCCTCCCAGCATTTTCTCCACCATCCATTCAACCAAAAGATGCAAAAAAGTATAAACTCAGAAATGGAGAAGCCATGGTAAAAAAAATGAATGATTTCTCTGAAGAGTGCTGCTGATGATGTAAAGAAATTTAAAACTGGAACAAATTGTGAACTGAAGGTTCTATTTGGATGCTGTAATCAACTGGTCATTGGAATGGCATAAAAGAGTGTCCAGGAAAATGCCATTTAAAAGTTGAGTACAGGGCCGGGTGCGGTGGTTCATACCTGTAATCCTAGCTTTGGGAGGCTGAGATGGATGGATTGCCTGAGCTCAAGAGTTTGAGACCAGCCTGACCAACATGTTGAAACCCCATCTCTACTAAAATACAAAAAAAAAAAAAAAATAGCTGGACGTGGCTGCGTGCACCTGTAATCCCAGCTACTTGGGAGGCTGAGGCAGGAGAATCGCTTGAACCCGGGAGGCGGAAGTTACAGTGAGCTGAGATCATGCCATTGCACTCCAGCCTAGGTGACAGAGCAAGACTCCATCTCAAAAAAAAAAAAAAAAAAAGTTGAGTACAAATGAGACAAATACAGCTTTCAAAACTTGTTTGCCAAAATATGTAAAGCAAACATTATGAGATCTGAAGGGAGACATGGATGGCAGCACAATACTAGTAGAGGATTTTAATATCCCACTCCCAACACAATGGAAAGATCATTCAGACAGAAAATCAATTAGGAAACATTGGATTTGAATAACACTTTAGATCAAACAGGTCTAACATATATATACAGAACACTCCATCCAACAGCAACAGAATACACATACTTCTCAAGTGCACATAAAACATTTCCCAAGATAGGTCATGTTAAACCACAATCTGGCATAATAAATTCAAAAAGATAGAACTCATATTGAGTATCTTTTCAGACTGCAGTGGTATGAAACTAGAAATCCATAGCAGGAGGAATCATAGGAAGGTCGCAATTATGTGGAAATTAAACAGTAGACTCCCGAAAAACTATTGGGTCAAAGAAGAAATTAAAAGGGAAATGAAAAGATATCTTAAGATAAGCAAAAATGGAAACAAAACATTCTGAAACTTATGTGACAGCAAAAGCAATTCTAACAGAGAAGTTTATAGCATTAAATGCCAACACCAAAGAGTAAATCTCAAATAAACAATCTGATGTTGTACCTCAGCAAACTAGAAAAAGAAGAACAAATTAAATCCAGAGTTAGTACAAGGAAGGAAATAACAAAGATTACAGCAGAAATAAATAAATGAAATAGAGACTAGAAAAACAAAAAAAAAATCAGCAAAACCAAGAGCTTGTTTTTTTGTTTTGCTTTGTTTTTGTCTTTTTGAGACAGAGTCTTACTCTTTTGCCCAGGCTGGAGTGCAGTGGTGCTGTCTCAGCTCACTGCAACCTCTGCCTCCCAGGTTCAAGTGATTCTCCTGCCTCAGCCTCCAGAGCAGCTGGAACTACAGGTGTGCACTACCACACCTGTCTAATTTTGTTTTATTTTTAGTAGAGATGGGATTTCACCATGTTGGCCAGGCTGGTCTCAAGCTCCTGACCTCAAGTGATCTGCTGGCCTCAGCCTCCCAAAGTACTGGGATTACAGGCATGAGCCACCATACCCTGCCGAGAGTTTGTTTTCTGAAAAGCCAAACAAACTGATAAACTCTTAGCTGGACTTAAGAAAGAGAAGACTCAAATAAATAAAAAATCAAAAATGAAAGATGTGGCATTACAACAGAGGACACAGAAATACAAAGAATCATAAGAGACTAATATGAACAATTGTACACCAACAAATTGAATAACCTAGAAGGAATGAATTCCTAAAAACATGTAACCTACCAAAACTCCATCATGAAGAAATAAAATATCTGAATAGACCAATAGTGAGTTACAATATTAAATCAGTAATTGAAAAGTTTCCCATCAAAGAAAGACCTAGGACGAGATGGCTTCATGGCTGAATTCTATGAAACATGTAAAGAAGAACTAATACCACTCCTTCTCAAACTCTTCCAAAGAATTTAAAAGGAGGAAATACTTACAAACTGTTTTTATGAGGCCAGCATTACCCTGATATTGAAGCCAGACAAGGACACTGCAAGAAAAAAAAAAGCTACAAATATTTTTAATGAACATAGATGCAAAAATTTTTAATAAAATACTATCAAACTTATTGAACAGTACATTAAAAGTATTCACCATAATCAAGTGAGATTTTTCCCTGGGATGCAAGAGTGGTTCAACATATGCAAATCATAAATGTAATTGATCATATTAACAGAATGAAGGACAAAATCCATATCACCATCACAATAGATGCAAAAAAAGCATTTGACAAAATTCAACATCTTTTCATGATGAAAACTCTCAATAATATAGGCATCAAAGAAATTCTCCTCAACACAATAAAGGGCATATATGACAAACCCAGAGCTAACATGATACTCAAAAATGGAAGGTTTTTCCTCTAAGATAAGGAACAAGACAAGAATGCCTACTTTCACCACTTTTATTTAACATAGTACTGGAAGTCCTAGCCAGAACAATTAGACAAGAAAAAGAAATAAAAGGCATCCAAATATGAAACAATTAAATGAAGTAGTCTGTTTGCTGATGACATGATCTTATATGTAGAAAACCCTAAAACTCCACTAAAAAACTGTTAGAACTAATAAACAAATTGAGTAAAGTAGCAGGTCACAAAAGCAACATACAAAAATCACTAGCATTTCCATACACTAACAATGAAGTATCTGGAAAAAAATTAAGAAAACAATCCCCTTTACGATAGCATAAATAATACTTAGGAGTAATTTTAACCAAGGAAGTGAAAGATCTGCATACTGAACACCATAAAACACTGATGAAAGAAATTAAAGAGGACACAAATAAATGGAAAGATATCTCACATTCACTGATTAGAAGAATTAATATTGTTAAAATGTCCATACTACCCAAAATGATCTACAGATTCAATGTAATCCCTATCAAAATTATCATGTCATTCTTCACAGAAATGGAAAAAACAATCCTAAGATTCTCACAGAACCACAAAAGACCCTAAGTAGCCCAAACAATCTTGAGCAGAAAGAACTAAGCTGGAGGCATGACACTGTTTAATTTCAAAATATATTACAAAGCTAGAGTAATCAAAACAGCATGGTACTGGCATAAAAGCAGACACATCAACCAATGGAATAGAATAGAAAGCCTAGAAATAAATCCGTGCATGTATAGTCAGTTGATTTTCAACAAAGGTGCCAAGAACACACAATGAGTGTTCAATAAATGGCATTAGGAAAACTGGATATTCATATGCAGAAAAATGAAATTTTAACCTTATCTCACCTCCTATACAAGAATCAACTGATAATGAATTAAATGCTTAAATGTAAGACCTGATACTGTAAAACTGCTAAAAGAAAACATAAGGGAAAAGCTACCCATTGGTCTGAGCAATGATTTCTTGCACCTGACTCCAAAGGCACAGGTAATAAAAGCAAAATAGGCAAGCGGGATTGCATAAACTAAAAACCTTCTGCACAGCAAAGGCAACAACAGAGTGAAGAGACAACCCACAGACTGAGAGAAAATATTTGCAAATTATACATCAGATAAAGGGCTGATATCTAAGATATATTAAAAAATCAAGCTGCTCAATAATAAGAAAACAAATAACCCTACTAAAAAATAGACAAAAAACCTGCATAGACATTTCTCGTAGAAAGACAAAGAAAAGGCCAACAGATATATGAAAACATGTTCAACATCACTAATCTTGATCAAAATGCAAATCAAAACCAGAATCAAGTATTACATCACACCTGTTAGAATGGCTATAATTAAAAAGATGAAAGATTAATAAGCATTAGCAAAGATGTGGAGAAAAGGGACCTTTTGTATGCTGTTGGTGGAATAAGAAAGTGAGGTGATGGATATGTTAATTAGCCGGATTCACTCATTCCACGATGTATACCTGTATCAAAACATCACATTATACCCCATAAATATGTATAATTATTGTCAATTAAAAATAAAAATAACTTTTAAAAAAAGATTTGCTGGACAAAGATATCCAGAAAGCCAATATTTGTACACAGAATAGTTGAGAGAAATAAATTAATAAAATAAAACTTCTCAACCTTATCTAGGCCACTGCTTTCACAACCTATTAGTCCAAAGAAACCTCCCTTACACGTTAACATCCCAGGGTACACATTCTGTAAAATGCTGCTCTAGACTCACAGACTTAATAACAGAGGTTGGGGGAGTTAGAAAATATTTTGACATGCTCAGTTTCTTTCATTTTTCTTTCGGCTTCCTCAAAAATACCTATTTGAATATGTAAATAGTATCCATGAACATTATTTCTGGTAAGAAAGGGTTTCAGGTAATTAAAAGCCCAGGATAATTATATTATGGTCTATGTTTAATTAGTGCTTCATAGTAATTAAATTAACTTTTCTTTTACTTGAAGGCATGGCTTTGATAGTTGATTATCTAAAAGTAATTTTCTAGGCAATAATTCTGTCCCTGTTGAAATATTAGTTTGAGAAGTAGGTGAACTTGGTTTCCTTAATCAGGCTGCACTGTGCTTCACTCACATCCCGTGTCTCCTTTCACAGGTAAAGGATGAGCAGAGACATCACAATTTACACATTAATTAGATTGTAAAATGAACTCTGGGAGAAATAAAAATCTCGAGCCCTCTGCAGACTTAGGAGACAGATCAGCATTTAGCACGGTCTCCTACTGTGTTTAGACTGGACTGCTTGATTGAGAAATGATGTCAAGCATTGTTCTGATGCTGCTATTCTCTGGTTTCTTTCTTTTCCCAGGCTGGATTCTATAGGTTTGCACCCAAACAACCTATAGGCATGACACAGCAAACCCTCACACAAACACTGGTTTTGCTTTATGAATTCAATCCAAGACAGGGAAAACAGTCTCAATTTTCTGGCACTCTCCCTCTTGAGCCCTGGAACTGGAGAAATTCTATGACAGGCTATTCCTATGTTGAAGTAAGAGATGCACAGTCAAGAAAAGCCAAGAAACTCAAGTAAGTATTGTATGCCGGCACCAGAAGCACAGGACTGCTCTGACTGAAAGTGGCAATAAAGGAAAGCTGAGACACGTGGGAAAAGGGACAAGAGCCAGAAGAAATACAAAAGGAAAAAAACAGGCAGAGTAAAGGACAGCACAGAATAGACATGGTGGTGTGGAAAACAAGCAGCAAGCCGTCTGACAGCTGAGAAGAGCAGCAAAGAAACTTAGAGCAGTTCTGTCATGTGGAGAGAGGGGCAAATAGCCCCCAACCCCAAAAAGCGTGGTAATTAAGGCATTCACTCATTCACTCATTCATTCAACAAACTTACTCTGTGGGAAAAGCTTAAACTTGATTCACTTCTAAACACCCACTTCTATTATTTTTACATTTTATTATGATTTAAATGTTATTATTAAAAAATGTTTTGGCCTTATATACTCAGGATCATGAAATCTGGCAGAAATGACATAGATAAAATATTGTTTTTATGAGAAAGGATGCTAACATGGACAAATGCTGAGTGTGGACAGATCCGTGTCTCCAACCTCTCCCATCTGTGTGTAATATTCAGTGCCCTCCCCACCTCCAGGTAGTACAGAAACCCTGATGTCTCCATCAGCAGGTGGCTTTGGGCCTCAAAGTAGAAGTCAGACATAGAAAAGAAAATTTAAATACAATTTTTACACATCTAGGTTTCTAGCCTAGGAAAGTACGTTCTTAGGTTTGATTTGAAAGAAATGTTTTTAAAAATTCCATTCCCCACATTTTCTAGTTAAAATTTAAGGGCAGGATATAGTCTCCCTATTTAACAATAACAAAAATGGTATAATTTTCCATAAATTTAGTACTTTCCTACTTTTGAAAGAACAAGATTTTAGATGCGAAGTCCTATATTCAAGGCTGACAATTAAAATAGACTTTTCAAAAAATCATTTTAAAATCCCGTAGTTTTAAATTTAGCTTTACAATGTTCAGATGGTAATGTGAATAGAAATGGTGACTCAATTACTTTTCAAATGAAGTACGTTGATGAATATATTCATTTTCTCTTGGCAGGGAATTATTATTGCCTTAAATTTAATCTTACTTCTGCACATGCTACAGGAATTTTCATGGCTAAACTGTTTTAAATTAACTTATGATTCATCCACCATGAAAAATGAGTGTACTCTACCCACAATGAGGCAAAGTGACAAGTAGACTGTAGACGACTTTAAATTTGATTTTCTCAGACATTTTATTAAAACCCTTCTCTTGGGTTGCTAGAAATCATGCCCCTGGATTCACTCCAGGGGCAGGCTTGGGAGACTGGACTGAGCTGGCAGGACATGCACTTGTCCATTTATTCAACAAATGCAGAATTAGGCACATAAGGGATCAAGGCCAGAGACTCTGCTAAAACAGAAAGAATAAATGAGCCTTTAGGTCCAAAAACCTACTGACAAAGGAATAGCCAAACTTTATTCTCTAAAGATAATATTGTAGCCCCTGATCCCAGGGGAGAGGTTGTTTGCTCTCTGCCCCAGTTTGAAGCAACCTGAGGGCAGAAGAAGGAAAGAACAGGATCTAGACTATAGTGGAAAGAGATGAGAAGTCTGCAGGTAAATCTAATTCTATGATTCCAGGACAGAGAGGCCAAACCTGCCTTAGGTACACTACCGACTTCAAAAGCATTATTCCAAAAGTCAATATCAATGCCTTATATACTTATCTCTAGTTAGAAGTGTGTACAGATGAACAAATGTCTAGAACTGGGAGATATAAAAGCAGCTCTTAGGTAAGAGGACAGCTACAATCAACTTAATTTGGCTCAATGAACTCATCTTCTCCCAGGAAGGGTTTTATGATGTGTATTTATTCACATCATAGAATAGGGAACAAACTTAAAAAGGCAAAACTCATTTTGCACACAGGCCAGTGGCAGATGAGAATTTGGAACTCACAGTGAACTGTGGCTTTGGAAAGATCACCCACTTCATGTAGTATTTTAAATGTGTTTTGTGAGCGAGTACCTAAGGTAGTAGAAGACACAGTTACAAGTATGATCAATCAACCTTAGGCTATTTAAAAGTTCTAAAAAAAAAAAAAGAAGCATGAGGACTTTTCTGCACCTTAGAAAAGTGAACAAAATAATACATGCTCTTAACAGTGATAGCAATTGCATTTGTGCCCACAGAGGAAGAAACATTCATTTATAAAGGACAGGTAAAAGATGGGTTTTGAAAGATGTCACCTCAGTGAAAGAAATCTGTGAATGCAGCCATTTCTGACTTTGTTCTGAGTCAAATAACCTTGTTCTAACCATTGCCTTCCCTCCCAAATCTTGAATAAACACAAACACACACACACACAGCTATGTTATCGAGCTAATTACTTTAGTTTCCTTATCTATAAAATATGGATAATAGTATCAACCTCCTAAATCTCTTATGAGAATCAAATGAGATGATCATGCAAAGACACCACTTAGCAGTGTCTATCTGGCAAATGTCATTATGAGACTGCAGTCAATGTTGCAAATTAGTACTATGTTTATGATTCAATAGATACCTCAAGTATGTAAACATACTTGAACTGGTCTGCAGTCCATAATTTAACTTGGATGTATAAATGAATCACTTTGAGCAGGTCTATGCACTCAAATCATTGAAGGCCAATGTGAAAAAACAAACAAACAACAAAAAAAAAACCTCTGAGCACTCTTAATTTTTATTTTTGTCTTATTTGTTCAAATGCCAAGTATAGGCATCTTACAATGATACCATGTGTGTCCCCAGAAAACTTCACATTTTGGAAAAATTGCACACTAAAAATAATAGGGTCTTTGGGAAAAATGCATTAATAATAAGATATTTAAA
Organism: Homo sapiens; assembly: GCF_000001405.40. Lineage (NCBI taxonomy): Eukaryota > Metazoa > Chordata > Mammalia > Primates > Hominidae > Homo > Homo sapiens. The sequence goes on from NC_000005.10 coordinate 96,854,634, forward strand.
TCCAATACAGGTTTGAAATCAAGACTCTAACACAAACAGTTAGAATCCTAATAAGAAATTATGCTATTATGGTTCAATTTCCATGGGCATTTGCCATAAAATTTCAGTCATTCCAACCCTTGTGGCCTTTTACCATGGAGTCATGCTTTATTTTTCTTTTAAAATGAATGTCCTTGAAACAGTCACTTCTATAGAAAGAAGTTTAACCAAAACTTAAAATACTATCCAAGGGTAGCCTTTTTAATCATTAATTTTCTTTTTAACATGAGAGAAATATCTTCAGGCTTCATCTTTTCTTGAAACTCCCCAAAGAGCTTAACATATAGAAAATCTAGCAGTTTTTCAAACCACTAAATAAGTCACATTTTACACAAATGAAAGGCATTTCTGCAGATTATATAGGTTTTATCTTAAAGTCTTAATATATTATGAAGTTTTTTCTCTATTAGTAAGAAAGCTTGACTATAATGGGTTTAAAACATTAGCATGTTGGGGGAAATTGCATAAACCCACATAACTTCCACTGACCTCAGCCTCCTCTTTACCAGTCATGGTAGAGATAATTAACATTAAAGAAACACATTATGGGAGAACAGACTATGATTGCATCATTATTATAATGACAACAAATGTAACCCTTATTTCCTATTAAAAAACACTTTCGATTAATGATAAGGAATGTTCTAAAAGACTAGATTGTTGCAGAGTTGAATAAATATCCATGAAATTGAGCTCTAAGAATGTAAACAGAGATTCTGTTGAAACTACTTTCACAGGATACATTGTCTATATCTCACACTGGAGACAATTTTGTAGCAGAAAAACTTTGGAGAAAAGAAAAAAAACCCAGGTGGGTGGGCAGCAGTGGAACCAGATGAACATTCTCTGTGGAGCTTCACCAGCGATTGCATAGAACTCTGTGATTTTACAGTGAAGACTGTCTGTTCCTTTCCATGACTTACAGAAACCAGGAACTTTGCTCCAAAGAAAAGGGCGATGGCATTTTGAAAACTAGCTAACCGTCAGAGGCAATTGCAGCGGAACTTTGGCCACCGTTGGATCATTTCCACTTCTCTCCCACTTACTTGACAGCCTGAGTCATTTTTAGATCTGATTTCACAGTCAAGAGTGAATCTGAGTCCCAAGACATCTCCCTGTTGGTCTTGTAGGTAAAAGGGAATAGAAAGATGTAGGAGAAGGGAATTTTCAGTTCTCAAATAATTTATGCAAGTATATACACACATACACATGCACACACATATGTGTATGTGTGAGCCTTGTTAACTGCAATGTTGGGAATGACTGTGTGTGGCCACGACCAAATTGCTGGGACACACAGAAGAAAGATTATTCTCTTTTAGTCACATGCAATAGTCGATCTTTCCTATAAATATATTTTGAGCAGGCCGGACACAGTGGCTCATGTCTGTAATCCCACCCCTTTAGGGAGGCCCAGGCGGGCAGATTATGAGGTCAGGACTTCGAGACCAGCCTGGCTAACGTGGTGAAACCCCGTCTGTATTAAAAATACAAAAATTAGCTGGACGTGGTGGCAGATGCCTGTAATCCTAGCTACTCGGGAGGCTGAGGCAGGAGAATTATTTGAACCCGGGAGGCGGAGATTGCAGTGAGCCAAGATTGCACCATTGCACTCCAGCCTGGGTGACAGGGTGAGACTCCGTCTCAAAAAAAAAAAAAAAAAAAAAAAAAAAAAAAATATATATATATATATAGAGAGAGAGAGAGAGAGAGAGAGAGAGAGCAAATACTTGACTATTAGTTTGAAAGGAACAAATTATTTGCATTTTTGAGATATAAGTATGTTTTAGTACAATGCTGTTTGAGCTATTTGACACCAACCTCTGCTTTCCTTCCAGCAAATTCAAACCCTACGTCGTATCTTGGCAGTCATCCTGTCCTTAAGAACATTTATGGAGCTAGAGCTAGTTCACTGTTCTCAGTAATTACTTATATCAATTCTCCTGCTGTTTCTGGCTGCTTCTGCTCTGGCTTTGGGTCCTCATCCCATTAACTGGCCTTTGGCCATAGATCCCTGACTGGCCCCTGCAATTATGCTCAGTTCATTTTCCTTCTCCCTACTTACGGCATAGTTGTCACTGGGTCTCTGTTTTCACTGGTCTCTCCCACTTGATACCATATCAAATTGGCACTGTTGGCTTTCTGATCCAAATATCAATATTTTACGCATTTCACTTTTCTGCTGGTTCTCTGTCTGCTCCCTCTTATTGGACTTTGTGGGCACAGACCACCCACTTATCCCCTTCTTCTCTTCTCCAGATCCCTGGTGCCTGTCTGGCTTTCTGCATCCTGATGCCCTCAGTTGGGCTCCTACCTCAGAGCCTCATCTTTGTAGACCTTTCAAGTTCATGCCTCACCACAGTCATTCCACTGAACTACTCCCCTGGCTGTTCCCCCAGATGTCTCCTATACTTTCTTCTGCCTCTGCCCTCTGCATCTGCTCTTCTCTTTGCTTAGGATGTGACCTCCACTCTTTGCCAGGCTAACTGCTTCTCATCTTTCAGGACTCAGCATCAATGCCACTTCTTCAAAGAAGCCTTCCCTGATCTCCCAGGGCCAGGTTAGGTTAGCATCCTATGTGCTCTTAAAGCTTCTTACCTTGTCTTACTCCTAGCACACACATGTCACACTGGGTTATTGTTGCCTTTTTGTTTGACTGTTTCCCCTAGTTAAGTGAAGTACTTAAGAAGTGATCATCTTGAAGGAAAGAACTTCATCTTGTGATAATTTTATCCTCAGCATCTAGAACAAGGCCTTGCCCATAGAAAACTCTCAGTACTTTTGTGTGATGAAATACAAAACTAAAAATTAATAAAAATTAATAAAAAAATAAAAAGCTAAAAATAAAAAACTACAAATGCAACCACATAAAGCATGGGTATTATCATCAATCCCATTTTAAAGATAAGGAAACTGAGCATGGAGAAATTAAGTGACTTTCCGAAGGTTACATAGCCAAGAAATACAGATGTGAGTTTCAAATCTAGGCAGTCTGCCTCCAGAGCCTATATGCTGAATTGCTACTCTATAATCTATGCCTCTTGCTTTTGAGTTAGGGATAGAACCATAGCCATCATAAAGGATCACTTCTCATTAACTTTCAAAATAACCTTAAATTTAAAAGCTACAGATTGGGTGAGAAAACCTGTTTTGTATTCAGGCTTTTCTAACTCTGACTGAGCATACATATTTTGTGTTCAGCCCTTTATGGCAGATCCTAGGGGCAGGGTAGAGGGTAAGAAAGAAAAGAAATAGGGTCAGAGGGAAAATACCAAGGATCATGTGCAAAGGATAAAATGAAGATCAAGTTTTCAAAATATGTTCCAAATGGGTCATATAGCAAGGGCAGTGGCAGGGACCTGAGAAAGCAAGCTCAATGAACAGCAGCTTGCAGGGGCAAAGAGGCTGAACCGTGGATTCTACCAGCATGGTTTTGCTGTTAAGCCACAATGGGAGATAATTTTGTATCTGATTAATTTGGTTACAGCAAACATTGAGTCACTGTTGACAATTGTAAATTATTCTTCTCCTCCTTGTTCTTCTTCTTTTTTTTTTTTTTTTTGATGGAGTTTCGCTCTGTTGCCCAGGCTAGAGTGCAGTGGCGCTATCTTGGCTCACTCCAACCTCCGCTTCCTGGGTTCAAGTCATTCTCCTGCCTCAGCTTCCCGAATAGCTGGGATTACAGGTGCCCGTCACCATACCCACCTAATTTTTGTATTTTTAGTAGAGACAGAGTTTCACCATGTTGGCCAGGCCTCAAGTGATCTGCCTGCCTTGGCCTCCCAAAGTGCTGGAATTACAGGTGTGAGCCACCATGCCTGGCCAATTGTAAATTATTCTTCACTTTAATTGTGCCCGATAACCTTGAACTAATTACTTGGTGATTAATGACAGCCATTCAACTTGGGGATTTATGCCAAAGAATACTGAATGTGTCTAAGATTTCTCTGAGCCCTAAATTTGGGTGACAGTATTTGTCTTCATTACTGAAGTTAGAGTGCATGACAATGCCCTCCACCCCATCAGCATTGCACCTGTTATACCTGCTGCCTTTATAGAGCCCAGAGAAGTCCCCAGGTTAGATTAATCATGGTATGTAAATAGATAGTTACTGTAGCTAAAATGTCATGTCCAGAATAGAAGCCCAGCAAAGGAATAAAAGTGAGAAAAAGGAAGAGGAACAGTGTGGAACATCAGCAAGTCATTCTCATCACTTTAAAACTTCCCTGTGTTCTTGATTCACAGGCAAACACAAATCCAACAACATCACAAAACAGTTCCAAGAACCCTGGCTCTGAAGATTACTCCTTCAAAGCATGATATTGGTTGCTACAATTCCAAAAGAAAAAGATGAAGCTTATGTTAGACCAAGGCCCTGCCACATGCATACACACACACACACACACACACACACACACACACACACACACACACTGAACAACAGACATGTTCTATTCCTTTCCATGCCCCTAAGTAATTAGCACAAGGCCTTCGTTTGTTAGTTGTCTGTGCAGTTTGTTGAATTGGGTCTCTGGGCGACACAGGAGTGTCCTTCTTGTCCATCCTGGTCTGTACTTGGGGCTGTCAATGGAAAGCCTTCCTTCCACACTGCCAAAAAACCCCCCTGGAAAACAGAGTCCAAACACAGCAGGGGGCCACATTCACCTTCGTGTTCCCAACACGCTGTTGCTCTGCGAGTGCAGGTTGAGTTGAGGGAACAGTTCTGTTGCCCAGAGCATTGCCTCAGGCTCCCAGACCGTTTGTGCTGGGATACTAGATTGGCGGAACCAAAGAAGACCATTCTCCTCTGTAGGTGGATGGTTCCCTGCTTGTATCTTTCCAGAATTGGGGCAATCTGAGCCTCAATGTCACACAAGCTGCACAGTGCAATGTGGGGAATGCCCAGGACAGAGCTGAGAGGCTAGATCCTGCCTTGGCCTTTCATCTAGTCACTGTTAAGACCTTGGCAAACCACTTAACCTCACTGGGCTTCTATTTTCTCATCTGTAATATCTCCCCTGATTTCTGTGGAGATTGTTCTGAGGATCAATGACATAATATATATCAAAGTTTTTGTTAACTGCTAAGCAAGCCTAGTAGTACTTATGGCATTATTAATTTTGGCTGGCAACTATGACTCTGACCTATTGACATCAGCCTAATAACATCAGTAAGGCCAAGCAGGCTATGTTAATGTTTGAGGGAGATTTTTCATACATGAAATTTAAAATCCCCTCTAGCTGGTGTAAAATAATACTTAGCATACTACCTTCCCTGAGCTTGGGCTGGGCTGCAGTGAATGGCATATCGTTTTGTGATTTAACATCATATTGAGATAAAGTACAGCCCAAAATACATATTGTCTATCAATCTGTTAATTTTATTTATTTATTTATTTATTTAATTTTTGAGAGAGTCTCACTCTGTTGACCAGGCTGGAGCACAGTGGCATGATCTCGGCTCACTGCAACCTCTGTCTCGAGCAATTCTTCTGCCTCAGCCTCCAGAGTAGCTGGGATTACAGGCGTGTGCCACTACGCCTGGCTAATTTTTGTATTTTTGGTACAGACGGAGTTTCACCATGTTGGCCAGGCTGGTCTCGAACTCCTGACCTCAGGTGATCCACCTGCCTGGGCCTCCCAAAGTGCTGGGATTACAAGTGTGAGCCACTACACCCAGCCCTGTCTATAAATTTATAATGAGAATGTGTTTCACAGGATGTGTATTTATAAATATAAGTAATTATATTTATAATGATAAATTAGGCCTGTGTTGTTGTTTGTGGTGGTGATATTAAGGCTGAATTTACAGAGGAGAAGAACTAGTCTTACATTCATTCAACAAAATTATTTAGCAACTACTGTGTGCCAAGCTCACTGTATTAGATACTAAAATATAGCACTGAATGAAAAAGACATGGGCCCCAACCTTACTATATTACTGTCTGGTAACCCAGTTGAGTGTAAGGGGGTCTAGGAAGGTTTCCTTGAGTAAGAGTCAGTTTCTGGAAGACTTCCACAAGAAGGAGTTGGCTAGAATTCAGGGGAGTGGAATAAAAGGGGGAGCTAATGCACATTTGTCAGTTGGTTGCTGTTTATCATATTCTAAATGATTGCCTCACTTTTCAGTCCCACTGCCCCAAAGAAATCAGACTCAAATTTCCAGCCTCCATTATAGCCAAATTGCAGACAAGTGACTTACCTCTGCCAATCCAATGCAGTAATGTGCGACTTCAATTTACAAGTGAGCAACACAGGTAAACAGTCTTCATGTAGAGCTTTCTTTTCTTTCTTTTTTTTTTTTTAATTGTGTGGGCAGAAGCCTCTACCGACTGAAGAGAGCAGTCATTACAAGGTCAAAACCTGCCTTTGTGATTCTGTGGCCAAATTGTCTCCCTAGAAGTTTGTAAGTCTGTTTCTACAGCCTTCCTGACAATTCTTTGAACTGCCAAAATATTTTCATCAATTCCCACAAATAAGGCATCTGACCACTCCACAACAAAGAAGGTATGAACAAGGGCTTGTGCCTCTGATCTGCTGGTCTTATCACTTGCTGTGGCTTCCAGAAGCAGGTGGCATCAGTGTGGGTTTTCCCTGGGGACATCTTCATGTTACAGAGGTAATGAACACACAGATACTTCACTAAGGCAGCCTTCGACTAACTCTCTGGTAACAAAGGATAGAGTGGCCTAATTAAGGAGAGTTTCTGATGAGCAGCCTGAGCCCCAGCGGATCTGAATGCAGATTAGGTAAAAATCTAGGTGGCTTTTGACTGGTATGTGCTTATTCTCATTTAAAGATTTCACAGGGATAGTCTCAAGGTTCATAAGCAGCTCCAAAGGTACTTGAAGATATTTCTGAAAGCCTTAATCAGAATTGGCAATGTTTCCTCTGATGCTGTGGATACCATTCGTCCTCCTCAGTAATAATAAGCACTAATATCTCTGGAGCACTTGGGATATGCCAGGCTTCATCACATACCATCTTATTTGATCCCAGCTACAACACTTTAAGACAGGTATTTTAATTATCCCCACTTTACAAATGAGGAAAGTGAGGCAACAGAACTTAAACATCTAACTGAAGTACATGGCCCAGCATTTGAACCCAGGACATTTAACTTCAAAGCCCATGTGCTTAACATTCCACTGTGACTACAGAGCAGAGACAACATCCTTGCGGGAATTCTGTTGCATTTACCCAACAGTAATTTTGCCTATTACTTTTTAATGATCAAAATAAACTTGAAATTTAAAGCATCCCATTCTAAAAAGCTTGTATGACTTGTGAACCAAGGTATATTGTGATTCTTTTTGAAAAAAAAATCAAGACAAGGTCTTGCTCTGTCACCCAGGTTGGAGTGCAATAGTGCAATCATGGCTTACTGCATCCTTGAACTCCTGGGCTCAAGTGATCCTCTTGGCTCAGCCTCCCAAGAAGTTGGAACCACAGGTGCACACAATCATGCCCAGCTAGTTTTATTTTTTTCTTTTTATTTTTTGTAGAGATGGGATCTTCCTATGTTGTCCAAGCTGGTCTCAAACTCCTGGCCTCAAACAATCCTGCCTCAGCCTCCCAGAGTGCTGGGATTACAGGCATGAGCCACCCTGCCCAGTCTAAATCAATCTTTACAAAAGGTGATACTATAAGTTCTTTAGTGGACAAGACATTGCTACCCAAGTGCCATCTCAATAAACAGTAAACTTTTACAACAAATAATCATGTAAATAAATAAATAAACTTGCCTTCTTATTAGTGAAATTGCGGCTGCCAACCTTGTGAAGATGGCCTGAGAATCAGTCTAACCCAAGCTGTCACAGAAAATCAGAAGGCAGCTATTAGCAAATATTTCAGTGTGTCAAAGCCAGATATGAGATCTGGAACTTGTAACAGAAACTCCCTGAAATTACAGTGGTTATGAATAAGGGGCATTAAAAGATTCCATCATTGTCTGGTGAATGGTTGACTTTTAGTAGCGAATGAGTTTTAAAGACCTCTGTTGTTTCATTTTAAGCTGATCTTTTCTTGATGGCAACAGGGTAACCTTCTCTGCAGCCACCATGATTGCCTAGAGATTATTCTTTATGCTCTGCCTCATTCCAAGCATATGAGGCAATTGAGAGATTAAGGAGGAAGAGAAGTGCTTGTTACAAGACTATCCCTGCACCATTCTCTGGGCCCATCCCTAAGAAAAGGTCTCATTTTGACCTTTCCTGTCCCCCTGCCATTTTGCTGTTACTTCCTACCAAAATGCCTTGGACCTTTCAGAGCTACCTCGTTTACCCTCACCCGTATCTGGGTTGAGCAGGGCATAACTGAAAGTGGCACACTTGCCATGTTAACTTATGCTTCTTGGAAACTTATGATTCACTTATTTTTTTTTACATAAGTATTTCTTCTTTTGTTAGAAGATCCACCTGCACTATCCTCTCAAGTCTCTCTTCTCTAAATCCACCACTGTGCCCTAAGTTTGCCCCCTGCCCCCACCTTCACTCCCTGTGTGCCCTCCTCAGGCTCCTCTCCATTCTAAGTACCCAAGGCTTGTTCCCCAATCAGTCTCTTCCTGCACCCTCCCTCACAATTTGCCCTCTGTCAGCTGCAGAGCCTCTACACCAGAACCTCTACAGATTCTACCAACAGCTCTACTCCCACCGTCCACCTCCTTAGCCCTCTGCAGTGTGGTTTCACCCTTTGCCTATCCCTGAAGTTAAGCGGTTTCTCTCAGAGGCATTTTCTGTGTCATCCAATTCAGTGGGTTTTTCTCAATCACCATCCTCACTCACCTTTCATTTGTGTCTCCTGATCACCACTTTTTCATGAAATTCTCTTCTCTTGGCTTCTGTCATGTTCTTATAATCCTCCCCCGTGCCCGATTTCTCTGGCTGTCTTTTCTTTTTCTTGTTCCCCGAAACAGAAGCTCCTTCAGCCTCTTTCTCTTTTTACTCTGTATTTTCTCTTAGCAGATTCACCCATGGTCACGACTTTGCTGCCTTTTTATGTGAATTCCTACCTGATTTTTTCATACATTTTTGTTCACATTTCTAACTACCCACTGATTTTTATGTGAAAATTGTTATTAGTTCTTCAAGCTAGATATGTTCAGGATCCAGTCACGTCTACCACTCCTCTCTGGTACAAACCCCTAATTCCAACCAGGAAATTTAGAAATCTTATTTAAAAAAAAATCTCATCTCAATCACTTTGCTCCTTTAGTATCACTTCTTATGTGCTCTTTCCTCCTTTTCAAATAATCATTTAAGGCTCAACTGATATTGTGTATTATCTTCAAAGGCTTCCTTGACTCCAGCTATAGTGTTAAATTCTATACTATAAATTCTTGATTTTTTTTTACCATGTGCATATACTGTTGTGATGTTTCTAAAGGTGGGTACATTCATATACATATTCACATTTACACGCACACAAGATGCTTCAAGCAGGGGCAATAGTTGACTTCCTGGCAATACTTATTATGGCACTTTGCAGATAATGTAAACACACACACAAAAAGCTGCTAAATGAATAATGTTACCACTTTCCTTGTACTTAGATTTAGTGGCGATTTGACACTTACCTCCCAAAGCAATGAAATTGCCATCGTTGACACAGTAGCTGAGCCAAAAGTTATTTAACTTGTGCTAAATATGTCAAAGCCATGTGTCTTTGTGTTTTCCCTTAGAGAGGCCAACAGATGCTTCTTTATTTTTCAAAAATTACACTCAATGTTTTGAAGATTTTATGGAAAATGAGTGTACTTTCAAAATGACATGTTTCTTAGTACAGACAAGATGACAGTGAAAAGTCTCAGGTTTACTTTGCTATGTTTTGTATGCATCACATTGGTAAAAAAAAATACACAGATATATTCCAACACATGATAAACAGAAGTCATATTTCAGCTGTGGTAGAAGGTTTTAAGGTTATTTTCCAAAAAATAAATTTATAATAAATTTAAGCCAATTGATTGTACAAGAAACCTTTATAATCCCTTGGAAGGATACAATGCTTTAAAAAGAAATTATCCTTTTTAGTCAGCTGTATCATATTTTATAATTTTGATTTGGGTATCTTGAAAATGCAAGTTCAATAGTAATTTTCTTAGAATATTGGAAAGATTTGATAGGTTGAAAAGGGAACAATACTTTTTTTTTCAAAGTGACTTATATATGTGTAAGTTAAAACTATAAAAATATTATCAAAGGTCCAATTTATAAAAAGGTGTGTCTTCAGTAAAAATCTTATGGATACAGAAATGCAAATATGAGCTAATAATCTGAAAGACATGGAAATTGAGCAGAGAGCTAAAAACTTCAAAAACAAGCCCTGGACTAAAGCTAATGTTTTATTTTTGTCCTTTAACTTTTGTATGCATTCTTCCTAGAAATTTTTCTATGGATTTTTAGCCAATAATTAACTACAATTGAAGTGATGGGATATGGTCCCTGATAGTACACTGAGTTATTTTCCTTTGAACTTATGACCTGTTCCATCCTCCTTGTCTTCTAAATGAGTGAAATTTTTATCCATATCATGGGAAATGTCTCTGAATGTTTTTATAGACACAGAAAATTAGTCAAGACCTGCAACTTATAGAAAAAATGTGATTAAAGTACCCAACCAGAACAGAATTGGAAGGAGGTCCATTTCCTTCATTTCTAATGTCTTCACTGAAATAATATAACCTGTTGGCCTTTGCTCCTGTTCCAATTGTAAATATGTGTATAAAAGCCCTACTGCTTTCCAAAGTACGAACTAGTTCTAAGTAAATTAGGAAATGGGAGATTTGCTTAACATTAGCAAGCTACAGAAATGATGTCAAAATACCCAGGTAGAAATACTTGGTAGATAGTTAATTGTTCTCTACAAGTAATACATCTGAGGTTTTGTTTTCTAAATTGGTAATCAGCAGTGGAAAATAAATACAATTTCCAAATAACCCTCAAATGTTTTTAGTCTACCAAAAAATAAAGGTAACTATTCTATTTTTCATTTTTCTTACTTTAGGCTTTAATTATGCCATACCAGTACTGTATTCTAAAATTTCTTTAACTCTAACATTTAATTCTACTACCACCTACCACACCACATCTAATCTAGTTCCACAGCATACTCAATAAGGGTTTTGGAATGGATGAATGGCCTTCATTTACATATGGTCAAATAAGATAGGTCCACACAAGCGGTGCAATACTGTCTTCCAAACCATGTTGCTTTCATCAGGCCTTGTCAAGAACTTTTCTTTCTCAAAGACATTACACCCAGACTGACAAAAATTAGTTGTGTTTTTACTCTACGCATGTATGTTCTATACAAGATCGCTTTTTTCATACTCAATCTACCAAATATACATACTTACAGCAATTGTAACATCTATTTGTAACATTACTATTCTATGTATTTACAAAAGGAGCCATTTAAAAATGAAATATAGCTATTAGCTTAAACAAGTACAAAGCCTAGTAGTGTTATCTACATGCTTCATGCTTCCAGTGTTATGCCTTATTCTCTCATTATGCCAAGCCTGTACTTTCTCCTTTGGTAAAGTGATCACATTTTCTGGTTCTCTTCCCCTTCCTAAGTGTCAACATAATCTAAACTCTGCAATTAATGTGTGTACAAGCTGTTTATACTTAATGCATCCCATATTTTGGTCTGTGACTCTTGCCTTAAAGAGCCAACTTTTAGGCTAATCTCTACGTTCTTCAATATTCATATCAATTTTAGTAATAAAAACACATCTGTGTGGAAAACAAATAGACAAACATCAGTGTTTGTAACATATAGTAGTAATAGTGATAATTATAACCAACATTCATTAAGGATGTTTATTTAACATGTATGCCCAACCCGGTTGATACGCCATCCCAGCTCTGCCCCAGGGCCTGAGTTGTTTTTCTGGGTGCAGTTGCTTTAGTAATAGCCAATGTCATTCCCGCAGCTATAAAGCCATAGTTCCTGCCATTACAGCCACAAGAAACTTGGGAGACATCACAAGGCACCTTCTAGGAGAGACCTCGTACATGCACACTAGCCAGCCTGGAGGCTGGTCAGCCACCAGGAGGGACCTGCTGACACAAGCTGGAAGTGCTGAGGAGTTGATGTGCTATTGACAAACAGGAGAAGAAGAAGTCAGCAGATCATTTGTCCACCTTTTACTCTATAAATAAACCATTCTGAAGCCAGGAGTTCCATACTGCCTCTCTGGGGATGTCCCACAGGACCAAGCAACCAGCTACGTTTCCTTGATGAGTGACTGGGTCATCAGTACCTAGCTTTGTGCTTATTTCCCTCCTTCTCTGCCTGCCTCACTTCCCTTTTTCCCTGCTTTACCTTTCTGATATTTTTTTTTTTTTTTGTCAGAGTCTCACTCTGTTGCCCAGGCTGGAGTGCAGTGGTACAACCTTGGCTCACTGCAACCTCCACCTCCCAGGTTCAAGTGATTCTCCTGCCTCAGCCTCCCGAGTAGCTGAGATTATAGGCACCCGCCACCATGCCCAGCTAATTTTTGTATTTTTAATAGAGACGGGGTTTCATCATGTTGTCCAGGGTAGTCTCGAACTCCTGAGCTGAGGCAATCCCTCTGCCTCAGCCTCCCAAAGTGTTAGGGTTACAGGCATGAACCACCGTGCTGGGCTTCTCCCTGAGATTATACCCTGTGCTTTAGTTATGGCTGCATAACAAATTAACACAAAACTTAGTGGCTTAAAGCAACAATAATTATTTACTATTTGTCACAGTTTTTATAGGTCAAGAATTTAGACAGGGCATAGCTAGGATGACTCTTCTCTGCTTCAAAATGTTGGAGTCTTAGGTGGAATTCTTGAAGGGTGGCGTTGGGATGATTTGAAACTCATTCACTCACTTGTCTGGTATTGGATGCTGGCTGTCACCTGGAAGTACCTAGCTGGAAGTATCTGCCAGAATGCCAACAAGTCATCTCTACTTGTGGGCCTGGGATTCCTCATAGCCTCATGGCAGGTTCCAAGGACCAGCAGAGAGAGACAGAACCAAGGAGAAGTAGTAGTTCCAAGAAATATTTAACAACCAGCTCTCATGGTGGGGAAAAAAAAGGTACTGCTTTGTATAATTTGTTTATTTACCTGCTTTAATACTCTATGTGGGCTGGGTGCAGTGGTTCATGCCTGTAATCCCATCACTTTGGGAGGCTGAGGCAGGCGGATTACCTGAGGTCAGGAGTTCAAGACTAGCCTGGCTAACATGGTGAAACATTGTCTCTACTACAAATGCAAAAATGAGCCAGGTTTGGTGGCGAGTGCCTGTAATCCCAGCTACCTGGGAGTCTGAGGCAGGGAGAATTGCTTGAGCCCAGGAGACAGAGGTTGCAGTGAGCCGAGATCACACCACTGCACTCCAGCCTGGGTGACAGAGCAAGACTCCATCTCCAAAAAAAAGAAAAACAAACAAACAAACAAAAAAACTCTATTCTCAGGCTACCAACTTGAAGTCACTGACCCAACATTGGAAAGAAATGTATACAATCAGTTCTCTCTTAAAAGTCAGCCCAGCCCTCCATGTGCACAGAAGCCACCTCCCTTCTATGACCTGCTGCATATTATTGAAGGCAGTTACAAAAATCTACCCAGATTCAAGGGGAGGAAACAGAGACCTCACTAACAAGAGCAAATGAGACTGGTTATCGGTGTGGCCATCCTTGGAAATACAACCTACCACTCCTTCAGTAGAGCATTAATACCTAAACTTTGCCTTATGCTGTCTTTTGTGGGGAACTTTGACTAAGGCAACACAGATATATCTCTTTTCATTCTCACAACAGCCCTATGAAGTTTGTGCTATTTTCCCAACATTTGATAAATGAGGAACTTAAAACTTAGAGAAAAAGTGTCTTGCCCAAGTCCACTCAGCCATTCAGGAATTGAGCTGGGATATAAAGAGGGAATGTTTTATTTAAGATCCTGAACTCCTAACCCTAGGCTAGTGGTTCTCAAATTTTAGTGTGTATCAGAACCGTTTCAAAAGCTTGTTAAAATACAGATTTCTAGACGTCACCCCGAGTTTCCAATTAATTCCATTTGGGAAAGACTGAGAATTTGCATTTCTAACAAATGTTCAGTATGCTGCTGATGCTGTTGGAGGGGCAAGGCATACTCTGAGAATCACTGCCCTAGGCTCTACTAATGCATAGTTATTCAAGCATTCAAATTAGATTTAGTAATGGTATCATAAAAATTCTCACCCCCAGTCCTCAACTTCATATATCGAAATCCAAGCCTACCTATAAATCTGATTATCTTAAGTCTGGGTTGTATACTCGTAGAATGTTATTGCTTTTTGGATTGTGTGATTTGCCTCAAGATGTGTGTTTGCACAGTGTTAGCTCTACAACACAGGAGTCTCTGCAGTTACACTTGTTACCACTAGATGAAGCTCCTGCTGCTTTTGCTTTCTTCGCTCAAGAGAACTTGTTGGTTGGCTACTAGATGACACTGATTGTAATTTAAAATGCATAGCTAGGGTTACACAGAGTTGCTTTGCTCTGAAGATAGAGTGACCTGTCTTATTAGTCAATAAAATTCAGAAAGCTAGGTGGTAAACTGTACATCATGGCCTGAAGGCTGTAATCCATAACTTCTCTAGTTGATAACTGCTTATTTAAAAGTATGTACCCATCACCCTCTACCCTCCACTGACTAGTTTTATACCAAGTGTTGGCTTCAGAGAGGTACAAACAGAGGACACTCATGAAAAGAAGAAGACTCTATTTACTCCTGGATGAAAGTTGAGAATTAGCTTACTCAACATATTTCCAAAGTACAACCATGAGCCCACTCATATTTATTTAGTTTACAGATTTATTAGAAAATAACAGGTAGATTCAGGATTTTTATAGAAAAGGATGGTAGAAGGAGCAATCTGTCTGGAACAAAGGGCTTGGGGTTTTTTGCTGTATTCAAATATCAAAAAACATTGTCAAATGGCTCTGGAGAGTTAGGAAGACAGCTGAAGGAAACGAAGAGTGTTGAATTAGGGAAGCCTAAACATAAGTCTAGTGAAAACTCCTCAATAATCTGACCATGAAGACTGTGGAGCTATTGTAAGGTGATCAGACATCTATCCACATTGAAATGGTTCGGAGAAGAGGATGGGTGCCCAGGCAAAAGGCCCAGAAAAACCTTTTTGGAGGCTTAGGGAAATCTGCAAGTGGGACAGGGATGGGGGAGGGTGCTGCCTTTTGCTGTAATGGCACAGTATGTAATTGGACCAACCCTCCCACTGAAGACAATTGTAAACACAGACAAAATAGAAAAAGATCTTTAAAGCATAAAAGTCTAAAAAGATAGTGAAGAATTACTAAGCTAAGATTCTAGAAAAGTTGGAAACCCAAAGAGGTGAACGAGGGATTCCAGAAATTCCCCAGGGGCATTTGCAGATTTGGAAGAGGAAACCAAGAGGCAGACTAAGCTTTTGATAGTAGGACCAGGGGCTGCAAAATCTGAGAGCTGCTGAGAGTAATGAGAAAGGCAGTCTCTGACAGCCAGGAGCTGAATGGGCACTCACAGCCAGACCTCAGTGTTCTCCTGTTGAACACAAACAATTTCATGGAATATGAACATCAGACACAACCACTCTTGTGACTCTGATGGATCAAGACAAACACAAGCCAACTCCATAATCATGTCTGAACACAGGCAAACATGAACGTTGTCCAAACCACAAAAATGACCAAACATCTTCAGGTCCTGGCTAATATGAATGACTGCTGTTTCTTCACCAATTTCAGCCTTAGCCTTTGTCTAATCTCTTAATAAGATACGAAATCATAGAATCACCCCCACTTTCTTAGAACATTTAAACCAAAACGAAGCCCTGCCCCATGAAACTCTCATGCAAATCACCTATAACATCCCATAATGACCCCTTTCTGACACTCTCTTTCTGAGATGCCCCAGGGCTCCCCAGGGTGTTTTCCCTTGATGTAGTGAGTTAATAAACCCAGTTGGTTCAAAAATCACCACCAAGCTTTTTGCCTAGTTGGGTGGTGGATTTTTCTTTTATTACTATGCTATTGAGTTTTGTGCTGGAACACAGATAAGTTACTTGAGAAGTTTCATCCTTTTGGATCCTGCTTTTAAGATTTGTTAGGCAGGACCAGAGCAGAGACTTATCTGCTCCCCACTACTGAGGTAAGACACTTTAGCACACTCTACCCATTGGCCCATTCATCTTGAGGTTCTCCAGTTTGATGGGTAGGCACAAGCACTACTTCTGTCTCTGTGCAAGCACCAGGCTTTGTTCCCACTAATCCTTTTCAGTGGTTCAGTTTCTGGCAACGTTTATTTTCTGCTCATGTGCATATTGATCATTGATCAGCAGAATACTCCAGGAAAATCCTCAGCAGGTTTCCAAAGCCTGCCCTCCCACACACCGTTCGTCTCTTTCTGCAGCTCTCTCCTCTTTGGTATTCATCCTATGAACTCTGGTTTCCTTGCTCTCCCAGAATCTCATCTGCATCTCCTCAACTCAAAGAATCTGCTGGGCTCTGCCTTAGTTCTGTCTCCCTGCAAAGCAGCCTGGAACCTCTCTCAAGGCAGAAAGCTGGGAAAATCACAGAGCTTGCCTATTTGTTTCCTTCTCTCCAGGGATTGCTGTCTTGGGTTGCCTGATATTCATTGTCTTGTAAACTGTCTTTTGTTCATCTTTTTTTGGTTGTTTTAAGCAGGAGAATAAATCAGAGTCCCTACTCTATCTTGGCCAGAAGCAAAAGTTTTTTTAGATCTTTTAGTTAAATTTTTAAGTAGGGGAGAAGCCAAAACATTACTGATTTGGTTTAATCAGTTGGTTTTAATCGGTTGGTTGAAAGCATGCAAATTTACTTTCAAAATATTTAACAAGCTCAGAATCACCCTGGTTTATTTTGCCATCATTTTTCCTGTTTGAGAATGTGTCATCAGTTATTTAAATAATCTGTAATTGGAAAGAAAATAACAGAGGCACCAGCATTTTTCATTTGGCTACTAAATAAAAATTTTTAATGCTGTAAAATAGCAGTTGTTCAATGTCAAGTTTGTCTAATATTCTGTTCCACTTTAACAACATCAGATTTTTATGGCGGCATTTTTCTGTTTTTGTTTTCAGTAAGTGCTTTGTGGAAGGCATTGCAAAAGATAACCATTTTTGAAAAACCATCTTCCTGTCAGTTACTGATTTAAAATTCTGAGAATACATGTTTTCATTTTCTGTTACAACTGAATGAGTTTAAAAGAAGCTATAGATTGCATTTACTAGGTGAATTTCCCCTCCCTACCCCCATTTCTCATATTTTGCATAAGGCTCTGAGTCTTTATACTAACATAAACTTTCACTGATTTTCTTTAAATTAAAAATTTTAAGCCCATAATATAGACTCTGTCTCTATTTTGTCTGAAAAAGAACATAGGCATAACAATAATTCTTAGAAGTATTTTTAATAGATTTATAGAGATCCTTTTGAAAAATAAAATGGAAGTCAGAGAAAAGGAAGCTACTTTTTAAACTATAAGTTGGCTTCAGAGTTACAAGCATCTAGCACTGTCAGGGAGCCATTCGTCATTTTATTCATTCTGTATCTCCCCACTGCAGAGGTTGCAGTGAGCCGAGATCACATCACTGTACTGCAGCCTGGGTGACCGAATGAGACCCTGTCTCAAAAAAAAAAAAAAAAAGGAAGAAAGGCCAAGGCAGGTGGATCACTTGAGCTCAGGAGTTCGAAATCAACCTGGGAAACATGGTGAAAACCCATATCTACAAAAAATTAAAAAATTAGCCAAGTGTGGTAGTGCACACCTGTAGCCCCAGCTACTTGGATGGCTGAAACAAGAGAATCGCTTGAGCCCAGGAGGTTGAGGCTCCAATAAGCTGTAATTGTGCCACTGCATTACAGCCTGGGCAACAGAGCAAGACTCTGTCCCAAAAAACAAAAAATAAGAATAAAAGTAACTGATGCAGGTAAAGAAATTTAAAGTTTACAAAACATTTATGAATTGTCTTTCATATATTTTCCCTAATTGATTCTCGGATTGACAATAATCCTCTGTAGCAAAGTATCATTGTGTCTAATTTGGAGATGAGGAAGTGAATTATTTTAAGAAGATGTTTCAATTCTCTTGATCCTAGGTTCAGTTTATAATTTTTTAAAAAATGAAGTCATTAAGATTTAAATCTGTTGAGAACACCCTAAGAGGATAGAAACATATGTAATATATTTAATAGAAATTCTCGGCTGGGTGCGGTGGCTCATGCCTGTAATCCCAGCACTTTGGGAGGCCAAGGTGGGTGGATCACCTGAGGTTAGGAGTTTGAGACAGGCTGACCAACATGGTGAAACCCCGTCTCTACTAAAAATACAAAAATTAGCCAGGCATGGTGGTGGGCGCCTGTAATCCTAGCTACCTGGGAGGCTGAGGCACAAGAATCACTTGAACCCAGGAGGCGGAGGTTGCAGTGAGCAGAGATTGTGCCACCGCACTCCAGCCTGGGTGACAGAGTGAGACTTTGTCAAAAAAAAAAAATCATGAAAATTCGTGAAATCTTTAAAATATTTTGACAATAAAGTCTCATCTCTTTGGAAAATTCACTGTTAACTCATTCATTCTCACCTGTTTGTTGAGGGCCTATGATGTGCGCAACACTGATAGGTGCTAGAAAGAGGTGGAATCCTGGTGCGTGGTCCATTGCCTGAAGTTGATAATCTGAGGAAGAAAACGAAACACAAACTTGTTAGCCTCAGATGAGTGCCAGTAGACCTACTAAACAAATGCCTGTAGTTTGGGACTGGAAAGGAAGCATGTGTTACTTCCAAAGTGGCTTCTTGGGGCTGGCATTTACCTTGTGGTAGGTGGTTTACACAGGGGACACTCTGAGTGTTCCATAGACACTCTAGGTCAATGGAGAGGAAGGTGCAGAAAAGCTGAGGAAACACTTGGCTCATCCAGAAGTGGAAAGCACCCTGATGTGCTTGAAGCATGAAGCAAGTGTTGGGCAATCTAAGGAAAAACAAAAAACAAAAACAAAAACTAAAACACTGAAAATGCATTCACCCACTCAACTAACATTTGTTGAGGGTCTCTTATATGGCAGGCTCTGCTCTATACTGGGCACTCAGCAGTTAGAGGGCAGAGTTGCTACTGCAAAAAGCTTATGTTCTAGTGAGGAGACAAGAAAACAAACAAACAACTACATAATGAAGTATAAGGAACTGACCAAAGCTAAGAAGAAACAAAAAGCAGGCTGACAGGATAGGCCTTGGTGATGGTGGATTTAGGGAGGAGTGGTACTGCCTTAGAGCCAACAAGGAGGGTCTCTCTGAGTAAGAGACAATTCAGAGACCAGGATGAAATGGAAAACTGAGACATGAATTCCCTAAGCAATAAACTTCCCAAAGCTTATCCCAAAGAAAAGAGAAGAGAAAAGAAAAAAAAAAGAAGGAAGGAAAGAAAGAAAGAGAGAGAGAAAGAAAGAAAGAAAGAAAGAAAGAAAGAAAGAAAGAAAGAAAGAGAGAGAGAAAGAAGAAAGAAAAGAAAAGTTAGGAGCCCATTTTGCTGAGAAACTCTTTTAAATAAGCTACAAGTACTTGAATCTGGCTCAATTTTCACTTCTAGGATTCTGCAGCTCAATTCCATAGCCTGTTTCTTCATTCTCCATCACCACTTCTGTTCCAGTGGGCAGGAGAGAGCTCTGAAAACACACATGCACTCGCCCACATACCCACAGCTAGGCTGGATCTTGTGACAAGGAATATCACAGAAATACTCCCAGCCTCCTATACCTCTTCTACCTGCCCCCACGCCCTGCAGAGTTAGAGTCCGTAGATAAGCCCTTGGGGCCTCCTCTTCTTTGT
This sequence comes from Homo sapiens, assembly GCF_000001405.40. NCBI lineage: Eukaryota > Metazoa > Chordata > Mammalia > Primates > Hominidae > Homo > Homo sapiens. The sequence goes on from NC_000005.10 coordinate 96,874,527, forward strand.
CGTCTTTGTCCCCTTCTTTTTCCCACTCACTGGCTTCCAGCCATCCCCCTTCCTGTGGTGCCCCTCTCACTACATGAAATGCAGCTCTGAGGGACCCCATTCAGTCTTATGTTTCGGGCCTTAGGTGTAGGCTACTGCCTTCCTTTCTGCCCCTTCTACTTTATCGACTTGTTCTTTCAGGTTGAAATAATAAAATGTAGAAAGGTGGAAAAATTAAAGCTTGAGACTTAACTAGGATCTAATCATGGCAACATGTGCTATTGGGCCAAACATAGGTTGCAAACACAAACCACAGCAGGACAAGGCACATGATACAAGTCTATGAAGAGTGTCTGCAACATGATAAGAGCTAAGCTTGTTATATTTCACTTGACAATAGAAATTGTATGGATGTATTGCCATTTAATAGACTGTGATTCAAACAAAACAACTATAGGCTGGCATATAGGCTGCCAGTAGGCCACTATGGTTCCCACACTAGGACTTGCCCCTCTGTAAATGGGGAAATCAAGGAAAGATCTTGAGCAGTGGGGGAGGCATGGTCGAGCAGTAGTTGAAAGGATTAATCTGGTGGCATCGTACAAGTAACTGCAAGAAGCTGAGCTTGAGAAGCTGGGAAGACATGATTGAAGGCCATTGTGAGGAAGGATGAGGACCTGGACTACTTTAATAAGCGGTGGGATTTTTTCTTAGTTGGATAGAAAGAGATTGAAAATGATTCAAAAAGGCCAGTTGCGGTGTCTCATGCCTGTAATCCCAATCCTTTGGGAGGCTGAGGCAGAAGGATCACTTGAGCCTAGGAGTTTGAGACCAGCCTGAGCAACATGGGAAGACCTCATCTATAAAAAAAAAATAATAAATTAGCTGGGTGTAGTGGTGGATGCCTGTAGCCCCAGCTACTTGGGAGGCTGAGGTGGGAGGATCATTTGAGCTCAGGAAGTCAAGGCTGCAGTGAGCTGGGATGGCACCACTGCACTCCAACCTGGGTGACAGAGTGAGACCCTATCTCAAAAAAAAAAAAAAGAAAAGAAAAGGAAAAATCAACAGGCTTTGGTAACAAATTGGAGAGGGACAGAATCAAAGTAACTAACTATATGGTTCAATCCTAGATAATGGAAGAAGGCTGGAAGCATATAAAGCAAAGGGTGTTTATCTGGGGAAAGAAAACACTATTTGAGTTGTCAGGGTTCTGGTTCAGGTTAGGGTTAGACATCCATGTACTGTTGGTCCATCAGGCTGTTGGAATTACAGCAGCAGAACCCTTGAAGGAGGGATCACAATGGGAGCAATGTGGGATGAATGGGGATAAATGCTAAATCTGGGTACTGGAAAGGATAAAGAGAGGGCAGAGCAAAGGCCAGAGGTTTCATCTTTGTGGAAGGTCTGTATTCAGAGCAGAGAGGAAGTTGAAGCCCAACTCAAACAGGCAGATAAAGAGAGATCAAAGAGATGAGCATGAGATACAGTCCCCTCGTGCCCAAGGAGACAGGGTGGTTACAGACATGGAAAATCTGAGAATAATCACCTCTGATAAAGATCACAGAAGCTGCCCGGGAGGTGTTTGGTAAGCTTGGAGTTACGTTTGTGGGGTGGATGGGCAGAAGTCAGATTTCATAGCACTGAGGATGCAGCACAAGGAGAAGTTCAAGATCAATTCCTAAGACAACAACTTGGCACTAAAAAACATAAACTATGTTCTGAAGGCTTTACCCTGGGGACAAGGGAAGGGAGGTGATAACAGCAGAAGTGGCAGCCACTGGCGATCCTTTCTTTCCATGGTTTGGCTTCTACTCCAAAGCCACTTATTTGTGCATTCTACAAAAAGTTTCTTGTCCTTTTTGAAATAAAGCTCTTATCCTAAGCTCCATTCACACCTGCGTGATAATGAACCAGCTAGTACTTACTGTACTCAGGAAGCATGCAAAGTTCTGAATCTTAGAACAGAAAGTGAAAGCAAAAGTAAATTCCCCTTCAGTCAAATCTGCAGCAGCATGATTTAAGGTAACGTATCAACATTTCTCTTGGGTTTGTCTTAAAATTAGATTTTTTCAATAAGAATAATGAACTGAAGGTATAGAACTGCTGTGTTGAGAAGGTTTTGTAATCTAAGGCAAGGTTCTGGGGGACTGGGGTGAATTGGGCGCGGCTGTATTAGAAAGTGTATGCAGTTGAGGCTGGGACTTGATCTAAGACGCTGCTGCACTGACTCTCTTTCAGAGATCTTTTTGTCTTTTCTAAGCGTTTGTGACAATTCTTGCCTCTTCAATCCCAGGATGTTTTGTTCACTGCATTGCTATTTAAGGTACAGTGCAGTATAATAGAAAGCCCACCAGACCAAAGGGCAAAGAGCTATGTTTTAGTCCTGATTCTGTTTCAGACTTCCTGTGTGGATTTTGAGAAGTCACCATCCTGTTCCTTCATCTGTTTATTTAATTTAATTTATGTATTTATTTATTTATTTATTTTGAGAGAGAGCCTCGCTCTGTCGCCCAGGCTGGAGTGCAGCAGCACGATCTCGGCTCACTGCAACTTCCACCTCCCTGGTTCAAGCGATTCTCGTGCCTCAGCCTCCCGAGTAGCTAGGACTACGGGCATGTGCCACCATGCCCGGCTAATTTTTGTATTTTTAGTAGAGGTAGGGTTTCACCATGTTGGTGAGGCTGGTCTCGAATTCCTGACCTCAGGTGATCTGCCCACCTTGGCCTCCCAAAATGCTGGCATTACAGACCTGAGTCACTGTGCCCGGTCCTGTTTCTTTATCTGAACACTAAGGACTTGTACTAGCTGGCCTTTACAACCCTTACTAGTTCTAAAGTTAAAGACTGTGTGAGTAAAGCTTTTCTCTCTACTCTTATCAATCAAGTACATCTCTAGGAGTGTCTGCTACAAGTGGGGGCGAGCTACTCCTTCATTTTGGCCATTGAATGCAAGTTATAACCTCAATAATAATTTCATATCCAACACTAATTACTTACTTCCTATATGCTCCATGCTGTGCTGTGCCAACTTCTTCACATGAATTATTTCATTTAATCATCCCAGCATGAGGAAGGTATAATTATTACACTGTTTTATGGTTGAGATAAATGAAGCTCAAAAAGTAAAAAACTTTGCCCATGATCACGTAGGTGAGGTTGGTGGAATTAGCGTTGGAATCTGGGCACTCTGATTCCAAAGCCTCAGACCCACATAATAAGCCACTCCATTTTTTTTAAACCCTCCAAAATTCAAGCTAATAGACCAATTATGAGTGTACTTATCAGACGTTCTTGGAACACTGAGATTTGTAGCAGTAATTTAATGCTTGTTTTTAAAAAGAGGGAGAAGTATCTTTAATATTATTTTATTTTTGTTCCTTTAACAATACCTGTCACCTGCATTAATATTGCAAATTGAAAAATTGAAGTAATTGTTTGGATAATTAATGCTGCAGAACTTGTTAAGGATTATAAAAAGAAGAAGTAGCAGAGAAAACCTTCATGGTTTGAGTTGGAGCAGTAAGGAAGTAAGTAGAGGCAGGTGGTAGGGTGGCAGTAAGAATTGATTCCCCCAAATTAACTATGCTGTTTGTCCTAATTTTATATGTGTTGTAGCTTTACCCTTCAAAAAGAAAGAAACTTAGTTCTATTTACAAAGGTAGTAAATTCAGTTTGATTTAATTGTGCTTTCAAAAGTAGTGTAAAGGGAAAAGAACCGAACCTTAAAAAAATTCTGTAAGAATATTATAAACTCAAAATTTATTTCCATGGCTTTTGACATATTGAAAATAAACTGGGGATAAATACCTACCTTGACCAGCAACCTTTACACCAGTAGCCATAAAATGAGGCCATTCAGATAATGTTATTGAAAGAGGTGAAGTTCAATGCCATTCGTAGTAATAATAATATCTGGTATCCAAAGAATATAGAATATATATATAGAATATTCTTTGTGACTTATGAAGACAAAATAGAGACATCTTGCACAGTTTACTTTCAGGCATACACTTAAAATTACATGTGTGCCTGTGGTTCCAGCTAATTGGGAGGCTGAGACATCAGGATTGCTTGACCCCAGGAATTTGAGGCCAGCCTGGGCAACATGGTGACACATTGTCTTTCAAAAAAAATAAAATATGGCCAGGCGCAGTGACCCACGCCTGTGATCTCAGCACTTTGGGAGGCTGAGGCAAGTGGATCACCTGAGGTCAGGAGTTCGAGACTAGCCAGGCCAACATGGTGAAACCCCGTCTCTACTAAAAATACAAAAATTAGCTGGGTGTGGTGGCACATACCTGTAATCCCAGCTACTCGGGAGGCTGAGGGAGAAGAATCACTTGAACCCCAGAGGCAGAGGTTGCAGTGAGCCAAGATAGTGCCACTGCATTCCAACCTGGACAACAGCGAGATTCCGTCTCAAAAACATAAATAAATGAATAAAAATAAAGTAGGCTGGTCACAGTGGCTCACGCTTGTAATCCCAACAGTTTGGGAGGATTGCTTGAGTTTAGGAGTTTGAGACCAGCCTGGGTAACAGGGAGACCCCCATCTCTACAAAAAAGGTAGCCGAGTGTGGCGGTGTGTGTCTGTAGTCCCAGCTACTCTGGAGGCTGAGGTGGGAGGATCACTTGAGCCCAGGAAGTTGAGGCTGCAGTGAGCTGTGATCATGATTGCACACTCTACTCCTGCCTGGGCAACAGAGCAAGACCCTGTCTAAAACATAAATAAATAAACAAAAATTTAAAATATAACCAAATGTTAAAAACATTCAACATGCAATGAATTTACACACCTGCCTTCTGCTCGCTGCACAAGAATTCAGAAGAAATTCATTACATTCAATTTTAAGGTAGGGTTTTTTGGGGGAGTCCTAAAGGGTTTTTATTTGTAATAACCAGATAACAGCTTAATTTCTGCTCTATTTTGTGGATACTTGGCCTAATTCTGACAGAGAGCAGATTTTCCCTTACTCACACATACCTTTTTACATGTTTAAGATTTTATTTGTAAATTGAAATCTTTTTTGTCATGCTATAAGTGTGTTTTTTTCTTCTAGATTAAATTCATGTATTGAAAATATTGTTCAGACCCCATGTGACATAACTGGAGCCAGTGCAGTGCCATGAAGAACTACGAGATTAGCCTGGATATTAACTTGTCTTCTAGAGAATAGATTTCATGTTCCATTCTTCTGCAATGGTTAATTCACACAGAAAACCAATGTTTAACATTCACAGAGGATTTTACTGCTTAACAGCCATCTTGCCCCAAATATGCATTTGTTCTCAGTTCTCAGTGCCATCTAGTTATCACTTCACTGAGGATCCTGGGGCTTTCCCAGTAGCCACTAATGGGGAACGATTTCCTTGGCAGGAGCTAAGGCTCCCCAGTGTGGTCATTCCTCTCCATTATGACCTCTTTGTCCACCCCAATCTCACCTCTCTGGACTTTGTTGCATCTGAGAAGATCGAAGTCTTGGTCAGCAATGCTACCCAGTTTATCATCTTGCACAGCAAAGATCTTGAAATCACGAATGCCACCCTTCAGTCAGAGGAAGATTCAAGATACATGAAACCAGGAAAAGAACTGAAAGTTTTGAGTTACCCTGCTCATGAACAAATTGCACTGCTGGTTCCAGAGAAACTTACGCCTCACCTGAAATACTATGTGGCTATGGACTTCCAAGCCAAGTTAGGTGATGGCTTTGAAGGGTTTTATAAAAGCACATACAGAACTCTTGGTGGTGAAACAAGGTAAGAACTTGCTCAGGTAATTTACATTCTTTTGTGATAATTTCCTTACGAGTTACATCTCTTTGCCAGGAGCAGACTTCAGCAGCCATTTATGAGAAATCCAGTGAACTATGGGGAACCCAGAAGAAGGAAAAGATCTACCATTCCTTAAGGAAACCACAGTAGAGATGTAAAGACAGGACTCAGAGGCATAAACAGCTAGAGGGTGAATAACTAGGAGGAGAGGCCAGTATATGACTGATATGATAGATATGCTTATGTGCTAGGGAAAGAGATGGTCAGTGCAGAGAGGGCTGAAATAGGGAATGCTTCTCAAAGGAAGTGAGTCTTCATCTGGGACCAGAAGGAAATGTAAGTGAGACTGGGATTGGGAGAGAGGAAGTGACAAAGTATACATTGCCTAGGTAACAGCCATGACTCATATCGAATAGTCAGAAACAAGGAACTAGTTTGGAAAATTGAGAAATATAGTCAATTTGATCAAGTCACATTCATTGAGCACATACTATGTGCCAGGCACTGCACTAGGCACTGAATGTATAATGGTGGGATCTGATGGAAGAGACAACCAGGACAAGAAAATCAATAAAATTGGCAAGGTAATTGGCCAGTGTTATGAATGAAATAAAACAAGGTGCAAGAAAGGTAGAAAATGAGGCTGGAGATTGAAACTAATTCAGTTGACTGGGCAGGGAAGTGTTTGTTGAGGAAGTGAATTTAAATTGAGAGCTGAGTTTTTTTTTAAAGAGACAGTTATGAGAACATCTCGGGGCAAGTGCTCTAAAGTGGGATTGGTTGAGGAAGGCCAGTGTAAGCTGAGGAGAGCGAACAAGAGGGAGAAAGGGATCAGATCATGTGGAGCCTTGGGGCGTCTTGTAAGGAGTTTTGACTTTAACTCAGATGAAATGGGAAATCACTGGAGGATTCTGCTCTGATTTATGCTTTATAAAGATCAAGTCTATGTTGAGGGTATGTTATAGAGAAGCAGAGTAATCAATTGGGAGGTCATTGCAGTAGTTCAGGTAAGAAGTGATGCTAATTTGGGCCAGGCTAGTGGCAGTGCTTATGGAGTGAAACAATTGAACTTGGCAGTTATTTTGGAGGGCAAAACAACAGAGATTGCTGACATATTGGTCATGTGAGGTGAGGGAAATAGAAGAATCAAGGATGCTTCATAGAGTGGACGGCTTGGTTTCCCAGGGCCAGGATCCATCTGGGAGGTAAGAGGAGTCTGGCTCAGTGCACTCTCACGTTATGTGAATTGTGTTCAATTGCCAGTTGGAGAAATCTAAATTCCATGGCTTAACCACACAGGGGCATATTTTTCTCATGCAACAAGAAGTCCAGAAGTAGGGCAGCTCAGATTGCTATAGTGCTGTTCAGAGTCATCCAGGACCCAGGCTCCTTCTGTCTTTCTGCTCAGCCATCCTATGGCTTTCTTCCTAATACTTGCAAGATGATTGCTGCACCTCTAGGCATCAAGTCCACATTCTAGGCAGGAAGAAGGGGGACACGGGGGAGAGATAAGGGCAAAAAGAAACATTCCACTTGAATCTAACACTCTTTACAAAGATTTCCCACCCAATGACTTCAGCTAGACCAGAATGAGTCATAGCCTCACCAAGTCACAAGGTAGCCTGTAAGAAGTAACTCTCTTATCTGGACTTGTTGCCTTCCTGAATAAAATCAGGATTCCACTGGAACCAAGGAAGGGAAATGGGTATCAGGAAGTGACTAGCTGTGTCTACTACATCCTGCTCTTCCCTTCCCCACTTGGGTGCTCACTGCACAGCCTGCAGCCATCCACCTAGGACAACTCTTCCCCAGGCTCCTCTCTTTCCACATTCCCTTGGTGACACTTCCCCTCATTGCAGCCACAATCCTCAGGGGCTTGTTTTCAGGCTCAGCACAGTATTGGATAGGAAAAGTGTCAACTTCTTCTCACTAAGGCACCACATAAACAATGATGGCTTTTTTCATTTTTTTCAAATGCCGAAGGCCCCATCCAAAGGACATATATCTTAGGGATACTATTCTGGGAGCTGTGGGAGATGAGAGGGGGAGATATTTGGAGTAAAGCTGTAGGACTTTCCAGCATGCCTCCCGTGATTAATTGCAGGCTATTCCTGATGCTCCTTATGGTTAATTAGTCAGTTCCCTTCATACTCAGTCACCTAGTAGGTCTGACATGTATGATAATGTACTGCACAATGTCAATTGAATCTTATGAATCTCTCTCTCTTTCTTCCTCACTTCTTCATCTAAACTACACAAATAATTCAGTTGAAAGTGGTTCTTTTGAGATGCAGAAGGTCACACTTTGCATGTAGAGTTCCAATGAATCGTGTAAGCAACAAAGATTCAGGTTTTTTTGTTTTTTCAATGTAGACTTGTTACAACCAAAATTTCATGTGAGTGAAAATTATTCCAGCCAGTTAGAATTCCTTTACATTTGCAGAAACTGCTACCAAATACAAATAAAACCTTGAGGCCACAAGTGAATCATTTACATCCCTAGCCTCAGTTTCCCAGCCTGTGTCATAGAAATAAAGCAAGCTGAAGTAAAATATCCTGACAGCTTCTCTTTTTTCCCTCCTGACCTCTCTCTCCCTCTTATTTGAGCTATTCTATTCCCCCCTCCTTTTCCAGTCAAAATCTGCTCTCCAAATTCACTTCTTAATTGAAGCTTAAAGTCCAAAGAGTAAATCTGTAACTGTACAGTTTCAGGCATATCCTGGTGTTGGGGTAGAGAAGTTTATCAGAGTATATATCTATTATACCTGTCATCATCTGAAGAGTGGCAAGCAGAGAGAACTAGAAGTACCTGGGGGCACAGGTGCCACAGACAGACCATTAGCCAACAATGGTACAAGAATATGAAAGTCCAGCTCCTTGCCTCCAGTGGGGGACACGTGAAGGCGTAGTTTGCATCCCAGAGCTCCCTGGGAATCAGGCTGATGCTGGGACTTTGCCTGTCCTGCACCCTTGACTGGCTTCTCCCTTTTCCCTGTCCTGCTTCCCTCACTCCCTTACCTGTTTCTCCTGGCAGGATGTTCTCAATAAGTCAGGATCTGCTTCCTGGAAATACAACTTAGGACATCACTCATGTACACAATTACTCAAATGTCTATCTGAGGCCCTTTCAGGTTTAGAGACAATACTGAACATTTAATTTCCTAGTGAATTTTGAAGACATGTAGACAACATGTGTACTATTTCAGTCATTTACTGGCTGCGGATCCTGCTAAGGTCATTCAAGTTGTCTGAGCCTCAATATCCTTGTTTGACCTGAGTATGAATGAAATAATGTAATTAGCATTCCCAAAACAGGGCATTGCTTATGATTGATGGCTGCTAAATAAGATTTTACCTTCATTTTCCTCAAAGAGACAGTTGAGATTCACAAAGATTGCAGTTTGAGAAATCAAGTCTATTACCCCCAGGTTTGATAAGCTGTTTGCTGAATGTACAGATTCATTTCTCTTCTTGATTTCACTTGTGCATTTTGGCTGGGGGTGGGTCTTTTCACAGAATTCTTGCAGTAACAGATTTTGAGCCAACCCAGGCACGCATGGCTTTCCCTTGCTTTGATGAACCGTTGTTCAAAGCCAACTTTTCAATCAAGATACGAAGAGAGAGCAGGCATATTGCACTATCCAACATGCCAAAGGTATGTCCACTTCCAGAAACTTTTAGAAATTGTTCTCAAGTTGAGACTCAGTCTTCGTTTGTTTTTTAAAATTGCTTTCAGGATTTCAGCCATTAATTTGTTTTTATCTATCTATCTATCTATCTATCTATCTATCTATCTATCTATCTATCATCATAATTTCAATCATTCTAGACGTTAACATCATTCTGTTTGGGGCATTGTTACACAGGAAGCTTTTTTTTTCCCAAGCAAAGTGATTTATATTTTGTGTTCATATGGAAACAGTATCTTAAATCTGTGTTTCTTGGCCAGGGATGAAATTCAGAATTTCCTAGAGCAGTACTTCTCAAACTTTAGGGTCCAGATTAATGGTCTGAGAATCTTGCTAAAACTCAGATTCTGATTCAAGAAGAGGTCTTGGGTTGAAGCTTGAAGTTCTACCTTTCCAACAAGCCTCCAGCCACTGCTGACGGTCCAGAGACCCCTTTTGCAGTGGCAAGGACCTCAGGGACCCTGCAGGGCCCCAACCCAAGAAATTCTGATCTAGAAGTCTATGATGGAACTTAGAAATCCCCTCTTTTAAGTTTCACAAGTAATTCTTAAATTTATTTATGAAAATTATTAATTGTGGTTATACAAGTTTTTTGTTTGTTTGTTTGTTTTGAGACAGAGTCTCTCTCTGTTGCCCAGGTTGGAGTGCAATGGCGTGATCTCGGTTCACTACAACCTCAGCCTCCTGGGTTCAAGCAATTCTCCTCCCTCAGCCTCCCAAGTAGCTGGGATTACAGGCTCCCACCACTACACCTGACTAACTTTTTTTGTATTTTCAGTAGAGACGGGGTTTCACCACGTTAGTCAGCCTGGTCTCAAACTCAGGGACCCTGCAGGGTCCAAGTGCTAGTAGAGGCAGCATATCTTTTGGACACTTATTTGTCTCTTTCATCCTGTAAGGAAACACACACTCACTGGTGACAATTGCCATGCAAGTAAACTTCTGCTGGTATTGAGAAAACAGCTAAATCCTTGTCTAGCAGTCAGTGTTTTGTACTTGAGATTACATCACCATCCTGGAAGAACTTACACTAATACCCCATACACGTCTATTTAAGGCAATGTTAATCTACATGGGTCACTCCAGGTTTCTGAACAAAACTCAGCCTCCATGGACTGTATCGTCTTCATCTGGTGGGGATAAACCATAGCAAACGCCCATTTGCCTCCGAACCATCTCTGCCACCAGCCTTCTAGTAGCCCAGACGTATTTCCCCATAGTCTCACAGCCTCACGCCTCTGCCAGTAACCCCTCCACACACTTGACTAAATGGTTTTGCTGCTGAGTTTGGTCAGAAGACCACAATAATACCCCAGCTCTCAGCCCCTACCATAAGACAGCACCTCCTCTGCTGGGAGTGGATATCCAGAGAACACTGGTTGAATCAGCTTCCTAAAAATGGAGACGGTTGTTGGGGAAAATTAATTTGCTGGATAGAGTTCTTAAAAATTACAGCCCTGTATATACTTTGACTTTTCTTACAGTATTTTATCAGTACCTTCCTCTTTATTGGAGCTTAGAAATAGATTTCAAATAGAATTCAGCAAAATTAAATTCTGTAGAATTTAGTAGCAAAAACATTTGCCATCAAAGTAGACTAGATAATTTATGGTAATGCTTCAAGCTATTTTCTCTTGCCAAAGCAAATCGTAATCTTATCCAACATGTCAAACATGCTTAATAAGCTGCAGTCAGCATCATCACAAGCCTGACTCCCAGAAAGGGCTCAGGGATAGAGGTGGGGAAGAGCCTGTCTAGGAGTTGTGACTAGCTTGAAGAAAATGTTTTCAGATTATTGGATCTGTATCCATTCAGTATTTGGGGGCATTGTACCATGGTGAAGACCATCTCTGAGACAAGCTGCCCAGACCAAATGAAGATAGAATTCAGTCATTACCCAGTGATCTTGATAGATGCAGCTGACGAGACTGCAGGCTGAAAAGTTTCTGCTTCCTCAGGAGATGGACAGAAGCTTAAATTACTAATGACCTCCTTGGCCTGACTGCTTTCATTGCTGAATCAATGAAGCAAAGATAAAATAAGACCATGACTCAAGCTGTCACGCAGCAAGTGAGAGAATGAGCATCATCTTTGGAGTCACACGGTCACATCCACATCTTGGTCCTACCGTGGAACTAGCCATGTGATCTCCAACAATTCTGTGAACATTTCAGAGTCTCTGTTTCCTCACCTGAGAAACAACACCAACCTCACACCCACATAACAGGATTAAAAGATAATGTGCAGCCTCTAGTTCAGTTTCACTTCCTGTTTTCTTTTTCCACAGGGGTGTACTTCTTGTACAACAAATAAAGGGAAAGGGGCCATTATCTGGTATTTTACTTAAAAGCACAGAAGTTGAATTGATGCCAGTGTTGGAAATTATTGCATTTTAAGAAAATAGAAATATGTAATATTTTTATGCTTTCAATCAACAAAATGAGATTTGGCATTTTTGTGCTTTGGGGATCTCAAAAGCAGGGCTTTTTGTTTTCAACAGAGTGTTGGGGTAAAAGCAATGGAGGTAAGAGAGGCTACAGAATACTAGGAGAGGCCATTGCCCCCCTAGGAGGTCATCGATTGTCCTTCAGAGTATGAGGCTTGCCTCTAACTCACCTGCCATAAGTCATAGGCATGGTTATGAAATACTCCAGTTTTCAAGTACTGATTATTCCTTTTCCTTTCTGTAGGTTAAGACAATTGAACTTGAAGGAGGTCTTTTGGAAGATCACTTTGAAACTACTGTAAAAATGAGTACATACCTTGTAGCCTACATAGTTTGTGATTTCCACTCTCTGAGTGGCTTCACTTCATCAGGGGTCAAGGTGAGACTGAGTTCTAACGTTCTACGCAGTGCAGAAAAGTGTCCTGAGAGCAATGAACTTTTGTTTTCTCATGTTTTTCATTGTTATCAAAGTATTATGTTTATATTACAAGAAGAGATAGATAAAAAACTAAGTTAAAAATTATCCATAGTCCTGTCACCAAGATACAACTACTGATAATATTAATGTAAGCCTTCCAAATATTTTCTATATGTATGTCAGCATATATGGGTGTACATAGTAACAGTATTTACTTACTATATATGTAAAGGTAATTTTCAAAGTATATATATATATATATATATATATATACACACACACACACACACACACACACATACATATATACCCTTTGCAAAATAATATATTGACTATTTTTAACCCATTTTTATCAAAATATGCCATAAAAGTTGAATGTCATTTAAAATTTTAAATAATATTAATAATTGCATGGAGGTTTAATAAGGATTTTAAAATCAGTATCTTATTTTTGGGCATGTATGTTGTTTCCGACTTTTTTTTTTTTTTTGAGACAGAGTCTCACTCTGTTGGCCAGGCTGGAGTGCAATGATGCTATCTCGGCTCACTGCAATCTCCGCCTCCTGGATTCAAGCAATTCTCCTGCCTCAGCCTCCCAAGTAGCTGGGACTACAAACACAGGCCATCATGCCTGGCTAATTTTTGTATATTTGTAGAGATGGGGTTTCACCATGTTGACCAGGCTGGTTTTGAACTCCTGACCTCAGGTGATCCTCCTGCCTTGGCCTCCCAAAGTGTTGGGATTACAGGCGTGAGCCACCGTGCCCGACAGTTTCCAACTGTTTTTTATAACTTTTTTCCCTCAATGAAAGAAGATCTTTATAATTTTTAGAGTCTTCGTTGTTTGCAAAAACTTACAACAATACCTAATGATTATCTTTGTAGTTAAATATTTGCAAACATCAGTGAACACATTAAATAAATAAAAAAGAACTTCTTATCCCAAGAGACCAAATTATAGACTTAAAAACATTTTTAAAGAGTTATAAAATAATGCTTTTGAAAAATGGGCATAGGCCGGGCACAGTGGCTGATGCCTGTAATCCCAGCACTTTGGGAGGCGGAGGCTGGCAGATCGCCTGAGGTCAGGAGTTTGAGACCAGCCTGGCCAACATGGTGAAACCCCTCTCTACTAAAAATACAAAAATTAGCCAGGCATGGTGTCAGGCACCTGTAATCCCAGCTACTCGGGAGGCTGAGGCAGGAGAATCGCTTGAACCCGGGAGGCGGATGTTGCAGTGAACTGACATTGCACCAGGCACTCCAGCCTGGGTGACAAGAGTGAGACTTCATCTCAAAAGAAAAAAAAAAAGAAAGAAAAGAATAAAAGAAAAAAAAAGAAAAATCTGTATAAAGTATCTATTACAATTTACATATGTATTATGTTCATGAATATGTAGATATATGAGTTGTGTAGCACACATACACATCATGGCACCTCTGCACTTAGACATGGATGTCTATGCATAGACATGGATGTGCAGGAGGTGAATGGCACTTCAGAGGACAGGTTCCTGTCAGCCTCTTTGGATTCACGTCCCAGCTCTACAACTTTCAGCCTGGGTGATCTGGAGCAAGTTACTAAATCATTATGTGTTTTTATTGCTTCACCTATAAAATGGCACCTGCTTCATAGAGTGGGCACAAGTATTAAATTAGATTTTATACGTAAGCATTCAGCACAGTGCCTGGTAAACTGTCAAAAAATGGTGGCCGTTTACATTTTTTCTGCATAAAAGTTTTGAAGGACTTCAGTTAATTCAGAACATAAAAGTGGGTCATGAAATAAAAGTAGCTCTATACTTGGAAGGCAAGAAAATTTGAATCTAATTCTATTTTTTCTACTTGATAGCTAATTTCTTTGGGGGAGCCATTGAACATATTTGAGCATTTCTTAGTTTAAAGCAAGCTTGACAGAGGGCGGATCCAATAAGTTCTTCATGGCTTCCCACATAGGTCTAGAAGAAACCTATGTTTTATTTGAATTGTGTTTGTGGTCATCATTTTGGAAAGCTAGTTGACAAGTGTTAAAGTATATCATAGAGACGAACTCAAGTGGGTTCCTCTCTATGATATACTTGGATTATGATACAATGGGTTAACATGATTTGAAAGTTACAGATGAGCACTGAGGAAATGGATTGTAACAGAAGATTCAGGGTGTTTGTAATTTTCAAGACTGACTTTTGCTTTAATACTTCACAGAACCTCTTATCCTTATTGACAACATGCTTAATGGTATCTTAATACTTTCTTGAAAAGATACAGTCTGCCTTTCTGTGTGAGAGGGTTATCAGGAATGGAATTATGCCAGGGAGCTGTCATTCAAAAACCTCTTCTGATCCACATTTCCCAGGTGTCCATCTATGCATCCCCAGACAAACGGAATCAAACACATTATGCTTTGCAGGCATCACTGAAGCTACTTGATTTTTATGAAAAGTACTTTGATATCTACTATCCACTCTCCAAACTGGGTATGTTCAAATTCCACATTATTGTCTTCATTTTTGCTCATAAAACTTGCTTTGATCTCTTCCCTCTTTCTCTTTCTATGTGATTTAAATGAGCACTGAGGAATTCAGTTAGCTCAGGAAAAAATAATTTGTTCCTCAGAGATGATTCTTGAGTGTAGAAAATAAAATATTTATGACATGCCCCAACAGTGTGGATCATTTCTCTATTCTTTTATCAGGTTTAACGTTAACATATCTGCATCGAACTCTTTCCCAGGCTGATCAGAAAGGGCACACACTGGAGGCTGGGACGGAAGCCAGGTAGAGGGTCCAGGAAAGAGATGGGGAGAAAAAGAAGGAACACAGTGACTGCTCTGTTCAAAATAGGGGTCCACATGTCCAAGATGCTGTGGCTCCCTGTGGCGGACATCAACGCTCTCATCCATTATGCTCCTCTTCTGTGGGAGGGAAACACACCTCCCATCGTGCTGCTCTTCTATGCCCAGCAGCATTGATTAGAGAATGGATTTTCCATTAAAAAATACATACACACACACACACACACACACACACACACACGCATTGCATATTAGAATTAGAGGGATTTCTGGAGGAATCACCATACCTTATTTGTACAAGGTCAGCAATCTTTTATAAAAGTTGTCAAAAGTTTATGTAGAGAGAGAACTGAAAACTATGCTTCCATCCGTTATCTGTGTTGGGCACTGAGGTTGGATGGTAAGACTGTGGAACAGATTTTTAAAAAATTGCAGGAAACAGATCATTTGGTTGTGGTAGTAGGTCTTTACATGAGATGATACTCATAGTCTATCTTGCTTTTAATTTTCTATCTTAAAAAATAAAAAACGTTATTTTTAGAAGGTTGTAGAGAAGCGATCCCCAACCTTTTTGACACTAGGGACCAGATTTGTGGAAACAATTTTTCCACGAAGATTGGGTGGATGGTTTTTGGATGAAACTGTTCCACCTCAGAGCATTGGGCATTAGATTCTCATAAGGAACACGCAACTTAGATCCCTCACATGCGCAGTTCACAATAGGATTCATGCTCCTATGAGAATCTAATGACACCTCTGATCTGGCAGGAGGCGGAGCTCAGGCAGTCATGCTCTCTCGCCCACCGCTCACCTCCTGCCATGCAGCCCAGTTTCTAATAGGCCATTGACAGGTACTGGTCCGCAGCCCTAGGGTTAGGGACCCCTGTTGTAGAGCATATAAAAACTGAAGAAAGTTTCATAGCATATAAAGATTAGTGCTTGGGGTTTCTGACAGTGACAAAACAATTTTTTTCCTTTGGAATTTAGGATATACTTCTTATCCTGTCCTTTTTCGCCTCTTGCCCTCAACTCCAATGCATTTTCCTTACATAAATTAAAAGGGACCATCAATTGGCATACAGTTCCAGGCTTAAAAAAATTAAAAGCTATATCCAGGGACTTATTTCGATAGTTCCTGAGTCTTACTCTGCTATTATTGTGCAGGTTCTATATACTCTTTAGTACAGATATACTAAATCCCATTTATATGTAATTCACTGCTGTACTTTAGATCAAAAGTCAAGGAAAGATTAATAACAGCCATCAACAATATTAATGTTGTTCTTGAAAAATGCAGTCTTAAAGAGCATATGAAATATCTTTAAGACTAACGGAAAAGAAGCATGCAGCTTAGGAAAAAATAGAGCAGATATAAGTCCCACTACTATAAAATCATCAATGCGATTTAGAAGAAAAGTCATTCCCACATTTGAAGTGCTAACGAATACTAATCTTTATTAGCGCTAATTTAGTTTTTGATTGTGTTATGTATACTTGTTTTTAATGTACTAGAATTAACCAGTATTAACTCCAGACAATGTAATTATAAGCCAAGTGACTTGGTTCATTTCAAACTTTTAAAAAATTATCTTTTTTTCCAGCTAAACAGAACATTTTAGCTAGCAGAACTCAAAGACTAAATATTAGCCAGAAATTTTTTAGCCTACGTGAAATCATTAGCAAAGGATAGTAAACCATGCGCATACATTTATACCTGTATATGTATATGTGTGTGTATATATATATGTGTATATATATATATATGTGTATACATACACACACACATATACATATACACACACATATACAGGTACATATATATGTATATACACACACACACATATACAGGTATATATATATATGTGTGTGTGTGTGTGTATATATATATATATATGCCCATATACGGTATATATACACACACACACACACACACACACACACATATATGGTACACACACACACACACACACACGTAATGCAAATTAGTGCATTATACCTGAGTTGTTTAAATCATTAGATTGCACTTTTTCCCCCCACAACACTTTCTTAAGAAGTAGAGGAAATATCAGTGTTGAAAAGGAAATTGAAGTCAGAATCAATTCCCAGAGCTTTTTTCCTCTGCTGTCTTAGAAGAACATGTGCTCATAATAGAGGCTATATTTGCTAGAAATATCAATCGAAATATTGACTATAGAGATGGCTCCTAAGAGGTGTTCTCCTGAAATTAAAATCATGCATCTTTTTGTTTTTTCTAAAAATAAGTTCATTATACGTTTTGATGAATCTCAAACATATTAGAAATTATTTGATACCCTTTTTAAAGTTTTCAGCAGTACTAACATAAAACACAATATGATTGTTTTAAATAAATTATTTTCTTGGCAGTAAGGCACCCAAAATATTTTCAGAGTTCAGCACTTTCAGGAAGAAAATGGTTAAATGTCCATATGTTACTTCATCTACAAAACTCTTTGTACAACTTATTCCACTTGATAATGGGCACTGATTATTTTCAGCGCAACTATAAGACACCCTGTCAATGTTAAGATATTCTTGATGTTTTCAAAAAGTCTGCTTAAATATGCTTAAAGGATCATAGTGTATTTGAGCAGAGAGCAAATTCTATTTCTGGTGTGGGAGCCATAAAACTCAAGTATGGTTGTTCTTATTTCTTAGATTTAATTGCTATTCCTGACTTTGCACCTGGAGCCATGGAAAATTGGGGCCTCATTACATATAGGGAGACGTCACTGCTTTTTGACCCCAAGACCTCTTCTGCTTCCGATAAACTGTGGGTCACCAGAGTCATAGCCCATGAACTGGCGCACCAGGTACTTGGCACTCATGACATTATCTCGATATCAGTTCAAAATAACATTATATAGAACACGACCAATCTTCCTGAAACAAAATAAATCATCTCATTTACCTCTAGAGGGGAACTTAGAGACTACTAAACCTAACACAACGTCAAGTAGCACAGTACTCAGTCTCTGAACTGTGGTGTGCATACTGGAATTTTATTACGAGAAGTAGCCATTAAATTTATCCTCTAAAACCTTTCAAAGCAAAGCCTTCAAATGTCATTTGGGAAAAGAAGGGAAGTGACTATACAGACACATGAAGCACAGAATTGGAAACCTTACAAATAAAGATTTCTACTAAAAATATTTCTCCTTATATCCCCTGGTACTCTGGCATTCCAATCTAGGGCAAAATCACTCTTCCTTCAGTTGGAACCTGTGCTTACATGGCCATAATGAAATACTTCAAGTGAAATTTGATGGGTTGATGATCCTGGGCACATACCTAACTCTCTGAAGTTCAGTGTCCCCATCTATAAAATTAAGTTAATAATAGTTCTGTTTCATAAAGCTGTTCTGAGGATTATGGATAGGGAAAGTGTGCGGATCACATAGTAAGCACTCAATAAGTATTAGTTATTAATGATGATGACAACGGCCACTACAACTACAAGAAATACTACTATTTCTTGCAAAATAACTTATCTAAGGGCCATCTATCAACACTGTATTACATACAAATGTGGAATTGTAAAACTAGGTCTATAGATATTGGAGACTATTCCCTCTATTTCATTTCTGAAAACTCTCAGTAATGCAGTAAATTATTAAAGTCACCAAAATTGTCTTTCACCAAGTGGGCAAATATCATTCTGTTGTAGAATCTGGTAAAATCTCTTATTTAAAACATTTTAACTTTATCCTTTATCGTCACCACAATAATGAGCTGTTGTTCTTTAAAGCAGTGAACTAAATACTCTGTTACACAGAGAGCCATGCTCAACACTGTGCTTCGAGAACACATGGGCTGCTTCCTTTGGTTCAAAATCTCCCCACTGGCGCATTTTAGGTGTTTTGATCATGAGTCACCAGGAGCTCTAAAGCACTTAACTGAGTCTGGGGATTTCTAATCTTTCTGCCAGTTGTTTGTAGGGAAGTGCTCTGTGAGCTCTACCTCTGAGGCTCCATGCTCCCTCTGGCCCTCCCTTTAATAGCTTCTCTTCCACGGAGATGCAGTCAAGTGCTGAAGCAGCAAACAGCACTGGAATTTTTGCCCCCACTTTTTTGTCTTCCCATTGATTACCATGTTAACATGTCACTCTGTGCATAACCCTGGCAAAGATTTCCTCATGCCAACTGTCTTAGCTTGGCATACAAGGTTCCCATGACCCAGCTCCTTTTTACCTCTCCATCCTCATCTCTTGCCTACACCTAAGCTTTAGCCATCCAAGATTACCTGCCATTTTCTGAACATGCCAGGTTGTATCACTCTGCCTTTGCTCCTACTACCTGATATTCAGCATACCTGAGTACTATTTACAAGGCTCAGGAAATGAACACTGTCCTGGCAAAACTGATTATTTCCTCCTGGAATCCCCTCTGTCCCTGGCAAAGACATTGATCTTAGCACCTGCTTTACTGTATTTATTTGTCTACTGGTTGACCTCCATCATTTGTATTGAGGCAGTGGCTATATTATATACATCTTTGTATTTCTAACATATGGCATGGTGCCAGGAACGCAGTAGGTTCTCCGTAGGTATTTACTGAATGAATGAATAAACTAGTCTTGCTAACTGGTAAAGTGGCTAGAATCAGTTTATCCTGTACTTCTTATATTCACCGGTTTTCAAATTGAGGAAACACCTCTCCCTTTCCATGAATGCCCTTCAGAAGATTGCTGCCCACTTGTAAAGTAATCTGAAGACTGTCAGAAAAGGAATAGTGCTTAAACTGTTTCTAGAAGCTACAGACTTATAATTTTCTGTTCTGTAACTATAACCAGGCTCTTCTGAATCTTAGAATCTTATTGTTGAAGCTTTGGTCCGTCTAGAGATTTTAATCTTAGAGACATACACTAGATGTGCAGTATTAGGCATATAGACTAAATAAATAAAACATAAAAGCACATAAAAGAATAGTAATATTTAAAATGCATAATACAGATCAAATATAGGTAAAGGGTAAATATGTCAATTATATTTATGCATCCTTTTTATTTGATTTATATATTTTTTAAATCTTAGACCTTTATTGTTTCTAGTGGCCCACTGAAGTAAGTCAGGGGCAGAGGTTAACAACTGAATTTGCTCTTCAGTAATATTATATAACAACCTGAGAGCCCTAAATGAATTCTTATGATTCTCCTAAGTACCTGCTACTTAATATAAAAAGATAACTTCACCCAGGACACTTGGATTTATATTTCTCCCTTGAACATCATCATATATCAAGGACAAGGTGAGATTGTTCTTATTGGGCAGGAAAGAAAAAAACTACCTCCATAAAGTGTTCCATTTTCTTTCTTAATATTAAATCTAATAACTAGGAAATGTTGGGCAGATAGAATGAAAGTCGAAGAGTTAAGGGCATTGAGAACACACAAAAAAAAGAAAAAAGAAAACCAAGCAAAAATGTGGTGGTGAGAATAAGAAGGCAAGGAAATCAGTAGAAGAAAATTGTACAGAGAGAAAAGGGTAGCAAAGAGAGAAGAGAGATCCTAACTAATAAAAAAAAAGTTAGTAACTATTGTATTTTTTGCTAAAGTTAATAATTTTTATTTGTTTAACTTCTAATAATATTGAGTTTTTACCTCCTAGTGGTTTGGCAACCTGGTCACAATGGAATGGTGGAATGATATTTGGCTTAAGGAGGGTTTTGCAAAATACATGGAACTTATCGCTGTTAATGCTACATATCCAGAGCTGCAATTTGTAAGTTCACAATTCTGTGTATCATACTATATGGTGTAAAGAATCATCAATTCACTATTAAAATTTCAAGTGAATGTTAAACAGAAAAACTACATAATGTTGTGGTTTTTGAACATATGGCATTTTGTTTGATACACGAAACAGATCACAGAACTGGATGAAACATTGAAGGTTTTAGAAAACAATCAACATAAATCTGTCACCCCAAAGTCTGTAAAGAGAGAAGGCAAACTAATACAAATGTAGAACTGTGTATGTGGGTTGAGAGGAAAGAACATCACTGTTTGTATACATCTGCACAGGAATGCTCATGGCTACTAGGTACTATAGAGAGTTCTCGGCATGTAACCTGAAATCAACATCATTGGGGGTGTACTTTTCTAGAATTTCCAAAGGGTCTGCTGGCTTCCCCAAAATGTGTGAAGGGATTTCTTCAGGTACGTCTTTTTTAAAAACGAATATAGTGGTCTGAACACTACACAAATTTGCATATCAAGGTGGTTAGTAATGGTTAATTAGGTCTTTGGGATATATATTTAGTCCAGTACACTATAGACAGACATGGATTCAAAGTTAGGCTCTTCTTGTTACTGTGTATGTACTGAATTTGTGGCTTAATGCCAAAGCTTTATATATTCTTATTTGTAAAATGCATATACCATATCTCCCTTGCAGAGGTGTTGACAGGATTGCAGATGATAGGTCTAGGCACGTAACAAGTATTCACTAAATGGAAACCATTATTTTATTTCTGTATTCAAGGGCTGGTACATGATAAACATTCAGGCAATGTCTGAAGGAATATTGGATTTGTATCTTTTTAAAGTAGAGAAACTTTAAAAAGATGTATTCCCCTTTGGCCAAAGGGGAATACATACAAGAAAAGAAACATCTCCCAAGAAATATCGATTGAAATCTTACCTCTAAGAACATCTTACTAAACCTACTATGTTTTCTATTGCTTTTACAGTGTCAAATAGAAACTAAAACTAAACATTTTTCTCCCTGTTTAGGATGACTATTTTTTGAATGTGTGTTTTGAAGTAATTACAAAAGATTCATTGAATTCATCCCGCCCTATCTCCAAACCAGCGGAAACCCCGACTCAAATACAGGAAATGTTTGATGAAGTTTCCTATAACAAGGTAGTAAATATCAGGTGCAGGTGGAAGCTCTGCTTTCAGAAGTGTAATAATGACTATAGAATCAGCAGTTTAAGTCACTGGTGCCAGTTCCTGCTACTTGTTTCACTTTTTATTTGTTCACTTTTCAGACATCACACATGTTCCGTAAAATTTAAGCTTCCTTTAAAAACATACCATACTACCATTTTCTTTATCTCTTTTTTCAACTCTTTTGTTTTTTTTTAAAGGGAGCTTGTATTTTGAATATGCTCAAGGATTTTCTGGGTGAGGAGAAATTCCAGAAAGGAATAATTCAGTACTTAAAGAAGTTCAGCTATAGAAATGCTAAGAATGATGACTTGTGGAGCAGTCTGTCAAATGTAAGTCATATGTTGGGTAACGATAGACTGTTATTTAATCTAGAAAGTAACAGAATAATTGTGAATGTTTATAAATAGCTATATATTGTCAGTCAACCATATTTATTCTGCTTGCTATGTTGTCATGGTCTATAGAAGGCAGCACTTCCCTTTTTCCTCTAACACCACACTAGGATGTCACGCTGGGGTGGCCCCAGGGGCTCACTATTTGACCTGACTTTCTTTGGTTTCTCTTCTACGACTAATCCTACACTTTTATGTTCCCTTGATCTAAAATCTTTAAAATGTTGTAATTTCTACCATATAACACCTAATCTCTGGCAAATTTTAAGGTTGTCAACTGTATTCCCCAATGTGTATATATTTGTTGAGCAAAACTAATCTTCTCTCTTATAAGAAGAAATCTTGCTCAATCTCTAGATCATTGTGCCTATATTTCTAGTGCCTTTACTAGCTGAAATGCCCTTTCTTCTTTCCAACAATTCAAATGCCACCCAACTTTTAAGATCCAGCTGAGATTTCACCTCCTCCTTACAGACTGTTCCAGCCCTCATTCGTTTGCCTGTCTGCTAAATTCTTAGCAGTGCACTTATAATCTGTTCCACATAATAGTACCCTCTTTTATTGTTTTTATTAGTTCAATAATGATAATGTGCTTAAGAACAAAAATTGTGTCTATTCTTTTTTTAATGTGATAGCACCTAGCATATGTTGATCTTATAATAGTGATTAATAAGCAGTTAATGATTGATTAAAGAACTTATGGTCTGTCTTTGGGATTCATGTAGATAATAGGAAAGGCAAAGCAGAAAAATTCAGTTAATTCAGATGATTCTAATAATTATTAAAATATTTTAAAATTTCCAACTGCAAAGAAAATAATTTTTTATAGAACCATTAGACCCAGAGAACTCATACCTGTAATTAGAAGAACCCTAAGTCATTGTAGACAGAAGAGATCCTTTCTTTTTTACAAGCACTTGTGTCCCAGGGACAGTAATAATATTGTTTAATATTTCTGCAGCAGTTTACAGTTTAAAGACACTTTCATGGCCGGGTACAATGGCTCACGCCTGTAATCCCAAGACTTTGGGACACCAAGGTGGGTAGATCACTTCAGGTCAGGAGTTTGAGACCAGCCTGGCCAATTCGTGGAACCCCGTCTGTACTAGAAATACAAACATTAGCTTGGCATGGTGGTGCTTGCCTGTAATCCCAGCTATTCGTGAGGCTAAGGCAGGAGAATCACTTGAACCCAGGAGCTGGAGGTTGCAGTGAGCCGAGATTGCACCACTGCACTCCAGCCTGGGTGACAGAGTGAGACTCTGTCTCAATAATAATAATAATAACAATAATTAATAATAAATAAAAAATCAAAGTTAAAGAATAAAAAGCACTTTCATGTTGATTATCTCATTTGATATTTTTGTGCCCTTATAAAGCACACTTATGGTCCAACTGATGTGTGATTTTGTGGTTAAAGAAACAAAATCCAACAATCAAAAATTATTTCACAGCTCCTATTTTTTACTTGCATTTCTTGAAAATCCTGAGACATATTCAAATACATAGTTTTTACTTACAAAAATACTTATAGGCCTGGTGCGGTGGCTCATGCTTGTAATCCCATCACTTTGGGAGACCGAGGTGGGCAAATTGCCTGAGGTCAGTCTGGCCAACATGGTGAAAACCCATCTCTACTAAAATACAAAAAAAAAAAAAAAAAAAATTAGCCAGGTCTGGTGGATCACCTGTAATCCCAGCTACTCGGGAGGTTGAGGCAGGAGAATCACTTGAATCCAGGAGGCGGAGTTGCAATGAGCTGAGATCACACCACTGGACTCCAGCCTGGTGACAGAGTGAGACTCTGTCTTAAAACAAAACAAAACAAACAAACAAACAAAAAACATATAAAGATGCTCTTTACTATCCATTTCCATCACCCACCGTCAGTGGTCCAGACACACTTTCTCCATGCTTCCGCTTAAGCTTCTCAGCACCAAGTATTGTGTTGCTTCTGTCTCTCATCCCTCTCCATTTCCCTCTCCCTTGCCATGTGTGTGTGCATGTATGTATATTTGTAGACATCAGTTTAGCTCCCCTCCAACACGGAAGAATCTATCATTTGGTGTGCATACTGGCAGTAGAGGGTGGGAGTTAAAAAGAAAATTTGGCCAGCAATTACCAGATCATTTTAGGCCAGCAGTGTAAATTCCTGTGTTATTTTTTGTCACATCATGCTTATAATCATCTCAAAAGATAAAGTAATCATCATTACTCTGTGTTTATAAGTGAGAAAACTGATACTAAGGGACAGATTTGCCCAAAGTCACCAAGTCAGTGAGAAAATCAGTACTTAAAATTTGTCTTCTAAGTCCAATAGTTATTCAATTATATCACAGCTAGTTCCTAGTTTTAAGAAAAGTCCCCCATCAATCTTCCCCTAAAGGTCCTAGATTTTGACCAACTCTCTTCTGACACCAAAGGGCCCTGTAGTATTAAAATAATAAATTACTGAAAATATCTTGCCCACCATTGTGTCACATAAAGTCAATTCTAATACATGTCAATAGCAACTTGAGAATGAGAAGAATTAGTTGCTGTTATTTTTCATAAGATCATTTAAAGGCATTTGAGAGCCTTAGCACATTCTTCATTTTTTCTCATTTGCAGTTGCCCTTAAGTACTGGTTATTCAAGGGTCAATTGCCAAGTTGGTACTTTTCTTAATTCTTATTTTATTCCCAGTTAGTTCGAAATATTGTACACTCATCACATGCTGTTGTGATAGCCACTGTAGGAATACCTTGGTAAACAAAGGTGTTTCCCCTACTGTCAAAGAACTTGTAATATGTCAGGGGAGAGTTAACAGTACTAGACAGAGTTGCCTACATGCTAAATAGGGGCATACATAACATGCAGCATGAAATAATAAAATAGGACCTTTCTTAAGGGAAAGAGAAGAATTGGATAGAAAATTCAACAAATTGATTCTTCCTTAGAACGGTTAATGACTTTATTGAACTTTTTAAGGAAACTTTACACATGCGTATATATAACACAAAGAAATAACTTTTGTGGACTTCTATCCCAGGTCACTGCAAACATGCCTTTTTTTCCATTTTTATGTTCATTATCATGTCTGGATGAATTATTTCATATAGCTCTTTTAATAAATGCCTGCATCCATGGCTAATGTGCACGTTCAGCCAACTAATGATGCCTACATTGCAGTGCTCTTTTGTTCTTGTTTTGTAGAGTTGTTTAGAAAGTGATTTTACATCTGGTGGAGTTTGTCATTCGGATCCCAAGATGACAAGTAACATGGTAAGGATAAAGAGAGTCACAGAGTAGAAGAGATCTGTGGAATAGCCTGACCTAGAGTGAGTATGACATACAGAGTAGCCCACCTGTCCCTTTTAAAAGCTGGAGAGAAAGAGAGCCCCCACGATTTTCTCTAAAACAAAACTGAAGGGGAAATGCTTGGGGTATTTAGGGGGACAATGCTGTTGCTACTATATTTTTGTTGTTATAGTTCGGCTTTCCCACAACCCCACTGCTAGCTAAAAATATCTCAGCGCAAAATGTTTTTGAGTGGTTACTACTGCATTGGCATCCCTTAAGCTCTGAAAAATGCCAAAATAAGTATGCTGTTAGGTTTGGAAATACAGTATATGTTTTTCTTTTTCCTTACCTCTGGGAAGTTATAGAATCACTACAGGAAAGAGAAAAGAAAGTCATCACAGGGGAAGAAAGGAAAACTTTTTATTTAAACAAAGAGTCATGCTAATCCCCTGAATATATATATACATAAATTTATATTTATTTATTTTAGACAAAGTCTCACTCTGTTGCCCAGGCTGGAGTATAGTGGCACAATCTCAGCTCACTGCAACCTCCACCTCTCTGGTTCAACCAATTCCTCTGCCTCAGCCTCCCAAGTAGCTGGGATTACAGGCACACACCACCATGCCCGGCTAATTTTTTTGTATTTTCAGTAGAGATGGGGTTTCACCATGTAGGCCAGACTGACCTCAGGCAATTCGCCCACCTTGGCCTCCCAAAATGCTGGGATTACAGGCATGATCCACGGCGCCTGGCCCTAAATTGTGTTTTCTAAAGGAAGGTTCAGCATCATCCAGTGATCAGAAACCCATACTAGCAGTGCAGCAGCCAGAGGTTTTGTTCTCCATTCACTACACCTCTATTGATATTAAATTGTTCTGTTGAAATATTTAAAGCTTCCCTAAAGACAGATATTTCCCTCGTAAACCACCCCTCCTGGATTCTACTGTTATTTGAGGGTTTTGTTTGTTTGTTTGTTTGATTTTGTTTGTTTGCTTGTTTTTGAAAGGGGTCAGGAAAGAGACTCCAGTCTCAACCTCCTTTTCACTGGCTTTTCCTGCCATGTATTCACCCTACTATATCCTGTATATATCCCTCAATTCAAGTAATTTGCAGAGAGCAGCCCTGGGATAGCCATCCCTAATCCAGTTGCCTGGATTACCCTTCCCTGAGATACCAGTCCGAGTCTTCTGTTCCCCAAGCCTTGTTTCTGGCATCCAAGGAGATGGAAGTTTCTGTCCCTCTGTCTTTGGATTGTCTCCTCTCTCTTGAGTTATCATAGTCACCTGTCATTTCAGCTCGCCTTTCTGGGGGAAAATGCAGAGGTCAAAGAGATGATGACTACATGGACTCTCCAGAAAGGAATCCCCCTGCTGGTGGTTAAACAAGACGGGTGTTCACTCCGACTGCAACAGGAGCGCTTCCTCCAGGGGGTTTTCCAGGAAGACCCTGAATGGAGGGCCCTGCAGGAGAGGTGGCTGCTTTTCTTCTTTAGGTCTAGCTTACCTCATCTCAGTTTCCTCGTTATTTCCTTAGCTTTCTCTCAGCTCATCTGGCAACTTTGTAGGATGCTAGTTCCATATAAGAATCAAAGGCCTAAAGTAGACTTGATAAGATTTAAAGAGCTTCATATAACCCGGACTTCTTTGTTCAGGAGCACCATTCTTAGTGATTCCATCAGCCTTGAGAACTTCAGTTCTTGGTTTAGTTATTTGAATCAGCATCAGGCTGGCAGTTTTTGAAAATGTGAAAGGAATATTGGATTTTCTTTCCCATACAAACAGCAGAAATTGTTATGGTATGAGATTAGGACAGCAAATGACACAAGTATTTGTGGCAGAGTTCAACTAGGTAGATATGGCTGCTCCTTTATAATTATCATGGAATAATTTTTTGCATACTTAAGGATATGCTAGTCTTAGCCTATAAAATTTATAAGACCACTTGTGGGTAGTATGAAGGATGATGGGTACTTAGGTGCCTTTTACAGTCTGTCTGAGTCTGACAATGTGAAAAATCACAGCAGCATTCTTTTGGTCTGTAACTATCTTTACTCTCTGTCATAGGTACCTGTGGCATATCCCATTGACCTACTCCACGAGTTCTTCTAATGTGATCCACAGACACATTCTAAAATCAAAGACAGGTAATGAACTAATTAGCCAAACAGGTATTTCAATGTGGAAATTAAACATGTGTTGAGCTATTTGAAGGAACGATACAATAAGTAAATCTAACAATAAAAGATTTATATTTGAGGGAAGTTGTCATTTATCCATATGTTACTAAAATAACTCTTTTAGTAAGAAAATCTGGATTTTTCATTCAGTGGGAAGTTCTCTTGCGCTTTTATCATTTAGAGACAGATTATTTACATCAAGAAATAACAGAAATCTATCTTATGTCTTATAATACCCACTAATCTATTTTTACAGGTTATGGATAAGGCAAAAAATGTTCAGTGGAAAAAAGCACATACTTTAAAATTGATTGCTTCTGGATTCAAGTCCTCACTCTCTCACTTATTAGATGTGTGACCTTAAGAAAATGTACACACTCATCCTGAGCTTCAATTTTTTCATCTTATGTTGAATAAAGACTAAACCTCACAGAGTTGTTGAGAGAATATTATAATGTAATTTTACCCTCTAGTATAATATATGCCACATTAAAAATACATAGTATAATTTTAATTTTCTTCTAAACACTTTAATAAAATTTGAGAGGTTTTCCGTCACAAAGTCATGCTTAACCTGGAGTCCTTCTTTACTAAAATGAACAAATGGATCACCTATTTACACATACATATTTCAATGACTAGTGACTAAACCTTGAGACAAGGACATCATCAAATTAAGCCAAATTCCCGTCATGCTAGTCATCTGGCTCACTGGGCCCTTCCTTGCATGTCTCTTAGACCTGCATAGACAATTTTTTAGAACAAATTCAGCAGTCTTATTCCTATGAATTAACTTATTTATTAATTTAATAAGACCATCTTTCCAAAAGAAATCATCCAGTGAACTACGAAAATGAATATCATTATGACTCTCCCCAAACTTCATCTTCCCATTGATTTATAAGTAATTTGATTAAAAATAACAGTTCTGGAGATGTTCTGAATAAGTTTGTTGATAATAAAATGCCTATGCCAATCTTATCCTCTTAGATACTCTGGATCTACCTGAAAAGACCAGTTGGGTGAAATTTAATGTGGACTCAAATGGTTACTACATCGTTCACTATGAGGGTCATGGATGGGACCAACTCATTACACAGCTGAATCAGAACCACACACTTCTCAGACCTAAGGACAGAGTAGGTCTGATTCATGATGTGTTTCAGCTAGTTGGGTAAGGCAACATTTCCTCTGACTTCATGCAAAATAACTGATTCGTAACCAGATATGCTAGACTTCAATATTGAATGTTCAACATTGGTCATTGATTTAATATGGATTTGAATGGAATTCAAACAGTGATCACTAGGCCAAAGACTACCCACTAATAACGTATTTTGACCCACACAGTGTTTATAATTGTAATCCAATATTTTAAAATGTGGAGAACTTTACCTAAAAATCCTGACCTCTGGAATCTCTTAAAAATGATATTTGGCAACTGTGGGTCTTTATCCTGTGGGCCACAGGATAGCTATAAAGGAGAGTGCAGTGGGCCAAACTCTCTTTAGGCCAGGCCTACTTTCTCCCAAGCACCAAAGTCCCAAATGGCCTGTTTCATTCACTTAGTGTGGACTCTCTAAGTATTTGAGCTTTCGACCCCACATTTAAAATGTATTTATGTTATTAGCTGCTACACCAAATACCGGTGTAATCTCTTAAGGAAAAGTACAAATATAGTCTTAACTTTTATAATTTTAAATGGGTTGTTATGAAATCTATTCATTACTTACACTGGAGAAATTAGTATGACGTTTGTAGGGAAATGAAGTAATAAATGGCTGTTTGCATTCATTCCTCTCTAGACTTTCCTGGAAGGACAAAGTGTTTTCTTTCTTTTTCTATGTATCATGAACAGAATAATGTGTGGAATGAATCAGGTCACAAGATCACCAATGGCTGGAGGGAATTGAGGACCAGGAAGTATATTGTGCATTGCAAGCTTTCCCTATTCTGAGAATTACTGTGATGCACTCACTTTACTCAATGTGACATATAATTTTCTTTCAGGAGCTTATTTAGGTCAAATTGAGTGAAAGTGACCAGCAGGACATCTCTGAGACAAAGTTTCTCGGTACACTAAAATCCTCTAGTTAGAAAGAAAAGAGGAAGTGAGGCTTAATCCTCAGTCCCGTGGGTCTCAGGAACATCTTGGAGGCATAGCTCATTGGAGGCCAAAATTAGGAAAAACACCATCCTACATATGAGTGAATGCATGAAAGGTGAGCTAAGAAGCAAGCTATTGCTAGTTGAAGGAGGTTTGCCTGCTCAAAGGAGAAGCTCTGAGTAGATTGAAGAGAAGATAGATTAACAATGCAAGACTTGGAAAAAATGGAGAATATTGACAATTCAGCAAATTAATCTTTTAGGTAGTTGTGAAATCTTTTTTGCTGTTTCTAGCCTATCCACTTAGATTGTCTAAATTTAGTAGGAGGAAATTTGCAGTTATTGATGCATTGGTGGAAAACTAATCATCTTTTCTTCACTAAGTAGACAGATTAATGAAGTTAAGAATACAAATTTTATATGAAAATTTCAAGAAGATTTCAGGTATTACCTCTTCACTTACTAATTTTTTGAGCTTGGACAAGTTTTGTTTTTTTAACCTTTTTAAGCCTAAATTTTCCAGTCTTTAAAACTTTATTACTAATAATATCCGATATACAAGGTTTGGAGGATTGCATAGGTAATGAAGATAAAGCAGTAAGTGCAGTACTTACTCAATAAATGTCAGCTGTTAACATTATTAGTATTATCTAATACAAATTATTTGAAATGTCATGACATGAATAGGAGGAGGAGATGACAACATAGAAAAGTACACTTCAAATAATGTGAAGTTGAGAAAAAGGCAGAATGTAAGTCTGTGTATTATTATGTTTGTTTGCAACTACAAATGAAAAAAATAAGTGCGAAGGGGAAACAAAAACCTGAAGGAATTATTTCAAAATGCTATTGTTGAGTGTGTAGGGTATTGAAATTATGAGCCTTCTCTAATTTCTGGTTGTTTTGTAATTATGAGTCTAATTTCTAGTTGTTCTGAAATTTGTTTATATTTACTTATATTACATTTATAACAAAAGTAATTGTATAAGAAAACAATTTAAAGCTCTCATAATAGATAAAAATAAATAATTTTTACTTGCTGTTCTTTCTCAATACTATAAACCACTTTCCTCCCTGCTTTATGAAACTTCAATTTAAGAATTAAAGGAGGCCCGGCACAGTGGCTCATGCCTGTAACCCTACCATTTTGGGAGGCTGAAGCAGGCAGATCACTTGAAGCCAGGAGTTTGAGATCAGCCTGGGCAACATAGTGAAACCCCATCTCTACTAAAAATAAAAAAATTAGCCCAGTGTGGTGGTGTACGCCTGTAATCCCAGCTACTTGGGTGGCTGAGGCACATGAATCGCTTGAACCCAGAAGATCACGCCACTGAACTCCAGCCTGGGTGACCGAATAATACTCTGTCTCAAAAAACAAACAAACAAAAAAGAATCAAAGGAACCAATAGTGATCACATTTAGTTTGGAGAGATAATTTTTTTTTCTTTTTAATTTTTTTTTTTTTTTGTAGAGACAGGGTCTCCCTATATTGTACAGGCTGATATTGAATTCCTGGCCTCAAGCACTTCTGCTCAGCCTCGCAAATTGCTCAGTTTACAGGCATGAGCCACCACACCCAGTGTAAATCAATCTTTACAAGAGGTGATACTATTTAGTTCTTTAGTGGACAAGACATTGTCATCCAAGGGCTGTCTCCAGAGCCATTCTCTTAACCACGACACGACACTGTCTCTTTTTTTTTTCTTCCTCCCCCTCCTCCTCCTCTTCCTTCTCCTCCTCCTCTTCCTCTTCCTCTTCTACTTCTTCCTCTTCTTCTTCTTCAAGGGCTTTGCTCTTCTTCTTCAAGGGCTTTACTCAGGCTGCAGTGCAGTGGTGCGATCATGGCTCACTGCAGCCTCAACCTCCTGGGCTCAAGCGATCCTCCCACCTCAGCCTCCTGAGTAGCTGGGACTACAGGCACACACCACCATGCCCAACCAATTTTTAAATTTTTTGGCAGAGATGGCGTCTGCCTATGTTGTCCAGGCTGGTCTCAAACTTCTGGGCTCAAGCAATCCTCCTGCCTCGGCTTCCCCAATTGCTGGGATTACAGGTGTGAGCCACTGCACCCAGAATGGAGAGAGAATTTGATGCAAGAATTGATATTTATTTTAGTTCGGTTTTCATACATTTTAAATGTAATTTAAAGACAGGGGTCTTGGATAAGTTGAGTGGAATTGAAATGACAACTTCAATTTGCCTATAGAAAAAGCTATATTTGTTTCTTTTAGTCCCACACCTTAAAGAGAAAACCCCACATTGGGCGCAGTGGCTCACGCCTGTAATCCCAGTACTTCGTGAGGCCAAGGCGGGTGGATCACCTGAGGTCAGGAGTTCAAGACCAGCCTGGCCAACATGTTGAAACCCCGTCTCTACTAAAATTATAAAAATTAGCTGGGCATGGTGGTGTGTGCCTTCCCAGCTACTTGGGAGGCTGAGGCAGGAGAATCGCTTGAACCCGGGAGGCAGAGGTTGCAGTGAGCCAAGATTGTGCCATTGCACTCCAGCCTGGGCAACAGGAGTGAAACTCCATCTCAAAAACAAAACAAAACAAAACAAAACAGAAAACCCAAATTGGTGCTTCAAGAATATGATGTTATTTCTCAAAGGTACAATCTAGCTGAAATCATATACAAGTAAGTAGGTGTGGACTTTTACTGTTGAGCTAAGGTTTATGTTTATATATGTTTTATTCTTTAAGCTAAACAAACATTCAGATAACATTCTATGCATTTTTTGAAGCATAGGGTTAGTAATGAGGACTTAGATTTTTTAATTAAACAACTCAGTAACTATATAAAAAGAAAAGGAGTCCCTTATGAATAAATATTAAAATTAAAAGAAATAGGCAACTATAAAAGTAAGTATTTTTAATAATGGCATTGATTTTAGTAAGAAATCAATTAGGCTGGGCTGGAAAGAAAAACTGGCTTAATATAAAGTAGTTTTAATATGTCAAATATTCTTCTTAAAATTGTGGCCCTGGAATATCATTTCTGCCTATTGCTGATGCTAAGGTATCAACTGTGCCAGGTATTGTGCTGCTCACACAGGTGGGAAGGAGTAGCAACATTTTGTGGATTTTTTTTTTTTTAATACGGCAGACTAGCCGGGCCAGGTGGCTCATGCCTGTAATCCCAGCATTTTGGGAGGCCGAGGCGGGTGGATCACCTGAGGTCAGGAGTTCAAGACCAGCCTGGCCAACATGGTGAAATCCCGTCTCTACTAATACTACAAAAAATTAGCTGGGCATGGTGGCACATGGCTATAATCCCAGCTACTCAGGAGGCTGAGGCAGGAGAATTGCTTGAACCCAGGAGGCAGAGGTTGCAGTGAGCTGAGATTATGCCATTGTACTCCAGCCTGGGTGACAAGAGCAAAACTCTGTCTCAAAAAAAAAAAATATATATATATGGCAGACCACAGAATCATGGAGTATATGGTCCAGCCTTCCGTCTTCAGGTGAAATTTTTGAAAAAAATTTCCATAAGTCTGTTTTAAAGCAGCAAGTCATCGTGATTGAGAAGATTAAAGGGACAACAAAAGTTGGTTCTTTTTCATTTCCTTCTGGTCTCTGTTCCCTCTTTTTAGACAGGAATTTAAAACATGTATAAGCCCAGAAGAGGTAGAGCACTATGTTAATGATAAGCCCAGAGGAGACACCCTTTGTTCTGGAATCAGTTTCCACATCACACGATTGTGTTATTCTGGGAGTTGGGTGTTCACAAGAATGGCTTATAGACTCTGTGTGCAACATAGCCTCCCAGAAACACACCTGAGGAGCACTTTCCAATAGTGAGGTTATAATCGTTCGTTTCCTCTACAGAAGATGCCCCAGCATTTTGTACTTAGAATAATAAACCTGTTATTTATTCTTCTCACTAGAAGAAAACGTAGAGAAGGCATGTAACTTTAGAATCTAAAAGATGAAAATACTTGTTTTGTCCTATTCACAATGATTACCGCTTCTCTGATAGGATTAAGGACAAACATCAAAGAAAAACAAGACATGGCACCTGTCCTCAAAGTTCCCAATGTACTTGGAGAAACAAGTCAAACCCACACATGAAGCAATTAGAGAATGAAATCATGTGTAAAAAGTTTGATATTATTTGGTACTAAATGTTAATATTGGCTAATATTTATTTCATTTATTAACCTTTTGCTATGTGGTAGACATTATTCTAAATGCTTTTTAAAATATTAGGTCATTAATCCTCACAACAAGCCTATGAGGAAGATAGTATTATTATCCCCATTGTATAAAGAAGGCAATAGGTCCAGAGAGGTTTGGTAATTTGTCCAAGATTACTCAGCTAGTCAGTGGCAGAGCTAAGATTTAAACTGAATGGCCCAGCTATAATGACCTACTTCTGTTATTGTTCTCTATTTCATATTTGTTTTAATGTTAAAAATATTAAAAACTATAAGATATGCACAAACCACTGACATTTGTTTTATACTTCAGTGCAGGGAGACTGACCCTAGACAAAGCTCTTGACATGACTTACTACCTCCAACATGAAACAAGCAGCCCCGCACTTCTCGAAGGTCTGAGTTACTTGGAATCGTTTTACCACATGATGGACAGAAGGAATATTTCAGATATCTCTGAAAACCTCAAGGTTTGTGTTGCTTTTAGAAAATGTATTAAGTAAATACACAGTGTCTGGAGTATCAGTCAGGCTCAGTTTGTTTTGTGTGAAGTCCTTGAGGTTAAATCTGGAGCAGCTCGGGGGACTGACTGATAGCATGTAATGGTCAATGACCCTTGTTCTTTACCATTGCCAATCCTAAGAGCTAGATACCAGGATCATGTGCAAAACATCTCTACTAAAGGTGATTTTATTTTATATCCATTGATATTCCCCTTTCAGATAGGAAATTAAACCATGTTTAAATGCAAAAACTGTTTCCTAAGTATGGTGGGTAACAGCCAGAAAAAGATAAGAGAAATACGAAGATACACTGTTTGGGGAAAGATTGGGAAAGATGCAGAAAGTTTAGAGTTGAGCCCTTTAGATGGGCAAGAACTGTGTTAAGGACTAAATTTAGCCTCTCTGTTAACCATCTCATATTTTCTGCAGCGTTACCTTCTTCAGTATTTTAAGCCAGTGATTGACAGGCAAAGCTGGAGTGACAAGGGCTCAGTCTGGGACAGGATGCTCCGCTCGGCTCTCTTGAAGCTGGCCTGTGACCTGAACCATGCTCCTTGCATCCAGAAAGCTGCTGAACTCTTCTCCCAGTGGATGGAATCCAGTGGAAAATTAAAGTAGATGTAGACTTCTGTCCTACCCTTTGTTCTTTTCTCTTTGATGTAAAAGTCTTTGATCAAGCAAGACATTAGGTCTAAAACCTTTTAGTGAGGATAGAAAAAAAAACATGCTGGGCATTACAAACCCTGTTTCATGCTCTCACATTGTAAGTGCTATGTATGGAGACTAGTACAATCTCTACCATGAAATGTAATGGTGTCCATTATTCCGGTGCTGGCTGGATGCAGTGGCCCACGCCTATAATCCCAGCACTTTGGGAGGCCAAGGAGGGTGAATCACTGAGGTCAGGAGTTCAAGACCAGCCTGGCCAACATAGTGAAGCCCTGTCTGCACTAAAAATGCAAAAATTAGCCAAGTGTGGTGGTGCACGCTTGTAATCCCAGCTACTTCGGAGGCTGAGGTGGGAGAATTGCTTGAACCTGGGAAGCAGAAGTTGCCGTGAGCCAAGATCACTTCACTGCACTGCAGTCTGGGCAACAGAGAAAGGCCCTGTCTCAAAAAAAAAAAAAAAACTTTTCCTGTGCCAAATTATTATAAGATGGTATCATAACTTCTCTCGCTATAACTAAATCTGTGAGCTTTTTGAAATCCTTTCTTGAATTCTTCTTTTTAAAAAAGTAATTCAAGTTTTCTTCTTTTTGGACTTTTTTTCCTTGTTGGGATTCAAGCCTGAAATCAGTTTTAGAAAAAAAAAAACTTAAAAAAAAACCTTTTAAATCTATTATTCTCTTCTTTTTGTTTCTGTTTCAATGGGTTGTATGAGTGAAGCTAAAATGTAAACATCCTACTGCCCTATACAAAATAGAATACTATTATTTCATCTTTATGCTAGTTACAAGAAAGATAATCTTAACCTGCAGTAACCTACCTACAGTAGATATAAGTGTTCAACATGTTGAATATACCTATGAAAATATTCTAGGTAAACTTATTTATGCTCACAATCAAAAATATGTGATTAAATATTGTTGGTTTTTTCTAAACTCCAAGATTGCTAGTATGAATTTTAATGAAGAATTTCTTTACATAGATTAATTGATTACTTCATTCATTTGTGGATTTGAAATGTAACTAGTTGCACATTTCCTTTATGCCAGCCAGGTATTGCTGTAGGAGCTAAGGATAAAGAGGTGAACAAAACAACCATGTGGCCTACCTTCAAGAAGCTTACAATGTGTTTGTTACCAATTGTTATAAAGTTGTTCAGCAAAATACACTAAAATGAAAACAATATGTATTATAATTATTTGATCTTTATTATATTATTCAAATGTCACTTGGGGTATTTAAGTACATATAGTATAGAGGAAGTAGCCAAAGCATTAGAATCATAGGGTTAAATCCCATCTGCAAATGGCAAATTATGTCATCTTGTGCAAGTTACTTAACTTTTCTGAGATTTATTTCCGCTTAAAAAAATCAGGATAATAACTATCTCAGAGGGTAGCTTTTGACAGTTAAATAAGAGGTATGGAGACTAGTACAATCTCTACCATATGGTCACTTTGTGACAAATGCAAATTTCTGGCTCCCTCCTCAATGCTCTGTGTTGTGTTTTTTCTGAGACATCAATAACAGTTCTTATTGATCCGTTGACATTTGGGATTAAAAAGTCATATGCCCACTTAGAATAAAAACTGGTTAATGTCCTCAAGATAATAAAAATCAAAATAGTGGTGTCTTTTGTAGAAGGACAGAAAATCATGTCACTGCATCTTAACAGTTTTAAAAAATTATAAAATAACTAGACACTAATGAATTGTACCAAATTAAGACTCTCTAGGCCTAGAGAGTCAGATGACTCCCAGACAGGCCTCAGAAAATGCTCTCAACTAGGCCAAGTGCCGTAGCTCATGCCTGTAAGGCCAAGGGGTAAGAAGATCACTTGAGCCCAGGAATTTGAGACCAGCCTTGTCAA
Organism: Homo sapiens; assembly: GCF_000001405.40. Taxonomy (NCBI): domain Eukaryota; kingdom Metazoa; phylum Chordata; class Mammalia; order Primates; family Hominidae; genus Homo; species Homo sapiens. Next base: position 96,911,687 of record NC_000005.10, read on the forward strand.
CATAGTGAGAGCCCATCTCTACAAAAAAATTTAAAAATTAGCCGGGCATGGTGCTATGTGCCTATAATCACAGCTGCTCAGGAGGCTGAGGCAAGAGGATTGTGCAGGAGGCTGAGGCTACAGTGAGCCATGATCACGCCACTGCACTCCAACCTGAACAACAGAGTAAGACCCTGTCTCAAAAAAAAAAAAAAAGAAAGAAAGAAAGAAAAGAAAAAAATGGCCGGGCGCGGTGGCTCACGCCTGTAATCCCAGCACTTTGGGAGGCTGAGGCGGGCGGATCACGAGGTCAGGAAATCGAGACCATCCTGGCTAACACGGTGTAACCCCGTCTCTACTAAAAATACAAAAAAATTAGCCGGGCGCGGTGGCGGGCGCCTGTAGTCCCAGCTACTCGGGAGGCTGAGGCAGGAGAATGGTGTGAACCCCGGGGGGCGGAGCCTGCAGTGAGCCCAGATCGCGCCACTGCACTCCAGCTTGGGCGACAGTGAGACTCCACCTCAAAAAAAAAAAAAAAAGAAAAGAAAAGAAAAAAATGCCTTCAACTTGGTGATAAAAAAGCATCAAGTAATCATCTTTAAAAAAAAAATCTTATAGCACCAATAGTGGCCACTAAATGATAGAATTTATATAAACCAGTAGTTTTGTATTTCAGAAAGCTTTTATATTTGTTGATTACATCAACTTTCTATTTTCACCTCAGAGTAGGTTAAAATTTTATGCTTATTTTCTTGCTAACATTTTATCATCAGTAGGAGATAAAACACAAATAATTTGCAGAGTAAAAGCACATAAAATATTTTTATAAGAGTTCGGCAGAGAAAAAGATTTAATACATTGAGTACTGAAAGCAGTTCAGAGATTATTGTGTTATAGGACTTAAAATTGTCATAAGAAAAAAGTTTTTCTTTCATAAAACTTTTTCTTCATTTTTATGCTTGATATTACAGTATACCAACAGATGTTTTAAAGATTGTGTATTCTGTGGGTGCTCAGACAACAGCAGGATGGAATTACCTTTTAGAGCAATATGAACTGTCAATGTCAAGTGCTGAACAAAACAAAATTCTGTATGCTTTGTCAACGAGCAAGCATCAGGAAAAGTTACTGAAGTAAGTTCAATAATTTAACTAAATTGTTATAAGTAAACTGACACAAATTCAGTGAAGTCACTAAAACTTCAGCCACCAGTTTTAAAGGCATAAGATAATTGAATCAGAATGTGTATGGCTTTAACTTTACTTTCAGAAAAGAATATATTGACAAAATGCAAATAGTGAAAACAGGTATTCCCTAGTTATTAATCATATGATTGAGACTAGACAAGCGGTTATGTTTTATCTTCAGAAACTTGAAGAAAAATTATTGTTGTAAAAATACATTCTTGCATATAAGATGTGTAAATGATGCTAATCAAACTTATTTGAAATAATAAGTAAATGTTTTTGATAGGAACAAAATAAAAATTATTTCTAAAAAAGTAAAAGTTTAATTGAAACATTAAAAAATTGGTAATTATACTTTTATCATGCCTCTTTCTGTTCTATTCTTTTAATATATTGGTGGCTTGAGTTAATGTCCATGTACATAATACCTACTATTTAGAAACAAATTATTTTTCTTTCTTCAGGTTAATTGAACTAGGAATGGAAGGAAAGGTTATCAAGACACAGAACTTGGCAGCTCTCCTTCATGCGATTGCCAGACGTCCAAAGGGGCAGCAACTAGCATGGGATTTTGTAAGAGAAAATTGGACCCATCTTCTGAAAAAGTTGGTATTCATTTTCATCCAATGTTTGTTCTTCCATGCAGATGTCTCAGTTGCCTCAAACCAAGTGTAATCAAATGTTTCTCAAAGCATATAAATAATACCATTTGTATCCAAATAGTTCAGTGGAGTCAACTTTGAAACTCCCTAGCCCAAATTATCCTGTCCAGGAGTAAGGGAGAGACATGAGAATAAGGGAATGGGAAACAGCCTTCTCTCATTCAGTCCAGGCAAGAAACCACTGGCATCAAGTCCGAGTTGAATTAAATGCAGTCATCAGCCCCCTCCCACCATCCCTTCTTGGCTCTCTCCTCAGCCCAGAAGAATCCCAAGATGCCTTGTATAGTGCATCACACATATGTGGCCTCATTTGTTAATGCAGTTTTGTACTGGGGGAAAATCTCAGGAATTTTGGTAAGAGCTACTCCTCACCCCTAGAGCCCCTGTGGAGGTGGCACAGTGGAGACCTTGGTTCAGGTGAAAGAAACCTAGTCAGGAGTGTTTGGGGAGCCCTCCCTCCAAATTGTTTTGGTTCTGAGTCTTTTCTGGGGTTTCAACTTTGGGGAGAACTGGAGCTCATTTCAATATGTTCCTGGATCTAAAATATCCCTCAGAAATAACCAATAATGATTAGATTTTGTTGGAATGGAATGTATAAGACAGCATTGCTTTCTGTCTCTCTCTCTCTCTCTCTCACACACACACACACACACAATCACAAAACCCTATAAGGCATTCAGCCATTCCTCATCCAAATCTAAAATGTCATTTATGACTTATATGAAAATATCTTGAATCAGAGAGGTATGATTTGCTTTGTTTATGTCAGGGTCAGTTAGCATCCCTGATATCATTAATTCCTAGTTCCTTCTCTTTCATTTCATAGCCGTGGAAGGTTTAGAGTCCTCACACAGCTTTGCGTAAGCAAAAAGCACATTTCCACTCCTCTCCCAAATGCTCAAGGAGTTGACGTCCACATGAGACCAAATAGAAACTGCTTTAATATGTATGTTTGTGTATGTTTCCTTTAAAACTCTACTTGAGCCATTGATTTGTCTGTTTTCATGATTGTCATTTTCCTCCTGAAATGATCAGCCTTAATCTACAATGCTGTGGATTTCATTTTAAACAGGAAATGATGCCCCTGCCCAACCATGTGCAGAGCCTAGACTTGGAACCATATTTTTTTCTGAGCTGTAACTGTGCTCTGCTTTATCAACATGAATCACTTTGACCTGTAGTACAAGTTTTCCATATATAAAACATTGGGTTGAAGGATGCATTCTGTGGCCGTGAATGAGAGTTCAACCAAGTAACATTGCCCCACTAAACACAATGTTTAAACACAGTGGTATCCAAAATGGGATGAGGAAGTGTGCAAGAAGTGCAATACATTAGAGTGTCTATTATTTCTTATCTAATTTTAAATTTTATATTGTTATAAATTTATAAACATAAATGATATATAGTATAAAAAGTTAAATAAATACATTATTTATTTCATGCTTTTAATTTTTTTACCATACCTTAACATATGCATATAATTTTTTTTAATTAATTTATTTTTTTTGAGACGGAGTTTCATTCTCGTTGCCCAGGCTGGAGTGCAATGGCGCCATGTTGGCTCACTGCAACCTCCACCTCCCGGGTTCAAGTGACTCTCCTGCCTCAGCCTCCTGAGTAGCTGGGATTACAGGCATGCACCACCATGCCCAGCTAATTTTTTTGTATTTTAGTACAGATAGGGTTTCTCCATGCTGGTCAGGCAGGTCTCAAACTCCTGACCTCAGGTGATCCACCCACCTCGGCCTCCCAAAGTTCTGGGATTACAGGTGTGAGCCACCGCGCCCAGCCCATATAATTTATAAATAAAAATATGTATATTGGGAAGTTCTTGCTCAAAAAATCTTTACTGACTGGAGTATGTAGTAACAAAAAAAGTAGGGAACACTGCTTTAAACAGAAACATAAAATTAAACATAAACATTGCTGAATAACTAACCATATTTCCCAAAGAAGCTGTATCTACATTTTCATTTTATAGTAAAATTTGATAAGTTTCACAGCTTTAGAATTGTACTGGATGAATGTTATTATGGTAATTCACCGTATCTATTGTAATACACAAGCTTATCACATAGTTATTAATATACATTAAAAATATAATACATGATATAATAAACATAAGGTCAGTATTTCTATGACTTTCTATGGTGTTTCTTTTTATTTTCAGATTTGACTTGGGCTCATATGACATAAGGATGATCATCTCTGGCACAACAGCTCACTTTTCTTCCAAGGATAAGTTGCAAGAGGTTTGTGACTTTCTGTTTTTAACAATTTCAAAATAAATGTTCAAATTGTGGAATTGAAAGTAAACTTAGATATAATCTGATTTGAAGTTCTCATTTTAGTTTTTAAAAAAGTTGTTTGTCCAATGCCATATAGCAAGTAAATGGAAGGGACAGGATTAAAACCTGACACTTGGCCAGGCACAGTGGCTCACACCTGTAATCCCACCACTTTGGGAGGCCAAGGCAGGTAGATCATGGGGTCAGGAGTTCGAGACCAGCCTGGCCAATATGGTGAAACCCTGTCTCTAATAAAAATACAAAAATTAGCAGAATGTGGTGGCACGCACCTGTAGTCCCAGCTACTTGGGAGGCTGAGGCAGAAGAATCACTTGGACCCAGGAGGCGGAGGTTGCAGTGAGCTGAGATCACACCACTGCACTCCAGCCTGGGTGACAGAGTGAGACTCCATCTCAAAAAAACAAAAAACAAAAACAAAAACAAAAAACAACAGCAAAAAAAAGCCCCTGACTCTTAAAATACTTAAAATACGTGTATTCATAGCATTCAAAATGAAAATAGACTTGAGAGGTGAGCCCTTTTGTATTATTTCTTTCATATTGTATTACGATGCAAGAGTGATTATATTAAAGTTTGGAAGCGTACTTAATGATCTTTTTAACAAAACTATTGTTGGTAATTCTAGTTATCTTTTTTTTTTTTTTTTTTTTTTTGAGGCGGAGTCTTGCTCTGTTGCCCAGGCTGGAGTGCAGTGGCTTGCGATCTCGGCTCACTGCAAGCTCCGCCTCCCAGGTTCACGCCATTCTCCTGCCTCAGCCTCCCGAGTAGCTGGGACTACAGGAGGCTGCCACCATGCCCACCTAATTTTTTTGTATTTTTTTTTAGTAGAGATGGGGTTTCACTGTGTTAGCCAGGGTGGTCTCGATCTCCTGACCTCGTGATCCACCCACTTTGGCCTCCCGAAGTGCTGGGATTACAGGCGTGAGCCACCAGCCTATCTTTTTTTTTTTTTTAAAGCATTATAGTCTTTGCACCTTCTTTTCACAATAAATCTTGAATTTATTTACCCTTTAGGCAAATTCAGAATTCCTGAACTTAAATCCCAGCTCACCATTTACTCTATGACTTGGGTAAATCATTTAACTTCTTTAGCCACATTGTGGTCACTTGTAAGATGAGGATTTATAATTTTTGTCTTACTTTACCTATTGTTTGAAAATAAAGTGAACAATTATGCAGAAAAGTAGAAAATAACCTTTTAGAGGTTGGCAGAGAAATGCCTATACCTGTGTGTATGTAATTTGCAAGCTCTTTTGAAAATTTTTGGAAGACGAAGTGGTTTTATTGTTTCTTTATTTTTGAAACTGCCTCGCTCTGTCAGCCAGGCTGGAGTGCAGTGGCACCATCTTGGCTCATTGTAACCTCCACCTGCTGGGTTCAAGCAATCCTCCCGCCTCAGCCTTCCAAGTAGCTGGGACTACAGGCATGCACCATCATGTCCGACTAATTTTTGTTGTTGTTGTTGTTATTTTTTGTAGAGTCAGGGGTTCTGGCATGTTGCCTAGGCTCGTATTGAACTCCTGAGCTCAATTGATCTGCCCACCTTGGCCTCCCGAAGTGCTGGGATTACAGGTGTGAACCACCACACTCGGCCAAGACAAAGTGTTAGTAATTTTTTTCTTCAATATTTTACAGGTGAAACTATTTTTTGAATCTCTTGAGGCTCAAGGATCACATCTGGATATTTTTCAAACTGTTCTGGAAACGATAACCAAAAATATAAAATGGCTGGAGAAGAATCTTCCGACTCTGAGGACTTGGCTAATGGTTAATACTTAAATGGTCAATAGAAAAAGTAGGCTGGGCGCGGTGGCTCACGCCTGTAATCCCAGCACTTTGGGAGGCTGAGAAGGGCGGATCACGAGGTCAGGAGATGGAGACCATCCTGGCTAACACGGTGAGACCCCGTCTCCGCTAAAAATACAAAAAATTAGCCGGGCATGGTGGCAGGTGCCTGTAGTCCCAGCTACTCGGCAGGCTGCAGCAGGAAAATGGCATAAACCCGGGAGGTGGAGCTTGCAGTGAGCCGAGATTGCACCACTGCATTCCAGCCTGGGTGACTGAGCGAGACTCTGTCTCAAAAAAAAAAAAAAAAAAAAAAAGAAAAAGAAAAAGAAAAGAAAAGAAAAGGTACATCAGACATGACTGCCTGCATGAAGTCAAACAGGGTAACACCAGTGAAGCTCAAGTCAAGAGCTGTGGATATTTTGTCTAACCAACAAGAAGTCTCAAGAAATCAGGCAGTGCAGCTGCCTGCTCTCAGCTATCGTATCCAGCCAAAAGATGCATGATGATGGAGTGGTGGGGGAAGGCCAGTTCAGTATCCTATTTAAAAGTAAACTTCCTGAATAATGGATATATGTGGAGATACAGACATAGATATATAGATACAGCTGTAATTATTTAGCCTCAAGTGACTTTCTCCATTGCTTCACGCTATGCCACTATTTTGCTTCTTTAATTTTTTTAACCTTGCTTAGTATTCTATAGTTTGCCCAACCAGTTTTACGTCCAAGGAAAATTAGCCAATGCATAAAATATACAAACTATGAAAGGCAAGGATCAGGAAACCAGAGACTTTGCCACCAAATCTCAGATTATTAGAAACTAGGTGTCAGGGTTTATCAAGAAGGCCAGGAAGGCCTTTTGGGTTAAGCCTTACATTCATGAAGAACCTCAAGGGTAGATTTTTGAGAGCATTCCAAATGAATGGTCTCTGGTCAAATGAATGAATGGTCAAATGAATAAATCTGCCCTCACAGAGATACAAAAGGAAAAGGAATATAATTCATACCATTTGGTTTAAGCCTTACATTCATGAAGTACCTCAAGGGTAGATTTTTGAGATCATTCCAAATGAAGTCGAATCTGCCCTCACAGAGACACAAGAAAGGAATATAATTCATACACTATTGCATTTTTAATAAATCTTTTGAAATTTGCAGAATTAGATTGTATTGTGTATTTTCGGTTAAATGATAATTGAATGTAAATATTTAGATGCAGCACCATATTTTATAACCCAGCTTTAGCATTTCTTCATATTTTAAGGAAACCCCCCACCTCCTTCTTTTAAGGGCGCTTCTTGCTCTCTGAAATGCCCTGCTAAATGCTTCTCTTAATTATTTGAATAAGGTAGTTTGGAATAAAGAAAGAAAAGATCACTCTACATACAGATAGTAAACTTAATTTGTGATCCTATATATGAGACAGTATAAAAATACAGATAAGTTTTAGAAAGACTCAAAACAATATGTAAATGACTGATGTTTGCATTATTAAGGAAGACTTGGGATGTTGGGTCAAGAGGGGAAAGTGTTAGTCAATCCACTTTGGAGCAATATCATGAAGGTCAATTATAATTCCATATACCTTTCTTTGATGCCACAGTCAGAGATAGAATACAGTTTGGGTGGCCATGGATGTGCCCCAATACAGTACACATTTTTTGGTTAAATTTGTTTTCAGATCATTTCATGGAATCTTTGAAGTATCTTTGACTCTAACTTTGACTTGGTGGTGGACCTTCCTTGGTTTTTATAACACCTAAGAGATATCCTTTAGAATTACATGTATTTTAGCATAAGGAAATTGAAAAAGTAAAACATACTGGTTTTTTTCAACAAGACCATATGTAAATTAAATAGTGAAATGTGTATGAGTTTCAGTAGAACTGTACCATCAACAATGTTTCCATAAATATGCAGAGTTCTTTCTTTTGTATTGTTATTTACAATATTGTTAAATTGAATGCATTTGCAATTTCTAGGATTCTAAAGAATTGAGTACAGAAAGTAGCAATTTTATTATTTGATGATAATATGAGAATTACTGTGCCAATACTGTTTTGATAAATAAATAGATTTTTAAAAATAAATGTATTGTACTTATTAGTGTAGTATTTCAAAAGCCTTGTGGTAGATGCCAGGCCACCAACACCAACTTCAGACTTGGTTGTGTTACTTTTACTTTCTTTTACCCTGAATGAATCAGATGTGAAAAAGTTATATGCAAGATCATGAATATATGATGAGGTGAACAGGTTTGACTTCTCTGGGCCTCCCCCATTCTTCACAAGGCCCATTGAGAATTATGTGGTTCCAGCAACTCACTCATAATGAGAAATCTTTCAGATTATGAAAGCCCAGAACCAATGGCTTTGTATGGGGAAGAGTGGACACTTTGACCCTCAAGAGTCTAACTAGCCAAGTGTGGCGGCTCATGCAGGTAATCCCAACACTTTGGGAAGCCAAGAAGGGGGATTACTCGAGCCCAGGAGTTCAAGATCAGCCTGGGCAACATGGCGAAACCGTTTCCACAAAAAAATACAAAAATTAGCCTAGCATGGTGGCACATGTATCCCAGGTACACGGGAGGCTGAGGTGAGAGGATCACTTGATCCTGGGAGGTGAAGGTTGCAGTGAGCCAAGATCATGCCACTGCACTCCAGCCTGGGTGACAGAGCTAGACCCTGTCATTTAAAAAAAAAAAAAAAGGAGTCTAACTGCCATGGTAAGGATTTTCTTGTCCTATATCAGTACATGCTACTGCTCTTCATTCCTTGTTATGACATTGAGCCCATTTGAGGTTCTAGATGAGCAGAACTGGCCAGAAACTACTGCAAGGAATCCTGATTTTCTGAGGAAGTTCCAGGGGTTTTTGGTCTTTTAAATTTTTTGTTTTGTGTTTTATCCCACCCCCAGCCATAGGGCAAGCCTCCAAATAGTCATAGGAACTAGTTTTCCACCTGAACACTAATGTCTACCAAACATAAGCCTGCTCAAAATGGCCACATTTTTACTCTGCTACTTTTCCTTCACTTCTATTCTTTATTGACCTTCTTTCATCCATGTAACCACGTATCACTATTTTTAAAATTTCAACATATAGTGGTTTACAACTTATACATTTACAAACTTTAAACCAATCATGCACTTGGTTGTCTGCTTCCTGGTATCTTAATCTCATCAAAGCCAGGTCTCCAAATCATAAGGAAGAAAGTCTGAAAAGGATCATGAAAGAAGTGGCTTTACTAGGTCGAAGCATATGTGTATTTCATATAATCTTCTATTTTAATAGTCTGTGCTGGGTAGTTTCCTTAAAAGGGTGTTAATTCACTTTCTTCTTATTCATACATTCTGTAGCTGTCAGTACCAGATGTTAAACTCTGATCTCTAGTAATATTTAAGTTACCACTTCCCCTGATATGTTTCTGGATCCTTTAGTTTTAGATGAGTCTTTTGCAAAGAGACTGTACCTGAATTTTGTTTTTTATTATGCTCCCTAACTTGGGCAGGCCCTGGGCTTTGTCATCTGTCCCCAGCACTCTCGAAGGCATAAAAACAGAAGCTTCAGATGCTCTCAAGGTGAAAGTTGGCCTCAGCCTTCGGCTTACCCCTTGGGATTCCTGCCTTCACTTAGTTTCTGATCCAAGAGTATTCCTTACTAACTTTCCAGGTCATCAATGCATTAAAATAATTTTATTCTACATTTTTAGTTATTTTTAGCAGGAAGGTCAGTTAAGGTATCTATTCTAGCATATTCCCAGAAACCATAATCATTTATTTTCTTATGTACAAATACCTAAGTCTGCATTATACTTAGAAAGCTGGCAGTATAAACAGATCATTTGTTTAGGATTTAAATCAGGAAAATGTTTAGTATTCATAGTGAGAAATCTTTAGAAAGTCTGAGAAATGCATACTTAACTAACAAACAAGGTAGAAAAACATTTTATTTCTTACTCGTTTCTACAATCTTTCCTTCCCAACCATAAATTCAAGATCTTTTACAAATGTATTCTTCTTTCTTCCAGATGTCCTAATCCTCTACTATGCTGACAGAGAAGGTCAGGAAACTGGTTTTCTATTCTCAGTACATGACTCAGTAATTCTCATCTTGTTATTTACACACATGATTTCCCACACTTCAAAATTCATGCCTTCCTCTGTTGAATTATGTCATATTTCTTTCTTTCAATACTATATTTCAGGCTCATTCCTCCGTAAGGAATTCCCATAGTAATAGCACCTGGTATGTCCCTTTAGTCATCCAAAGAATACCACAGTTAAAATTATAAACTTCATTTTGAGTTGGCCAGAATAAATTGTCTGTGAAAATACTGAAAACATACAAAGGACATTTTTTTCTCAGTTTTAAAACTGTATTCCGCTTTAAAAACTGTTTTCTAGGCCGGGCGCGGTGGCTCACGCCTGTAATCCCAGCACTTTGGGAGGCCGAGGCGGGCGGATCACAGGGTCAGGAGATCGAGACCATCCTGGCTAACACGGTGAAACCCCGTCGCTGCTAAAAATACAAAAAATTAGCCGGGCGCGGTGGCAGGCTCTTGTAGTCCCAGCTACTCGGGAGGCTGAGGCAGGAGAATGGCACGAACCCGGGAGGCGGAGCTTGCAGTGAGCCGAGATCAGGCCACTGCACTCCGGCCTGGGCGACAGAGAGAGACTCCGTCTCAAAAAAACAAAACAAAAACAAAAAAAACTGTTTTCTAGTCAATTAAGTTGCAAATTCTATCTCGTCTCTAATATATTGAGTTGGAGTTGGGAAAAGGATAGAAAGAACACTCTTTTAAAACTCAAAAATGGAAAAAGGCCAGGATGAGGCTTGGGGCACATAAGACTGCTGGCATATAATTTTATTTTCTTTCTATTCATATCTTCAGATGTAGAGCCAAAGACTAAAAGCAGGAGTCGTAGAAGGACAAACAGGGCTTTCTAGCTGGCTGGGGGCAAACAGGTAGAGAGACTTGAGCTAATAGGAATCAAAAGAAAGATCTGGTTTGAAACAATTGTGCACAATCTATGTGAACCAGACAGAGCTCGCAGTTGTCAGACCCTCTGTCCGGGTGAGTTAACTTCACTCACACTCAGAGACTAAATTAGAGTTACTCAAGCAACAATGAATAAGTTGTTAGTGAAAGAGGCTGGATAGCATTTAAAGATTTGTATTTATTTATTCTTGTTCTAAGTTGTGCGTTATCTGTAGATAAAAGTTATGCAACTACTAATCAAAGCGCATAACTTATATCTTACAGAGAAGCCATTATTAGGTAGGACGAGCATATTATTCTTCTAGTTTCAAACAACTGTGCCTCTGCGAGGCCTCACTATTTGGATGTTTTTTGTTTTTTGTTTTTTGTTTTTTGTTTTTTTTGAGACAAGGTCTTGCTCTGTTGACCAAGCTGGAGTGTCACGATCGTAGCTCACTGTAACTTTCAGTTTCTGGGTTCAGGTGATCCTCCTGCTTCAGCTTCCCACGTAGTTGTGACTGAAGATGTGCACCACAATGGCTGTCTAATTTTTATTTTTTAATTTTTGTAGAGATGGGGGTCTCACTATGTTTTCCACACTGGTCTCAAGCTCCCGTCCTGCCGCCTTGGGCTCACAAAGGGCTAGAATTACAGGTGTGAGCCACCACGCCAGGTCCTGGCTGTTTGGATTTTAAGACCAAGGGAAACATACTATTTGTTGACCCCTCGGTCTCACTGAGGACCTGGAAAGAAATAACAGCAACAGTGCTGGCCTTGCAAATCCAAACCTAAAACGTGCTGTCTAAAAAAAGAAACTTCAGGCGGGGCGTAGTGGCTGACGCCTGTAATCTCAGCACTTTGGGAGGCCGAGGCGGGCAGATCATGAGGTCAGGAGATCGAGACCATCCTGGCTAACACGGTGAAATCCCGTCTCTACTAAAAATACAAAAAATTAGCCGGGCGCAGTGGCGGGCGCCCGTAGTCCCAGCTATTTGGGAGGCTGAGGCAGGAGACTGGCGGGAACCCAGGAGGCAGAGCTTGCAGTGAGCCGAGATCAGGCCACTGCACTCCAGCCTGGGCGACACAGTGAGACTCTGTCTCAAAAAAAAAAAAAAAAGAAAAAGAAAGAAACTTCATACACGTCAAAATATCCAGTTGCCTTTTCTTTTATAATTTCACCATTATAGATTTATTCCTTTGGACTAATAAAAAGTTAAAATATTACATTGTAACTCACTAGTCATGCTTTAGTGTGACATCTTAAAAAATTAATATTTCTTTATAGCTAGCTAAGCAAAGGGCCCTGAGGAGAGAAAGAGGACCCTGAAGTTGGGAGACGGGCTTGGGGAGTGAGTTGTGGAAAGTGGCCAATAGCTTAGAAAGTACTGGTTGGGTAGGAGGAAATTAAGGGCAGTATCTGTCACTTACTCAAGGATGTTACACAGATGTCATTTGATAAATATTTGTCGGCTGTAAAGCAGCACCTGGAAGTGAGGAAGAAATGGAAAATTTGCCTCAGGCTGATCCTGCTAGTACACGATGGTATATGTCTGTGTCATGTTTCATGTATTATGTATGTATCCTGTGTGCTTGTCCTGATTGGCCCAATAGATTGTATGTGCCATAAAAGTGAAGCGTTAGCTCCTGTTTTGTTTTGAGGTCTCTTTGAGGCCCTGCACACCAGGGGCCCTCCATAAATGGTGCTGACTGACTGACAGCCTGTGCTGGCAACCATCAGCCAAAGGGAGGAAAAAAGCACCTGAATCAGCTGAGAGTCAGCCAAGAATCATAGTCAAATGTAATTTTCAGCACAAATATTATAGGACCTTCTCAAGCTAAAAAACAAACAAAAAGCTCAAGGACACATTTTATGGGAGTGAACCTTGGGCAAGCTTTATTTTAGCATAGCTGTAAGAAACAAACAAAAAGGAAAACTAAATCAGAATATTCAAGAGTATAAACATCTCTCTAGAAAGAGCAAGTCAATAACAATTCGGGCTAACAGATTTTTTTTTTTTTTTGAAATGTAGTCTTGCTGTTGCCCAGGCTGGGAGCGATGCAATGGCGTGATCTCGGCTCACTGCAACCTCCACCTCCCGGGTTCAGGTGATTCTCCAGCCTCAGCCTCACGAGTAGCCGGGACTACAGGCACCTGCTACCATGCCAGGCTAATTTTTGTATTTTTAGTAGCGACGGGATTTCACCATGTTGGCCAAGCTGGTCTTGAACTCCTGACCTCAGGTGATCCACCCACCTCGGCCTCTCAAAGTGCTGGGATTACAGGCATGAGCCACTGTGCCTGGCCCACATCATTTCAAAAAATGTTTTTTCTATCTTCTGACTTTTATGGAAGAAAGGCTGTGATTGCTTTTTATGGCTATATAGGTAGGCCCATCATCCTAGTCACTTCCTGGCCTAGGTAGGCCCCATCCAACCTAGGGCTTAGATGCCAACTCAACACCGAAAACTTGGTTTGCCAGCACATCATTATTTTAAATGATCAGATTGGAATATGTTACCGTTATAGAAATTGGTTTGCTATTACAAGTCTAAACTTCTTTGCAAGTGATCTACATGGTATTTAAATTTTATAATTCACATACAATAGTAACAGCAAATACATCTTTAGTGCTTACTTTGTGCCAGTCTCTGTTCTAAGTATAATTATGTGAATTTGTCTCATCCTTACACTAACTCTGTGAGGGTACTTGTCCTCATTTTACAAAGGAGAAAGTGAAGCTCAGGGAACTTGCCCCAGGCACAGAGGTAGGAAGTGGCAGAGGCAGAATTTGAACCCTTAAGAGTCTACCTCCAGGGCCCAGGCTCTCACCTCAGTCCTGGGCTGCCCTTCATTTACCCTGTAGTAAATGTAGTGCAGTTTCTACTAAACACACTGCTCCTTATTTACCCTAGAATTCCTTCAGTGCAGGATTATCTGAGGACCACCTGTGTCACAATCACTTGATAAAGATGCAGATTTTAGGCAATATCTCAGACCAACTGAATTGAAATTTCGGGGAACAATGCCCAGAAATCTGTTTTGTTAACAAGCTCCTTCAAGAAATTTAACAGTCACCACAGTTTGGACTTCCAGAGTGAAGATTTCTTTCTAAGCATTTCTAGTAGGCTTAGGGTTCCATTTGGGAAAAAATGGAAATGATATATCTATACCTGTAGAATTTTCTATAGCATTTCTGTTTCTAAATAGGTTAGTGTTTAATTGAATGAAATCTGTACCTTTTTAAATAGTAGCAACCAGATGGGGGAAAACAAACTTGCTTGAGCAATGGTGAATGGAGATACTCACAGTATAATTTGCTTTTTTTTTTTTTTTTTTTTTGAGACGGAGTCTCGCTCTGTCGCCCAGGGCTGCAGTGGCGTGATCTCGGCTCACTGCAACCTCTGCCTCCCAGGTTCAAGTGATTCTCCTGCCTCAGCCTCCCAAGTAGCTGGGACTACAGGCGCGTGCCACCACGCCCGACTAATTTTTTGTATTTTTAGTAGAGATGGGGTTTCACCGTGTTAGCCAAAATGGTCTCAACCTCCTGACCTCATGATCTGTCCACCTGGGCCTCCCAAAGTGCTGGGATTACAGGCTTGAGCCACCATGCCCAGCCATTACTGTTTCATTTTAATCAAGCATTGTTATTATGGTTTCTAAAAAGTATAACCTCAAGTCTTTCATATATATCAGTTTATCAGTTTTATATCAGAGATATAATTTACATGGCATAAAATTCATCCATTTAAAGTTTATAATTCAATGGTTTTTAGTATAGTCACAGGGTTGAGTGCCTAGCAAAACGATCAATTTCAGAATGTTTTCATCACCCTAACAAAAAACCCTATACTTATTAGCAGACACTTCCCATTCTTGCCTCCCTTCAGTCTAAGGAAATCACTAATCTACTTTCTGTTTCTATAGATTTGCCTAGTCTGGACATTTCATATAAATGGAATGATACAATACATTTCAAATAAGTGGAATAATAACAATATATGGTCTTCTGTAACTGGTTTCTTTCACCTAACATAATTTTTAAAAGGTTCATCTATGTTTTAACATGTCAGTACTTTCTTTTTATTGTTGAATAATATTCTATTATACATATAAA
Source organism: Homo sapiens (assembly GCF_000001405.40). Classification (NCBI taxonomy): domain Eukaryota; kingdom Metazoa; phylum Chordata; class Mammalia; order Primates; family Hominidae; genus Homo; species Homo sapiens. The sequence continues at coordinate 96,926,708 of NC_000005.10, forward strand.
TGTTTCACATTCTATTTATCCATTCATCAGTTGATGGACGTTTGTGTTGTTTATACTTTTTGGCTATTGTGAATAATGCAGCTATGAACATTCATCTACCATTTTTGTTTGTTTGTTTGTTTGTTTCAAGACAGGGTCTTACTCTGTTGCTCAGGCTGGAGTGCACTGGTGCAGTCTCAGCTCGCTGCAGCCTCGATCTCCCAGGCTCAAGCGAACCTCCCGCCTCAGCCCCACAAGTAGCTGGGACTACAGACATGCATCACCATGCCTGGCTAATTTTTTTATTTTTCATAGAGACGGGGTTTCACCAGGTTGCCCAGGCTGGTCTTGAACTCCTGAACTCAAGTGATCCATCCACCTCAGCCTGCCAAAGTGCTGGGATTACAGGTGTGAGCCACCACACCCAGTCTATGTACAAGTTTTTGAATGTGCATAAGTTTTCTGGTCCTTTGGGTATATATCTAGGAATGGAATTGCTGGATCACATGGTAACTGTTGCTTAACCTTTTGGGGAGCTGCCAGATTGTTTTTGAAAGCAGCTACACCATTTTACATTCCCATCAGCAGTGTATGTGGCTTATAATTTCTCTACATTTTTGCCAGTATTTACTATTATCTGGTTTTTTTATTGTAGCTATCCTAGTAGATGTGAAGTGGTGGCTTATTTTGGATTTGATTTGCTTTTCCCTGATGACTAATGACACTGAACAGCTTTTCATGTCTCATTGGCCATTTGTATATCTTCTTTGGAGAAATAATATTCAGATCCTTTGCTACTTTTTTTTTTTGTTTGTTTTGAGACGGAGTCTCGCTCAGTCGCCCAGGCTGGAGTGCAGTGGCGCAATCTCGGCTCACTGCAAGCTCCGCCTCCCGGGTTCACGCCATTCTCCTGCCTCAGCCTCCCAAGTAGCTGGGACTACAGGCGCCCGCCACCGCGCCTGGCTAATTTTTTGTATTTTTAGTGGAGACGGGGTTTCACTGTGTTAGCCAGGATGGTCTCAATCTCCTCACCTCGTGATTTGCCCGTCTTGGCCTCCCAAAGTGCTGGAATTACAGTCCTTTGCCTACTTTTAATTGGATTATTTATCTTTTATCATTAAATTTAAAAATTCTTTATATATGCTAGATACAAGTCCCTTGTGAAGTCCCTTGGTTTGTAAGTATTTTCTCCTATTCTGTGAACTGTCTTTTCATTTCTTTCTTTCTTTCTTTCTTTGAGACAGAGTCTTGCTCTTTTGCCCAGGCTGGAGTGCAGTGGCATGATCTCTGCTCACTGCAAACTCTGCTTCCCAGGTTCAAGTGATTCTCATGCCTCAGCCTATTGAGTAGCTGGGATTACAGACACAGACCACCATACACAGCTAATTTCTTGTATTTTGTATTTTTAGCTAAGCTGGTCTCAAACTTCTGGCCTCAAGTGATCCGCCCACCTCAGCCTCTCAAAGTGCTGGGATTATAGACATGAACCACCACGCCTGGCTATCTTTTCATTTCTTGATACTATCCTTTGAAGCATACTTTGTTGATACTTATCTTCAACCTTATTTCCATTACAATGAAGTTGTTATGAGTTGAATAGTGTCCTCCAAAATTTATCTGTTAAATTTATAATCCCCCATATTTCAGAATGTGACCTTATTTGAAATAGGGTTGTTGCAGATGTATTAGTTAAGATAAGGTCATACTGGAGTAGGGTGGGCTTCCAATTCAATATGACTAGTGTCCTTATTAAAAGAGGAAGTTTGGACACAGGTATGCACACAGGAAGAATGTCATGTGAACACTGGAGTTACTTGCCACAAGCCTAGGGACTATTAGAACCTAGGAGATAGGCCTAGAACAGATCCTTCCCTAGTGCCTTTAGGGGGAGTATGGTCCTACCAACACCTTGATATTGGACTTCTATCTTCCAGAACTATGAGATAATGAATTTCTGTTGTTTAAGTCATTCAGAATGCACTAGGTTTTACAGTAGCCCTAGTGTTAGAATAGGTAGCCAGGCAGACATGAGCATGACAGCAGAGCTCCCCATCCATGTCTACTATTTTAGAGAGGCAATTGTTATACTGTCTCTCTAAAATAGTAACTGGTTGCAGCCAGCGTCAGGGAAAGGCAATCTCGCAATAGATAGAAAACAACAGAAGCTGGTGATCAGCAGCTTCTCAGTAAGATCTCATGAGATGGGTAAGAGGGCTCAAGCATGTGCACTAAGAGGCAAAATGGCATACAACAAGTATATGGCCTTCCTCTAGGATTGCTCAACTGGTAAGGCGAAAACACCTCAAGTGAACATGTGTACAACTTCAGTAAGGTGATCGCTCCCTAGTGCTGGCAGGTCACAGCACATGCAGACAGCCCACCACAAGGGATAAAGCAAGGGAGGAGACACAGAAATCCTGGCACCATGCCAATGTGTAAAACCCCCAAGTCAAGGGCCAAACAGTGCACTTGGATCTCTCAGGTACACTTGGCCCTCTTGCAAGTGTACTTTACTTCCTTTCATTCCTGCTCTATAACTTTTTGATAAACTTTCACTCCTGCTCTAAAAGTTGCCTCAGTCTCTCTGCCTTATGCCCCTCAGCAGAATTCTTTCCTCCAAGAAGGCAAAAATAGAGTTTCTGCAGACCCGACGGATTTGCCATTGCTAACACTAGTAAACTAATACACATGCCCAAAATAAGTTAGATCTACTTTTCTTTCTCCTTCCTTCCTTCTTTCCTTCCTTCCCTCCCTCCCTCTTTTCTTTTCCTTCCTTCCTTCCTTTTTTTTCTTCCTTCCTTCCTTTCTTTCTTCTTGAGACGGGGCTTCACTCTGTCACCCAGGCTGGAGTGTAGTGCACCCCGGCGGGAGTGTAGTGGCATGATCTTGGCTCACTGCAACCTCTGCCTCCTCAGTTAAATGATTCTCTTGCCTCACCCTCCTAAGTAGCTGGGACTACAGGCATGCTTGGCATATGTTCTCAGGATCTCCTGGTCCTCTGTAATGGGTGATGGCCATTCATATTTAGCTCAGAATAAATCTCTTCAAATATTTTACAGAGTTTGACTCTTTTCATTTACAATAATATACCACTTCTTGGTTTGTAATCCTAATTATATTAATCAATTATATAAAAAATTACATTGTATTTAATGGCTCCATCTTTACTTTCCTATATAAGTGCCTTAGGGCACTTATTTATTAAAATATATCAGTGTTTATAACCTTTAGTGGACATTTAGGTTGCCTGCCTAACATTTTGGTTGCTTAACTCCTGTAAACTAAAAATAAAATTCTAAGCCTCCCAAGTGACTGAACAGACCATGTCTTGGCCAAGGGGACCCCAGGGTAACCTTGAAAACTAAATTCTCATTCATGACAGGATGCCAGGGTCAAACAAGCCTTATTATACCCCTTCCTCAATATTCAGGATTAGCCTTTCTTCCCTAAGGGCTAAACGGAAACCAGCCCTTTTGAAAGATTCCACCCCTAATATCAACCAACCACCTGATATTGCCTCTAGTTTTTTGCCTGATAAGAGATCACCACATGGAGTGGTTCTGGCCCATCTCCAGAGAATGCACAGTAAGAGTTTTCATGTCCTCTGCTTCACCTTTTGATGTCAGAGGACTGAAAACTCCACCCTCGGATCATGTTAACACTGCCATTTTTTGTATATGGGACCCATGAAGGGGCATGAAGCTCCATTGCGCATGCACACATTTATCCTTTGATAAATATTCATGACTCCTCCTATAGCTTATTGAATACATATATTTGGCCACCCTGCTCAGCATAAATTCCTGTTCTCTTTGCCCCTCCCTCAGAGTGTCTGTTTCTGGCTTCTGGCTGTGGGGTCAGCCTGTCAGCATGGCCACCCTACAGGCTGCAACCCTTTATGAGAAATAACTTTCCAAATTTGTGAACCTCATCATTCCTCAGTTGACACTCCCCTTTTCCTTTCTGAATGGAAAATGGTTTTGTTCAAATACCCCTCTCCTCCCATACGAAACAAGGAAGGTGATCTTAAACTCAGCAGATTTAGGCTGTACTTTGTCTAAGAAACTAGTCATAGTGTTACTGACCACTGGTTCTTGGGCTGTCAATGCAATAGAGATTGATGTGAGGCCAAAACAGTTTCCCTAGACAAGCCTTCATTGGAGCTTATGCTTGGACATAAGGGAGGTAGCACAAAAGAGAGAATTCCCTGACTGACTCCCCAAAAAGAACTAGTCGTGGTTTTTTATTAGGCAAAGTGCGGGAATTGACATCAGGGGTAGGATATGCAGGCTGGACTGGGCAAAGCATATCATGTGTAGGCTATGCAGGTCAGCATTACCTGGTTAGTATGGCTATCTTGAGTAATGGGCAGCCAGAGGCAACAAGGCTGTAAATCAATTGTTCAGCATTCCTTCCCTACCTAGGACACTCCACAACCTTGGTCATCTCCTAAGGCCAGTTCTGGGAAATCTTTTTTTTTTTTTTTCCCAGACAGGATCTCACTCTGTTGCCCAGGCTGGAGTGCAGTGGTGTGATCTTGGCTTGCTGCAGCCTCCACCTTCCAGGCTCAAGCAATCCTCCCACCTCAGCCTCCTGAGTAGCTGGGACCAAAGGCACAGACCACCACGCTTAGCTAATTTTTCAATTTTTTGTAGAAATGAGGTCTTGCTGTGGGGTACACGTTGGTCTTGAACTTCTGGGCCCAAGCAATCCTCCCACCTTGGCCTCCCAAAGTGCTGGAATTGCAGGTGTGAGCTATTGTGCCCAGCCTAGTTCCTGGAATTCTTTAAGTAAAAGGCATGGTTTAAACATTAAGGCATCAGTGAGGTAGTAGTGTAGGTTTTGTGCTCGGTGAGGGTGCATGAAAGAATGCTCTAGTAGGGGTGAGGTGAAGCTAAGCCCCATTTCTACTCTGTCTCAATTATAACCTCATTTTCATTTCCAGTGATTGGTCTACAAATGTACAAAATATAGTTTTGGTAAATGAGACCTAAGGAGAATTCTAATGGGGAATTTCTGAGAAGGGTTTCCCCTGCTCTCAAGAAAGAGACACGGAAGAGTAAGTTCCTTCTTCCTCCCCTGCTGCAGCCAACTTTTGACCATATGGTAGTCTGGGCTTTGGGGAATTGCTCATATAGAGGACTGAAGAGTGGAGAGAGAGAAGTTGGGCTCTTGATGAGGCTGGTGAGCTGTGATTGAAGATTATCTTATCAGTGGACTTGTTATATGAAATGATAAATGTCTGTATCATTTAAACTAGTTTTACTCAGAGTTTTGTCTTTTGTAGCCCAAGGAATCTGAACTAGTATATCACTGTTCTTTCCAAATAATAACCTTTCACTTTATTTGGCTGCGTTTTTTTGCTAATGCCTAAGCTCTACTTGAACTTTATTAGATAATTATTCTGCTTTCTTCTGTGCTCTAAACATTTCTTGATTTGATACAACTTCAAACATTACTAATTAATGCAGTGTATGTATGCTACAAATGGGTTACAAAGGCAATGAGATATTGACTCCTTCGGTCCTTAGGGTGGCCGGAAACCTCATGATGGTCAGCCTTGCCCTGGCGGGAAGCAGCTTCCTCCATTTATTCGAGTGCTGAACAAATAACATTTTCAAATGTGTTCAATGAATTAATGTATTGTTGCTTATTTCAAAATAATTAGAAAGATCACTTAGCAGGGCTGAATCCAAATTCCCTATGGAATATCAACTAATTAAGTTGGAATCTTAATTAAATGATTAATGGAATAGACTTCTAATAGATGAAATTAGCTATATTTCTCTCTATTCCATATTCTTTTCGTGGATTTTTGTCATTGACCCCAATTTGCTTGTGGAAACTGGGAGACAACAGAAAACTCTGAAGCACTGGTTTAGAACACAGATGGCCTGAGTTCCAGTCCATGTCTGCTCGTGGATTGTGCGTAAATATTCTACCCTCTCTAGACAGTAGTTCCCTCCTTATCTGTTTCAATGTGAGGCTTGGATTTGCTGATCTATGGAATACCAAGTGTTTTATTTTGATAAAAATATCCCTATATTCATTGATTATCAAGTTTGTCAGTTCTTTAAACAAATGCAATTTGTTTTTCAGGGTGCTTATATTTTTTTCCTGTCATGCTATTTATTATGTATTATAATTAACTCTCCAAATTAATGGTTTTCAAGTGTTAAATGGTAGAGAGCAATGATTCCGAAGACAGTAGATGGGTATAGTAGATAATGTCACATTATCTCCTTTGATAATGAATCGTAACTTCATAATAACTTAAACTGTCATATTCTTAAACTAAAGAGGAAGTTCTGTGTGGGAGGATAGGCGGGTGTTAAAGATAAAAACATAATGGGTTTTGGTTGTGAAATTGTGATATCATATTCCCTCAAAAAGGCTCTATGAAGTCAAATGTAAAACAGTATCCGTTGAAACAAAACAAACTTCATTATTATTCTTTTGCTCCTAGGTAGGCTTCTGAAACATTTCGTTTGTTTACTATTTTTACTTCTTATACAAAACCACGTCTTTTTTTTTTTTTTTTTTTTTTTTGAGATGGAGTCTTGCTCTGTCGCCCAGGCTGGAGTGCAGTGGTGTGATCTTGGTTCATCACAACCTCCGCCTCCCGGGTTCAAGTGATTCTCATGCCTCAGCTTCTCATGCCTCACCCTCCGGAATAGCTGGGATTACAGGTGTGTGCCACCACTCCCGGCTAATTTTATTTTTTGTATTTTTACATGTCTTTAAATGGTCCTTCATGTCTTTGTGTGTGTGAAGGAATGGGAGGGGTGGGAGGCAAGAGGTTGGCAAAGAAATCATTTGTCTCTTTGTCAAAGAAATCTCAAAAAGACATAATGATCCACCTATATTCGCTAGTGCATTTTTTTTTATCACGTCTCTGCAGAGTTGGGATATGTAAAACAAAACACAAGGTAACATGTTTCACACTTAAAAGCATGATAGACTGTAGGTTACAGGTGAAGTGAGGTGAGGTGATTTAACAAGCTGCAGTGTTTTAAATATCTCCTATACTAAGTGGTTTGGTTGCAAAAGGAACTTCAAGGGAACATGACATGACCTAAAATATAGAGAAGAGCGTCTTATTTAAGCAATACAATGTGTGAAGTATGTTAACAAAATCTAGCTCTGCGTGTACTATATAATATCTGAACTGGGATACATCAGCTCCTGTGGTTCACTATTTTTGGTTCTAAAATGTCAGTACTAGGGGCCAGCCTAACGGTTCTGATTACCTTTCACACATTAGGGAGATAGCAGCTCTGAGGTATCATATGATACAGACACCTTCTCTGTACTGATCAAACACATCATTCAGTATGGAGTCATTAACTGGAAGGGTTTGCAGCAGTGGAAGTGAACTCTAAACACCACTATGTCCTTCACTTATTCATGCAAAAATTATTTATTGTATACTTACCCAGGCATTGGGGATACAGCCTTAAAAAAGATTACGACTCTGCCCTCACAAAGCTTGCATTCTTGAGAAGGGAGACTGATAATAAGCAACAAATCCAAAACATTGTTTCAGACAGTGATGAGTGCTGAGAAGGAAATAAAGCAAGGCCAAGTCTTTATAGAGTGTTTGTGGCTATTTTAGATGTATGGTCAGACAAGGGTTCTTTGCAGAGGTGACATTTGAGCCGAGACTTAAATGACAAGATGGAATCAGTAGGCAAAGCACTAAGCAGAAGAAACAGTTCTTGTGCGAGGAGCGAGCAAAAGGAATTATTAACAATGATGGATGGAACTTGGCGACTTCCGGGAACAGCATGAAGGCCTTTGTTACCAAAATATGGTGAGTATGTGCTGATGAGGTCCCAGAGTTAGGCAAGGAGTTTCATTTTTTATTCTAAGTGCAGTTGGTATCCACTGGAAGTTTCAAGTAGAGCGTGCGTTGTGAGGGATGTAATAACAACAGGCAGTTTAAAATACAATATTGTACTTCGATTTGACTTCTTCGAAACCTAGTTTCCAATTCCAGTGCTGGTCAAACAACACCCTGGCCGTCCCTGTTTGAGCAGGCTGTTTGCGCTTGCCGCGGCTTGTTTGTCCCTGGCGCCCCGCTGTTGAAAGCCTCAGAGCGTGTGACAGTTGGCAGGCGCAGTGAGGCGCAGCCCGAGCCAAGTCAATGCAGGGGCCGGGGCTGAGGGAGGGGAAGAGGCAGAGGAGGCGGTGATGGCGCGCTGGGAGGGCGGCGGCCTCTGCAGCGAGGGTGGTGGCGATGCGCATACCGAGAGGATAAGGAAGCGGTTCCCGACGAGCCTCCTCGGGGCTTATGGGGCCCCTGGCGGTTCGGCCTCGGAGGCTAGCGGGGCTGCCCGATTTGGCACTGGAAACAATGGTGGCTCGGGGCTGGAGGCAATGGCGCGAGTGCTGGGGGGCAGGGGCGACTAGGGGAGTTTCGGTTTCTCGGGCCTAGCGCCGCGGAGCCTTGCTGCGGGCCCCAGTGGTAGCACCCCCGGGAACCGCAGGTGTTGATTTAAGGCTCGGAACAGGCGGGCCTTCTGCCCACATCCTGCGGCGCCCGCGACCCGGGCCGGGCGATCCGGCGCCGGGTTTTGTTATCCGCCCGCACCTAGAGGCCGCAAGGCAGCCGCCAGCCCCGGGACTGGACCCCAGGGCGCCCTCGGCCCTGCGAGGTCCCCGCCCTCTCTTCCGTCTCCTCCTCACCGCCCTCCTGAGGCACTCTGATGCGGGCGGGCATCTCTGCCGAAAACACCTACAGCGCCCGCTCCCTCGGTCCTTCGAGCAGTGATCCCTCCGCGGCCAACCTCCCCAGGGAAACCAGCGATTCGCGGTTCAGATAGCGACCTTCGCCCGCAGGTTCCTGCTCTGCCTTCAGACTTCGGCTTCAGTGGCACCTGCTCAGCGAGGCCTCGTCTAACCAAGCCATCCGAATTAACTACCCACTCACTCGCCATCACATCACCCCGATTTAATTCGCAGCGGGGCACTGACTTTACACTCGTGTGTCTTCTGTGTTTATTTATGGTCTGTTTCTGGAATGTCCGCTCCTGGGACTGGGACCATGATTTTCTGGCGCAGTGCGGGTGTCTCGGCGTCCGGGATCGGGCGGGTCGCAGTAGGGCTCCACATTTGTTGAGTGACTGAACACCGTTCCCGGCCGGGGAGAGCGCCGCAGCCGGGTCCACTTCAGGTAGGGGCTGGGCTTTCCCGGCCCCGCCTAGGCCCCGCCCCCAGCGCGAACCCGCTCCCACCTCGCCTGTCCACGGAGCAGCAGGGGGTTTGACTGTGCTTTTCCCTCTTGCTTCCCTCGCTCTTTCTGCAGCTGCCACGAAAACCCGGAACGGCGGAGCGGCGCCGCCCCTCGCGGCACCTCCCTGGCAGCCCTTGGAGGCCGCGCTGGGCATGCTCAGTCAGCTGGGCCGCCTCAGCTCTCGGAGTAGGAAGCTCGGGCGCTCCGGCTGTAAGGAGCCGCGGCGGGGGGAAAATGGAGCCCTTCACCAATGGTGAGTGGGCTGCCGAGGCGCCGGGACCCGGGCTCTCCGGAGCCCTGAGGGTCGTGGGCAGTCGTGACACGCGGGGTCGGGCTGCAGCCGTCTCCCCCAACACCGCGGGCTTCCCACGAGGGCTGAGGGAGGCAGGGAGAGGGGATCTGGGGGAGGCAGGGAGGTTCGGGGGGCGGGCGGCGGCCAGTGCGGGACCCGGGGCTGGCTTGAAGGTCAGCGCCGCCGCCGCTCGCCCGGGGTGCGGCCGGTGGGCAAACAGCAAAGTTTGGGCTGCTGTGCGCAGAGGAGTGGGCAGTGGGAAAGTTGGCAGCTCAGGTTTGCCCCCGGAGGAGGCGGTGTCGGCCCGACTCTCCTGTAGGAGCGTTAAGTTGTGGCAGCTGCCGAGCCCAACTTTTGTGGGGCGCCAGGAGCTGTCCCCCTGCCCTTCAGTGAGCTGCCGGCGTGACTTTTCCTAATAGGGCGGGGTGGGGGTGGGAGGCTTGGCAGGTTAATGTTGTGGAAGGAAGGGAAACTTCAGGAAAGGCTTGCTCACCTCGCTCGGTGCCGCGGAGGTGCCTGGCCACAGTGCCACCCTCCTGACCCTGCCGAGGTACTCGGCAGGGCCACCACGCATCCCCTCACTGGCTGCAGATCACATCAGTTTTTCAGTCAAAGACTTGTTAATGTCAAGGGTCCGTCACGGTGGTGATACCACTGTGTGACAGGAAGCGAGAGTCAACGCAGGGAGCCTGCACCCTGCAAACAGCCACAGCCCTTCACTGAACGGGGAGCATAAATCCCACCCTAGTTAGAACCATGGCTTTTGTGCGGACCAGAAGTGCCAGAGCCACAATATAGGGGTGAGATGTCTTACCGTTTTGCGGTGTTGAGTGTGTGGATTCCCTTTTAAGATAGAAAGTAGGAAAACTGCCAGTAAGGGAGACGACTCACTAAAAGAGGATTCAGTCTCTGGTTGACATGTTTTGCTGAGTGTGGTTGGTTACTTCAGGTACAGTATCACATTAATAGGGGCCACAGTCTATATCCCTGTTTAGTTTGTTAGTTACCACTCAAGAGCAGACAGATATTGTCCACTTTATCCCAAATCCCAGCCAGACTTTGTTGTATGCTGTGCTTCATTCATGGGGCTGTGAACTACTGATTATATTCTCCCTATTCCTAATGTAGAATGCTTTATTCTACTGCCATCTTTCTGTCTGCACTGTTTAATTAGGCTTACTGATAACAACTTTAATTCTGAATTTTCTTTCTCATTCAGGTTCTATTTGTAATTACTAAGACTTAAAGAATAGTCTGGTGAAGTTACTCGAAGAATTAAGGAAGGTTTGAGCTAAAATGAACTAGAGACCATCTAGTACTTTAGTGTAAAATATGTTTAATACAAGTCGTTAAGTCCTTGTAAGTGACTATTCCAATGTTCATTCTTTGTTTTTGGAAGAATGCTTGGAGTTACCATGTTTTTAAATGTGAAATTTCATCTAAATTAAAAAAAAAATCTCTGTGATGAGGCTGACTCACCCATTTGGTCAAGATTAGTGCTAGCTGATTTGCTGAACCTTTGCCTACAGAATTAAAGTACTTTCTCAAGTTTTAAAATTGGTGTCTTTTCTCTTATAGAATATGCTTCTAGATTGCTTCTAGATGTGGGTATTTGCAAACTGTCACATTTGGGAGGACAATGGAAAAATCCCACAGAAGAGAACAAAAAAAGAAGCAATGCTTCAACTTTCATGTAGGAAATTGGATTTCTGATTCTTTCCTATCTTTCAGAGTTGATGCTGGAGACAGCTTGGCAGTGCATAATTTTGGTTAATGTAGCAATCACTCCTTGGAGCCTTATTTAGCATCCTTTTACAAGGAAAACAGAAACGACAATATCTACAGTCAATAAGAAATTAAATGTTAGCAATTTGAAGTGCTTTTCAGGTTTAAGATGGACAGGGTATTTATTTGAAAACTTTTGAAGGATTGCTGTAGAATTTTCTAGTGTTTTCAAATGACATGGTACAGTAGACAGTTATATACTTCATCCTTTTGAGTACAAAAAATAATGCATGTATAATGCTCCCATTGGTCTGGGTGTGATGATGCAGAGTATTTCATTATCCATAGAATTTATGATTGCAAGATTTATCAAGCCTGGTATTGGATTTTGTTACACGTTCATCCTCTTTTAATGGAATCTTTCCCACTTACACTTTTTCATGTATCCCTATATATGTAGAGAGGTGTATGAGCTTAACAAAAAACAGTTTCAGTAATTTAGGACCACATATCTTTTAGTTAAAATCTTGTCAGTGGTTCCATCTACTGACCTATGCATTTGTAAAGGAAGTGAATTTAGCTTATATCTTGTCACTCTAGCCTTCAATACTCATCTATTCCAGTACGTTTTTTTTGTAGTTTCCCTGTTTTCTGTCCAAAGTTGCCACTGGTATGACCTATTTTTGTTGGGCCCTGCTCTCTACCTGTTGATAATTGGTTCATTTGATGAATATCCTATGTTAACCTGTTCAGGTAACATACTTCTGCAACCCATTTAAAATGCATATCCCTGGAAAGGGCTTATAAGGATGGATCTTAGTGCTAGGAATTCCCATTTAGCTCAGGATCTATTTTTGGCTTTGTCCTTGGGAGGGATTGCTATTATGTTGAAGTCTGGACATCTGGTCTGGGTTTGGATCTTTGGTGGCTTTTTTTATGAAGAGAGATGTGCTGGACCAGTACTTAAGATTGTTTTGGCAATAATGATTATGTCTTATTAGGCAGGTAGAGGTAAAACTGTTAAGTAATAGTGATTTGTATATTACAAAAAAAAAAAAAAATTGAAGGCAACTATCTGCTTTTTTGGTTAGAGATATTAGATTAAATAATTCTTTGATGTTTATCCAGATTTTTGTCTTCATTTGCATGCAGGGTTGGTATATTTTGTAAAAACTTAAATTCATCTTAAGAAATGCAAATGCTAAGGTTCACCCTCAGAATCTGATTAAGGAGGTCTGATTATATATGAAATACATACTAGAAAGTATGTATACTTTCTTTTTTTTTTTTTTTGAGACACAGTCTCACTCTGTTGCCCAGGCTGGAGTGCAGTGGCACAATCTCAGCTCACTGCAACCTCTGCCTCCCGGGTTCAAGTGATCCTCCTGCCTCAGCCTCCCGAGTAGCTGGGATTACAGGCGCCCGCCACCATGCCCAAATAATTTTTGTATTTCTAGTAGAAATGAGGTTTCACCATGTTGGCCAGGTGAACTCCTGACCTCAAGTGATCCGCTCACCTTAGCCTCCCAAAGTACTGGGATTACAGGCATGAGCCACCGCGCCCAGCTGAAAGTATATATACTTTCTAGTTTGTGATATATTCTAAAGTATATCTAAAGGTTGGTATTTTGGCATTTTGAGGTCCCAGAACTGAAAACATAAATAGTTTTTTTTTTCATATGAATGTAGGTCCTATGAATCACTTTTATTACCGCAGTGTGGTGCATAATCAAACAAGGAGGACTTAGTTGTCTTAAAAAATTATTTTTGCTTTCATGTTCAGATTGGTATCCAGTTGAAAGTATTTTTCAACTTCAAAAATGGGAAGTCTGGGCAACAAATGAGATATTTGTGGGTTGTAATACAGTATAAAATTGTGATTCCATCTTTTAATCTTACAAATAACAATTGTTCTATAGATATGTGAGTCTTTTTAAAAAAAAATTTTTAGCATCACTTCTCAAAAATGTGAGCATACCACATTTTGTTTTTATTTTTCTTTTGCTCTATGATAAATTTCCACATTGAAAGACAACTCTTAAGAAATAGGAGCTCATAGTTTCTCTGTGTGATGGAATATAAGTTAAATCCTGTTTTTATCTTTCTGTCTTAAGTTTTTAATTTTATTTGGGGGAAATAAGACTGTTAGGAATTAAGTGTTAGCATCACTAACAATCTAGGGTTAAAGCTATAGCTAGAAACAGCCCAGTTTTTAACTGGAAACTAGTGGTAGAAAAGTTCTTTGCTATTACTTGCCAGTTTCCAAAAACTGTCTTGATACATGCATAAAAACAGCATATTTTAGAAACTCTTATAACCGGTGATTATCATTTATCTGTAGGTTATCCTTGAGAACTCAGCCTGAAAGATAGATAACCAGAGAGATTGGTTATAAGGAAATTATATAGAAAATAAGTGGTAATTTTCTGCTCAGTAATTCAATCATACAGCTATCTTTTGAATGCCCATTTACAAGTAGATTTTCTGCTAGACACAGTTACATTAAAAAAAAAAAACCCACAACCTCGTCATCAGATAATGCTTACCTAAATAAGAGAAATGAATAGAAGAACCTAGTTTTGTTGTCATGCTAATATGAAATATGGAAACACAGAAGAAATAAAAAAGCAATAAAGTTTTGTCTAAGACAGTATTCTAATTATGAAATAAATGTACAGAAACTGTTCATAACTGTTTGCATGTCTACTAATTTAGTGTAATACTCCTATTAGGAAACAGCAGTATTAACCCTGTCTATGAAAACATTAGGAAATTGAGATTTGAAAGAGTTTAGCCAAGATTACCCCAGATGTTGGGATGGACCTAGATGAGGCCTGTGGTTCTTGGCAGTCGAGGTGAGGTCAGTGCAGCTATGTTTTGTCAATTAGTCACCTCATGACTTGAAAACTGTAGGGCAGCAGTCCCCAAACTTTTCGGGACCAGGGACCACAGTCGGGGGGATGTATGTATACTTTCTAGTTTGTGATATATTCTAAAGGGGAGAAGGTTTGGGGATGACTCAAGTGCATTATATTTATTGTGCACTTTATTTCTATTATTATTGCATTGTAATATACAATGAAATAATTATACAACTCACCATAATGTAGAATCAGTGGGAGCCCTGAGCTTGTTTTCCTGCAAGTAGACAGTCCCATCTAGGAGTGGTGGGAGACAGTGACAGATCAGGCATTAAATTCTCAAAAGGAGCACACAACCTAGATCCCTCACATGCGCAGTTCACAATAGGGTTCGTGCTCCTATGAGAATCTAATGCCACCACTGATCTGACAGGAGGTGGAGCTCAGGTGGTAATGCTAACGATGGGGACTGACTGTAGAGATGAAGCTTCACTTGTTTGCCTGCTGCTCACTCCTGCTGTGTGGCCTGATTCCTAACAGGCCAGAGACTGGTACTGGTCTGTGGCCTTGGGGTTGGGCAAACCTACTGTAGGGGGCTGGAGTTGAGCTGATACTACTAGGCCTTTCCATAGTATAATTGGAGCAACCAGAAAGACACAGTCTTTTATTTATTTATTTATTATTATTTTTTTAATTTGAATCCGTAGATAAATTTCAGCAACTTTTCTGAAAGTTTGCAAGAAGCCAGGATTGAGAATGAAGGGACATTTTGGAGCCCTTGTGGTGGTACAGTTCTTTTTATATCTAGATCTTGACCTAGATCTACATATGGCCGTTATAGAGAGTGTTGCTTATTGCCTTGGTGTTTCTGGACAGTAAATGGAACATCAAGAGTTCTCTGTGTCCATGGAAGGGTGGACAGGATTCCCTTGTAACCTTATCCATTGTTGTAATTCATTTGTGATTGTCCTAGCAGCACCTGAAGGACTTTGCATTTTACAAAGATGTTTAGAGAAAATTGGAAGAGGAGAATCAATGATGAAGATGAAAGAAATGTGGAGATTGGGGGTAAAGGAAGAAGCTGATAGGCAGAGATTTTAAAAATGGTCATGCCTTGATCCTTGCAAGTCTTTGGTTCAGAAATGAGCTTCAGTTGGAGAGCAGGACACTGTTGTATGAGGTTGAAGACAGAGTCTAGGTTGGAAGGGGACAGGTAGGTAGGTCTGGTTGGATTAATGGAATTGGGGGCTCAGGGGACAAATGAGTTAAGATTGGCATTTGGGAGCCTTGCCAAGAGATAGAAAACATTTGCCAGAAATTTAAGCATACTGTCTTTTTTATAGTCAGAAAATTCAGTCACTCGTAAGTTGGGACTGTTCACTTGTCTGAATGTTTTAGATTTAAAGAAAAAATATAGCTCTTTGATAAACAACGTGGTGTGGAGCTGTGGTAAGCCTGCTCTTGCTCCTGACTCACCGCCGCTCGCTCTCACCAAAAAACAGGTTGGTCAGGAGATACAGAAAAACGCCCATGAAGCCAGAGGTGGCAATTCACTGAATTAGAATCACTCTAGGCCCAGCGCGGTGGCTCACACCTATACTCCCAGCACTTTGGGAGGCTGAGGCAGGCGGATCACCTGAGGTCAGGAGTTTGAGGCCAGCCTGGCCAACATGGTGAAACCCTGTCTCTACTAAAAATACAAAAATTAGCTGAGTATGTTGGCACGTGCCTGAAATCCCAGCTACTCGGGAGGCTGAGGCACAAGAATCACTTGGACCCAGGAGGCGGAGGTTGCAGTGAGCCGAGATCGTGCCACTGCATTCCAGCCTGGTGACAGAGCGAGACTCCATCTCAAAAAAAAAAAAAAAAAAATACGAGAACACTTGGACACAGGGTGGGGAACACCACACACTGGGGCCTGTCATGGAGTCGGGGGAGGGGGGAGGGATAGCATTAGGAGATATACCTAGTGTAAATGACGACTTAATTGGTGCAGCACACCAACATAGCACATGTATACATATGTAACAAACCTGCACGTTGTGCACATGTACCCTAGAACTTAAAGTATAATAAAAAAATAAATAAATAAAAAGAATCACTCTAACGAGCTGCAAGGTAAAATCCTTGGAGAAGGTGTGTGCCGACTTGATCAATGGATCAAAGGAAAAGAATCTAAAGTGATAGGACCAGTTTGAATGCCTACCAAGACTTTGAGAAACATTACAAGAAAAACTTCTTATGAAGGTTCTGAGACATGGTATTGTTTCCAGATGAGAATCCATAAGTGACTCATTGACTTCCACAGTCTTTCTGAGATTGTTAAGCAGATTACTTCCATCATTATTGAGCCAGGAGTTGAGGTTGAAGTCACCATTGCAGATGCTTAAGTCAACTATTTTAATAAATGATTACCAGTTGTTTAAAAAAAAAAAAAAGAAAACTATAGAGAGCTATCTACCTTTTGGGACTACCATGGTAGCAGTCATTTGCTGTTCCTTTTTTTGGGAGGGACGGGAACAGGGTCTTGCTTGGCTGGAGTGCAGTGGCACGGCCACAGCACTGCAGCCTTGACTTCTCAGGCTCAAGCGATTCTCCTGCCTCAGCCTCCCGAGTAACTGGGACCACAGGTGCACACCACCATGCCTGGCTAATTTTTGTATTTTTTGTAGAGATGGAGTTTTGCCATGTTGGCCAGGCTGGTCTCGAACTCCTGGGCTCCAATGTTCTGCCTGTCTTGACCTCCCCAAGTGCTGGTACTATAGGTGTGAGCCAGTGCGGCCCTGTGGCCAGCCTACTATTCTTTATAGCCTGGCTTTGCTTCACTTTTCTACTGGTGCTTGTGATAGAACAATGAACCAATTAATTTTTTTAAAATTCCATCCTTAACATGTAAATGAGGAGGAAACCAGGTCATTTGCCAAATAAGGAAAATTCAAGCTTCCAAGGGAGTTTCAAAAAACAATGGAGGATCAAGTTCAATTGTAGGAGACTTTTTGAAATTCTTTTTCTTCTAATACATATTGCTTAATGAAGGTACTCCTGGGCATTCCACATATTTCAAAAATGTAGTCACTGAACCAGAACTTGAATCAGTTGTCTGAATTTCTCTGGATTGTGGGGCTCAGAGTCTTCTCCAGCCAATGATCTGGGGTGAAGGAAGTTAAAGAAGGCTTCTTCAACTGAGGGAACAGAAGAATGAGGAGTGCAGTGAGAAAAGGATGCCTCTATGGGTTGGGTGTGCTCCCTTCCTCTTGCAGCAAGTGATGAACAGTGCTATGTGGGAGCATTTCCCGGACAACTGACTCAGGTGTCATTCAGTGCCATAGAGAAAATTTCTGGTAAGGAAGGAGGCTTAAGCCATAGTATTTCTCACAGCTGAAACTGTTATTTTGTCAAATTTAAAACAGTTGTTAGTATATTCATCAATGAAACATCATTACATTGTCAATGAAACATTTCATTGTCAATGAAAAGAGTCAAACTGTAAAATCTTTAAAGAGGCTTATTCTGAGATAAATAATGTGTGACCAAGGCCCAAAGCACAGTCTCAAGAAGTCCTGAGAACATGTGCCCAACATGGTTGGGTTACAGCTTGATGTTATACATTTTAGGGAGACAGAAGTTATAGGCAGACAACAATCAATACATGTAAAGTGTACATTGGCTCAGTCTGGAAAGGGGATAACTCAAAGCGGGGACTTCTATTCCAGTTCATAGGTGGATTCAAAGATTTTCTTTTTTGTTTTTCTTATTTTTGCTTTTTTTTTTTTTTTTTTTTTTTTTTGAGACAGAGTCTCATTCTGTCACCCAGACTGGAGTGCAGTGGTGCAATCTCAGCTCACTGCAAACTCCGCCGCCCAGGTTCAAGCAATTCTTGTGCCTCAGCCTCCTGAGTAGCTGGGATTATAGGCATGTTGCCACCACACCCAGCTAATTTTTGTGTTTTTTCAGTAGAGATGAGATTTCGCCATATTGCCCAGGGTGGTCTTGAACTCCTGGCCTCAAGTCATCACCCACCTCAGCCTCCCAAAGTGCTGGGATTACAGGCATGAGCCACACATGTGGCCACATTCAAAGATTTTCTGATTGGCAGTTGGTCGAAATAATTAAGTTATTATCTAAAGACCTGGAATCCATAGAAAGGAGTGTCTGGGTTAAGATAAGGTAAGGGGTCATGGAGACCAGGGTTCTTAATATGTAGACGAAGCCTCCAGGTAGCAGGCTTTCAGAGAATAGATGGTTATTATCTCTTATCAGAACGTAAAATGTGCCAGACTCTTAGTTAAATCTCTCCTGGATCAAAAAAAGACCTGGGGTGGTGCAGTGGCTCACACCTGTAATCCTAGCACTTTGGGAGGCCAAGGCAGGAAGATTGCTTGAGGCCAGCAGTTCAAGACCAGCCTGGGCAACATAGTGAGAGCCTGTCTCTACAAAAAAATTAAAAATTAAAAAAAAAAATTAGTCAGGTGTGATGGTATGCACCTGTGGTCCCAGCTGCTTGAGAGGCTGAGGTGAAAGGATCACTTGAGCCTGGGCAAAGTGGAAGTGAGCTGTGGTCATGCCACTGCACTGCAGCCTGGGCAAGAGAGTGAGACCCTATCTCAAAAAAAAAAAAAAAAAAAGAGATCAGAAAGGTCTTTTTCTATAGAATGTTCCACACAAGAGACAGCTTTGCAGGGCCATTTCAAAATAGGTCTAAGAAATATATTTTGGGGTAAAATACCTTTATTTCTTTCACAGCCTGCTATCTGTTGTGTGATGTTATACTAGAGTCAGTTTAGAATTTGGTATTTTATTGCTACAAAGAGTGTTTCGTCAGTCTTAAGATCTCTGTTTTAATATTAATGCTGGTCAGTTGTGCCAGAATTCCAAAGGGAGGAGAGTATAATGAGGTGCGTCTGACCCCCGCTTCCCATCATAGCCTGAGCTAGTTTTTCATGTTTACTTTGGAATGCCCTTGGCCGTTCAGTCAGAGGGGTCCATTCGGTCAGTTGAGGGGCCTAGAATTTTATTTTTGGTTTACAAAATCATTCCAAGATCCTCTTTAGAGGAAAAATTTATAGAGATTAGTGGGAATGATGAGGAGAACTCAATCTTGAGAGCTCAATCAAAAGGAGATGTTTAAATATCTTTTTAAGTTGGTATTGGTAAAGTGCTTTGAAGACAGAAAGAATGTAATACATGTCTGGTGTCTGCTTGTCCTATAATTGTCGGAAGGGCCTCAATGATGAAATAAGGGAGGCTGCCATGACACTTGAGTCTTGGTGAGAGGAGCTAGTGTGTCCACATTTATCAAGATCACCTGCAGGAGTTTGGGCTGGCCCCCTCTTATTAGTAGTTTCTCTGTTTTTTAAACTGGAGGCTCAGCGCCTTAGTATCTAGATTGGGTAGCTACATTATGAAGATAACTCAAACTGAACAATAGAGTATTGGGTATTAGTGGGAATAAGAAATGCATTGCTCTTTAAAGCAGCAGCCTCACTTCCATCTGCATCAGTACAGGATACTGAGAGGCTTGGTAGCATTCCACTTGTAGGAAGCACACAGAAAAATAATTGAATATAGAAAAGAGGGTCTAGTGTGACTTGGGGATTAGATAATAGAGCATGTTGAATTAGATGGAAATAAGCACATGTTCACTAAAGTGTGGCTAGCTTTGTTCCAGTCCAGTTGTTCACTGCAGTTGGGCATAATTCTGTTTTAATTAATTACCAATTCAGGAAATATTATTGCGATAAAGACTTGAAGAATTTATGCATAGAATCTTGTCTTGGCACATCATCGAATGACAATGACTATTAGTAGAAAAAATGTAGTTACTATCCCAGCCTTTTGACTAATCCATAACTAATTTTTTAAGTTGGTTAATGATAAGCAAACTGGCCCTCAGTCAGTTGTAAATTGATGACAAAGTTGTTACTATAAAGACTGAAGACTGTCGTATACCTGGTGTTTTATCAATCCAATGAGTCACATGGAAAAGTATTACAAAAAATTATCTGCAAGGTAATTTTTTGTTCAGATCCTTCTGAGATCTGGCAAATAAATGTATTCACCAACTGAGATTTCTTGTTTAACTCACAAGTTTTCTGTATACATTGAAGAGTTCTTATAAATTTCCTTTGCAGATCCCATTCAGTGATATGCATTCTTTGTTAAATAACTCACAGATACTCATTATGTCTAATGTAATTTTTCATTTTAAATAAGGAATTATAGGTTAAGATGTTCTTTTAAGACTATAGTATAGCGAATTGATGGAATTTAAAAGTAAACTTTTTATCTTTAGATCTTGTGAAAGTATTTGCAGCTATGCAGATTTGCTTGAGAGATTAATAAGCATAAATATTTAGGCATCATTGACAATGTAAATTACTTTATATTGCTAAATCTAACAGGGGCCCTAAGCATTGTTAAAGACTGGCACCCTATATTGTGAGGAAAGATTTAAGAAATACTATGGAATATAAAGATTTTTTGTTAATTTGATTGGGGGGACAAGTTTGTATAAATATAAATGTAAATAATTTAACCTAGGAAAAGAAAAAGAAAATTGAAAATTGGAGCTAAAATAATTTGATTTTTCCCTCAACAGGGTTATTGGCTGTCTTTTAAGTGACTAAAAGAGCGTATCTTTATGTGAATTTTAGGCATGGTCATATGATTAATACAAGGATAAAGCAACCAAATGCTCTCAGTATTTATTCCCGTGCTATTTGTCTGTTTTTTAGTTCATGGAGTATTGTATTGTACTTGGTAATTTGATGCTTTTGAGATGTCCTTTAGACAGATTTTTAACTACAGGACTTCCTCTGTAGAATCGACAATGTGTTTCACTCTCTGTGGCATTGACAATGTTTTTGAATGCCTAATTGTTCAGTAGAACTCCGTGGTTATTATTACAACTTTGTACATTATTATAAATATTTTATATTAGTTGTATATTCCACTGCAGATAGCAACCAGAAAACTAAATACAGAAATATTACATATAGAGAGAATATAATGTACAAAAAAAATCTTGGGAGATGAGTGCTTTGGGTTTAATTCTATTTTACTGAAACCAGAGAATAATAGGATTCAAATCTACCTAATTTTTCTATTTTTCTGATTTTCCATTTTTCTCTTTTTGAATTTTTTCCTTTTCACATTACTTTAGTAATTTGTTCTTCATCTCTTATTTTTATCACCTAGACAGAAAATATAGCAAAGCATAAATCATTTTTCAGGTCACCATGCTTCATTCTTCTTTTATTGGGGAAGGGGCAGTGGTGATCCGGGAAGAAGCATAGTGTAAACATTTTAATACAAATTTCTCTTTTTTTTTTTTTTTGAGATGGAGTCTTGCTCTGTCTCCCAGGCTGGAGTGCAGTGGCACGATCTCGGCTCACTGCAACCTCTACCTCCCGGGTTCCAGTGATTCTCCTGCCTCAGCCTCCCGAGTAGCTGGGATTACAGGCATGCACCACCATGCCCGGCTAATTTTTATATTTTTAGTGGAGACAGGGTTACACCCTATTGGCCTGGCAGGTCTCGAACTCCTGACCTCAGGTGATCTGCCTTTCTCGGCCTCCCAAAGTGTTGGGATTACAGGCGTGAGCCACCACGCCCAGCCCAGATTCTTCTTGCATTCTGTTTTAAACTGCTCCCATTAATAAGTATTTTTATTTGTTTTGCTTTTGACTTGTGCCCGTGTATCTTTTTAAAAAACTATTCTATTTTCAAAAAGATGCCCTCCCAAATAGATACATTAAATGCATTAAAATATTCCTTTACTGTATGCTACCTTGTTCTAAGCTTTGTTCTTAAATTTACAAATATTAACGTAGCATGGTCCCTGATTTTGAGGAGCTTACATTCTTGTGGAATTGTTTCTCGAAAAGATTATTAATATGAACATACAGACTAGCATCCTCTCCAAAAACCATCATACTTTGAGAATTATAGGTCCAGTCCCACACCTTTTACTGGAGATACATTTGGTTTTGTAGCTTTTTTTCTTTTTTTCCATTTTGGAGATCTATTTATAAATCTACCTTATTTTGTTGACTACTGTATAGTATAGTATAATAGTGAAGTGAAAAGTTCAGACAGCCATATTCAAATCCTGGCTCTTTATTCACTAGCTCTCTGATTCTTAAGGATATTACCAGAATATCTTAATATCTTTAGTTAAAAACCTAAAATGTACATTCAAAACTTAAAACTTTTTTGAAATTAGCAGTGGTCTAAGATAAGTGGTGGTTTGAGCATATTCCAGCCTTAGTGAGGTTTTGAAAAGCTGGGAACTAATGGTGTTTCTTGGATCCTAATTCTTTACTAAGGGCTTGAGGCCATTATAGGAGGATTCTTTCCATTTCATATTTATTAACAATTTTGAATTTGCAACACTTTCATGGAAGTGTTGCCTAAAGCATGGGTCCCCAATTTGCATGTCAAGGACCATGCTAGGAACTGGGCTTCACAGCAGGAGGTGAGCAGTGGGCAAGTGAGCGTTACCGCCTGGGCGCCTCTCCTGTCAGATCAGGGTGGTATTAGAGTCCCATAGGAGCATGAACCCTATTGTGAACTGCACTGGGGAGGGATCTAGGTTGCATGCTTCTTATGAGAATCTAATGCCTGATGATCTGAGGTGTTACAGTTTCATCCCAAAACCATCATCCCTTCATGCTCTTGCCTCTGTCACTTCCGCCACACCCCTGTCTGTGGAAAAATTGTCTTCCACAAAACCAGTCCCTGGTTCCAAAAAGGTTGGGAGCCACTAGCCTAAAGAGTAGAGGAACTGTACATTCCTACATCCAACTTAATTCTGGCCCAGGTATGCTTTCATGGTGCCTTCAAGAAAATGCAATATGCAGCACCTCATTATTCATACAAATAGGTTCTATTTGTTCAGCCGAAAAACATTAATTACATATAGCAGACAAAAACACAGTTCTTTTATATTTGCTACAATGGTTGGCGTCTAACATAGTGTTTTGTTGCACACATATTAGATGCTTAATAAATGTTATCTGAGAGTAATATTACTCCAAACAACTCCAAAACAAACATTTAACAGTTTTGTTTGGACTCTTAAATTAGAGGTCAGTCAGTCTGTCTATCCTTCCGTCCTCCTTCCCTCCCTCCCTCCTTTCCTTTTCCATCCTCCCCCTCACCTTTCCTTTTTCTGTAAACTTTTCCATAGCAAATAGAGTAATTCCAAATCATTTTTTGGAACATTCTTATTAGTGTTCATTCAGCTTCCCTTTCCACTGAAATGAATTTATTGAGTACTTGGAGTATTTCAAACCCTATGCTTTGTACAGAGAAGACAGTGCTAAATAGGAAACCCTCTCAGTGTTAGAGGGAAAGGAAGATGATGTGGAGGGAAGGAGTCTCTTACTCTGAAGCATTTTCAAAATCAACATTAAAGAGTGAACCAACATTTACCTCCTTTCTTCTTTCATCTTCTTATTTCATAGCTAGAGAGCTGCTGTGCGTTTGAGACCTAAGTGGTGCAATTAAATCAATTTCTCTTCCTACAGTGCTGCAAGGACTTCTGGCTGACCTATATTGGGGCACTTTGCTCTTCATTAGAGAGCCACAAAAACAATTCCCAAGCCAATTAAATTCAACTTTTAAAAAGGAATTTCCTAATATACCATAGAGTTGGTGAGAAGGCAATGAATGGGTCCCACAAGCTTTCATGTAGCCTTATGGGAAGAGTAAAGGTTAAGCTGTGTCATGGTTGTCAACTGGGCAAAGCCACTGAAAGGCAGGACTCTCTATTAGTTGACGTAACAAAATATTAATAACTAGTGTTATGAATTAGTTGCAGTATGAGCTGAGGTATGAAAGCATGAATTTTAGACCTGACACTATCCAGGAGGGAAAAAAGTGGATGTTTCTGTACTGATGTTAATCAAAGGTTAAAAATCAAATGACATTTTGAGGAAAACAAACCTAAACAACTCATTAATGGCCACACAACTTAAATTATTGTGTGCGGTACTATGAATACGTTGATTCACTACTTCCTTCCCGCTTAAAATCTCCATTTCTCCCTACTCCTTAGTATATTTATAGAGTAATTATATGGGAACATAGTATAGGCAGTGTAGTAGTCTGCTCTGGCTGTTAGAATGAAGTAATACAGACTGGGTGGCTTCGACAACAGATATTTATTTACTTACAGTTCTGGAGGCTACTAGTCCAAGATCAAGGGGCCACCATAGTTAGTTTCTGGTGAGGGCTCTCTTTCTCACTTGCAGAATGCTACCTTCTTGCTGTGTCCTCACATGGTCTTTGTTCTGTGCATATGTGGAGAGAGCGAGCTTTGCTGTTTCTTTCTATCAAGGACACCAATCCTATTGGATTAGGGCTCTACCCTTATGACCGAATTTAACCTTAATTACCATCTTAAAAGCCCTGTCTCCAAATGCAATCACAATGGGGGTTAGTGCTTTTTTTCTTTTTTTGGCGGGGGGCGCGGGGGACAGAGTCTTGCTCTGCCACCCAGGCTGGAGTGCAGTGGCGCGATCTCAGCTCACTGCAAGCTCCGCCTCCCGGGTTCACGCCATTCTCCTGCCTCAGCCTCCCAAGTAGCTGGGACCACAGGCGCCCACACCACGCCTGGCTAATTTTTTGTATTTTTTAGTAGAGACGGGGTTTCACTGTGTTAGCCAGGATGGTCTCGATCTCCTGACCTCGTGATCCACCCGCCTCGGCCTCCCAAAGTGCTGGGATTACAGGCGTGAGCCACCGCACCTGGCGGGGGGTTAGTGCTTTAATATGTGAATTTGCAGGGTGTCGGGGGCGGGATGGGGGATACAACTGTATCATAGGAGTCTTCACTTTAGACAGTTTCTTTCTGTGAACCTCAGGATAAAGAAAATTACTTTTCCACAGGAATAAGTTTTTGGAGTTTACATTCCTGCCTGAGGATGTTAAAAGAAGCATCTATAGTTAAGTTCAATTTTTTTTTTTCTGGACACAGTAATTCAGGATGATCCAAAAAACCCCTTGTCCCATTTTTGTCCTGCACTGAAGCAATTCAGACTTTCTGTATTTATTTACTTTGTGTATTTACTCTATATGCTTTTAGTATACTAAACTTGCATGTTTGGATCAAGATGTCTGGAGAGTTTGGGAGTAGTTTATCTTCGAAGGCAGAGTTATGCTTCTCAAACATTTTGGTTTTAGAATCTCCTTTACACTCTTAAAATTTTTTTTATCGAGGACCCCTAAGAGCTTTTGTTTGTATGAGTTATTTCTCTAGATATTTAAAAATTAACACTAACATTTTAAAAATATTTATTTAATAACAATAAACACCTTTTACATATTAAATAAAATTTAAAAAAAAGAGAATTATTATTTTCCAAAACAAAAGGATTAGTGAGATGCATTATTTTTCATTTTTGCAAATCTTTTTGATGTTTGGCTTAATAGAATACAACTGGATTTTCAGATTTGCTTCTGCATTCAGTCAGTTGTAATAGCACAAGTCATGTAGCCTGTGGAAAACTCTGCTGTACACTCATGAGAGAAGTGGAGTGAAAATGGCATATAACATATTATGATGAAATAGTTTTGACTCTGAAGGCCTCCTGCAAGGGTATCAGGGATTTCTAGGTGTACCCATATCACATCTTGAGAACATTAATCTTGCGTTTTTCAGGAACTGGAGAGGAATAGTTTAGGAGTCCACAGAAGGTAGAAAGTGGAGCTGTTGGAATTGGGCAGCAAGTTTCTTAAGATAGATCTAGGTCACAGGAGGGGAATGTTCTGGCCAGGCATATTTGACTGGCCACATTATCAGATGCCTTGGTTATGTGCGGATTCTACCGTCATTTATTTCAGCCCTAGATGGTGCTAAAGTAGAGAGAGACAGATTTTTCTTAAACTATTGCCTTTAAAAATCATTTATTTTTATCCCCATTTTTTTTGTTTATATCCAAAGGGTTTTCAACAAGCTGCCCCTTTCCCAACACCCCAGCCCCTCAACGAAAACATAATAGAGACACATCATTTAATTTCTCAGCCCTTTCATGATCTCTTAGACTAATCTTAGTTTTCATAAATTAAAGGCCTACTTGGCTAAGTTCATTTACTTTTTTTTTCTCCTACTTTTCTTGATCTCTGGACCCAGGAATCCCAGATGATACAAAACCCTTTGTTTCATACCTGCCCTGCCATAGAATGATCTAGACCTTTAAGAGGACTAGAATCAGCCCTCTTTTTCTGGGCTTTCTGGGGCCAGGAATGACTAGGATTGATCTGCTTTCTCAAGCTTTGCCCCGGGCCTAACCAGGTCAGCCTGGGACCAGCCCGTGGGGTTTGACTATACCTGGAACAGATGGTTAATCTATTGGCTTGCTATAATGTAATTTCCATTTGGCTGGCAGTAGGGAAAGGAAGGTACTTCCTGTAAGCTACACACTGATTTTCATCCAGGTGTTCACACATACCGGGTTTTATGAAAGAGAGCTTGACCCTCGCATTCCTGATTAGCATTTTGTTAGTGTGAAAGTAAGGTATAGACACAGAGACAGGTATAATCACAAAATGGTTGGAGTCTTTTATTGTGTCCTTTTCTTAGAGCAAATTTAATAGAGGAGTTTGATTAGCACCTAAGACTTGCTTAAAACTGAGTTACTAATTCTTTTTCCATTAATAATTGCTACCTCTACCCTCCTTCTCCCACGTTTCTCAGAAACCCAGACATCCCTGAGGCCATTTAAAGTCCTGTTTATGCCGTAGAATACAATGACGTACAAAAGGACATTCACTCCCTGCATGTTGGCTTCCCTTATATGAACATAATATGTGGCCAAATAATATGTTGCCATATATAAAAATGTGTGGTTCTCTCATTTCTAGGATTTTCATGTGTTATCTTGGCTTTTCATCTGAAAGTTTTCTCTTGTCCATTTGTATCTTGGTATTTTCTTTTTCAATTAAAATATTAATTTCTAAGAAGCAAACAAATCTATGTCTTAGTTTATGTATACTAATTCAAGTTTTGTTTTTTACTCCAGATGTGTTGATAGAGGTTAATATAAGAAATGTTTGTGTTGGCATAATGCAAAGGTTATTTTTGATTCTGAACCCATAGCAGTTTCTAACCGGTGTTCGTCAGTTTGTGCTTGCTTTTATCCTTGAGGTTAAGGATTGCTCACCAAGCCTTTGATTACTAGGTACATTGCAGAATAAATAAAATGGTTGCTAGTGTATACTCTGTATTAATCTGTCCACAGCAGCATTGTCAGTGATCTCAAGGTTCTCTGTAGACATTAGTATTGGGTTATGGCATGCTAAAATAGAGATAATTGAGACTATAAAGTTCCAAGTTGAAGTTATCAATAACAACCCTAAAACTATCTTCCTTTTCTTTCCTTCTAAAATAAGACATATGGTAATCTGTGATCAGATGTAAACATGTACATCCTGAAATGTAATTATAAGGTCAGCTGGCCTGAGCTAGAATTCTATTAATATGAAAGTAGATGATATACCTACCCATTCTAACCCATTCATTCAAAATACCTTGAAATACTTACTGACATTATAGAAATTTAGCCCTTCACTCTGCTGATGTTTATAGTTAAGTGTCAGAAATACTTTTATACAGAAGACCTTGTATGGTTCCTTTGTGTGAGTGGACAGAATTTGTGGAGCAAAGACCTGGAATCCAGCATATGAGAATGTGCAATAATTGTTCAAATGAATAAGCTTCTCAGATTTGGCCTTTGTATAATTAAAATCAGAGTGCTGAAGTGTTGCATATTCCTCATTCTTCTCATTCTTGCAAGTCTCTCTCTCTCTCTCTCTCTATATATATATATACATATATACATATATACATATATACACATATATACATATATACACATATATACATATATACACATATATACATATATACACATATATATACATATATATATACATATATATATACACATATATATATATATATATATATATTTTTTTTTTTTTTTTTTTTTTTTTTTTGAGACAGAGTCTTGCTCTGTCGCCCAGGCTGGAGTGCAGTGGCACGATCTCGGCTCACTGCAAGCTCCGCCTCCTGGGTTCATGCCATTCTCCTGCCTCGGCCTCCGGAGTAGCTGGGACTACCGGCGCCTGCCACCACGCCCGGCTAATTTTTTGTATTTTTAGTAGAGACGGGGTTTCACCGTGTTAGCCAGGATGGTCTCCATCTCCTGACCTCGTGATCCGCCTGCCTCGGCCTCCCAAAGTGCTGGGATTACAGGCGTGAGCCACCGCGCCCGGCCTGCAATTATGTTTTTAAAACTTAAAGCAAAACAAAAAATGACCCTTCTATCCCTCTTTTCATACCCATATTTTGGCAACCACTGATATGCTTTCTGATATTATAGGTAAGTTTATGTTTTCTAGAATTGTATATAAATTGAATTATATAGATTTTATATAATTTTATGTAAATGGAATCATACAGTGCTCTTTTTTGGCCTGACTTCTTTGACTCAGCATACTGGTTTCTTTTTTAAAAATTGGTGAATAGGGCTGGACGCGGTGGCTCATGCCTGTAAACCCAGCACTTTGGGAGGCCAAGGTGGGCAGATCACTTGAGGCCAGTTGTTCGAGACCAGCCTGGCCAACAAGGCGATAGCCCATCTCTACTAAAAATACAAAAATTAGCTGGATGTGGTGATGCACGCCTGTAGTCCCAGCTACTTGGGAGGCTGAGTCAGGAGAATCACTTGAACCCAGGAGGCAGAGGTTGTAGTGAGCCGAGATTGTGCCACTGCACTCCAGCCTGGCTGGGCAACAGAGTGAGACTCCATCTCAAAAAAGAAAAAGAAAAAAATTGGTGAATAGTATTCCACTGTACAGATCTACCATAATTGTTTATTCACTAATTCACCAATTGATGGACATTTGTTTTCAGCTTGGGGCTATTACAAATAAAGCTGCTATGAACACTCTAGTATAAGTCTTTGTATAGACATTCAGTTTTGTTTCTCTGGGGTAAATTCCCATAAGTCGATTGGCTGGGTCATCTGGTACTGTAAGTTTTAACTTTTTAAGAAACTGCTAAACTATCTTTCAAACTGTTTGTGCCATTTCACATTTCCATCAGTGGTATATGACAATGCTGATTAATTTAGTAAAATAATCTTTTTAATTTTAGCCAATCCAGTAGATGTGGTTACTTGGGTTTTTATTTGCATTTCCCTGATGACTTCTGATGTTGACTATCTTTGTGTAGGGACAAGGAGAAGTGGGTTTTTTGGCCATTAGTTCACCTTTTGTGAAATGGCTGTTTAAATGTTTAAATCTTTTGCCCATTCCTTTACATTGGATTATTTGTCATCTTAGTGAGTGGTAAGAATACTTCAAATATTCTGAATACAGGCTTATACAAAGATATATACATAAATATATTACACAAATGTATCTAATAGTTCTCTCTATATAAAAACACTAAAGATGTTGCTCTATCATTTTCTAGTTTCCAGAGTTTTTTTTATTAAGAAATCCATGGTACCAGCCTGGCCAACATGGTGAAACCCTGTCTCTGCCAAAAATACAAAAAATTAGCCACGTGTAGTGGCGCACGCCTGTAGTCGCACCAACTCCAGAGGCTGAGGCAGGAGAATCACTTGAGCCCTGGAGGCGGAGGTTGCAGTGAGCAGAAATTATGCCACTTCACTCCAGCCTGGGCGACTGCGTGAGACTCCATCTCAAAGAAATCCATGGTAATGTGAATTGTTACCCTGTATGTAATATATTGAATTTTTTTCCTAGCTGATTTTGAGTATTTCTTTACTTTTGGTTTGCAGCATTTTGTGTCTTGGTTTTCTATGAGTTTATTCCTTTTTGAATTGGTACATTGATGTCTTTTACCGTATTTGTGAAGTTTGAGGTGATTGTTTCTTCAGATAATTTTTCTGCCCCAATATTTTTCTCCAGTCATTCTGGGACTCCGACTGCATATGTTTTAGTCCTTTTGATATTGCCCTACATGTCCTTGAGGCGCTGTTTATTTTTTCCTCAATCTTTCTTTTCTCTGTGTTCCTCAAATTGAATCATTTCTGTTAATCTTTAAGTTCACTGACTTTTTTTTCTTTGTCATCACCATTCTGCTCTTCAGGCCATTCAGTGAATTTTTCTTTTAAGAATTTTTGTTGTCTGTTTAAAAATTTTATTTTGGTACTTTTTATAGTTTCTATTTCTCTGCTGAGAATTTTTACTTTCTTGTTTATTTCAATATGTTCTTCTTTACCTCGTGGAGCATAATTATAATAACCGCTTTAAAGTATTCAATAATTCCATCATCTGGTGATTGCGTTTTCCATTGAGGATTGTTTACATTTTCTTGGTCCTTTGTATTTCAAGTAGTTGTGGCTTGCATCCTGGACATTATGGGTGTTATATTGTGTAGACTCTTTTATCCTCTGAAGAATGTTGATATTTTTGTTTTGGCTGGCGATCACCCTGCTCAGGTTCAGACCTTAGTTCTGTTTCACCATCTGTGGCCAGTGGCTCCAATGTTAGTTTAGTTCTCCTAGCCTTTGTATGGTAGGCAGAATAATGGTCTCCAAAGATGTCCATTTCCTAATCCCTGAAGCCTTGGTAATATTTTAGGTTACATAATGAAGAGGAGTTAGGTTGCAATTAGAGTTGCGGTTGCTAATCAGCTGACCTTAAAATAAAGAGGTTATCCTGGATTATCTAGTTAGGCCCAGTGTAGTCATAAGGTTTTTAAAAGTGAGAAAGTGAGGCAGAAGAGTCAGTATCAGAGTGACAAAGTGTGAGAAAGATTCAGCCTGCACTTGTGGCTTTGATGATGGGAGGGGGGCCCAAGCTAAGGAATGTAAGCAGTTTCTAGAAGCTGAAAAACAGAAAGAAACGGATTCTCTCCAGAACTTCCAGAAGGAATACAGCACTGTTGCTATCTTGATTTT
This sequence comes from Homo sapiens, assembly GCF_000001405.40. Classification (NCBI taxonomy): domain Eukaryota; kingdom Metazoa; phylum Chordata; class Mammalia; order Primates; family Hominidae; genus Homo; species Homo sapiens. Next base: position 96,957,740 of record NC_000005.10, read on the forward strand.
AGCCCAGTGAGACCCATTGTAGACTTCTGACCTCCAGAATCTTAAGATAATTTGTGTTGTTTTAAGCCGTCAAGCTTGAGGTTAATTTGTTATAGCAGCAATAGAAACTAATAGACTTTGCTATATTGGTTTGAGTCTGTTCTGCACATATGTAGCTCAGTGATTATTCTGTAACTTTTGCAGGTTCATGCACAGATTTAAGGGATCCTCTTTTCTGATTCTCTCCCCTCTGGGATTTCCCCCATGCTGTATAGCCTACAGGGTCTACTTCTGGTTTCTCTGGATAGAAATATGGGACTCATTGGAATTTTACCTGTTGGCATTTCCACACCACTCTGTGACCAAAGCCTGCCTTCAGGGCAAAGTAGAGAAAGGAAATGGAACAATATTAAAACAGAAACTCACCCCTGTGTGTTTTGCTTCAGCAAGTTTTTGACCCTATAACCTATTATAAAGTGAAATGAAAATGTGGACACCTGTGAAGCGGTCCGAGTGCAAAATTTGTCTAGACTTTCAATTTTTTTCCCCAGTCTTTTAGAGTTGTCTCCTACCTAATTCAACAACAATTTTAGTGGCTTGCCTTTTTGAGTTTTTCCAGTGATTTCAGCTGATCTTCTCAGAATTGCTTTCTTCATCTATTTTGCAAGTTAATTGAATTACCTAATAGCTATACCAAGCATAACTCGAAATGCCACAGCTGAACTTGGGCAAGCTCCTAACTCCACTAAGTACAGAAGTGGAGCCGTACAGCCATGAATGTCAGGCATGTTGTGGGGACTAGTTGTATTAGTTTTCTATTGCCACCATAACAAATTACCACAAACTTAAGCAATATAGTACAAATTTATCTTAAAGTTATTGGCAGGTCAGAAGCCTGATACGGATCTCATTGGGCTAAAACGAAGGAGTTGGCAGGGCTGTGTGTTCCTTTCTGTAGGCTCTGGGCAGGATCCATTTCCTGCACTTTTTTGGCTTTTGGAGGTCGTCCACATTCCTTGGCTCCTGGCCCTGCTCCTTCATCTTCAAAGCTACCAAAGGTAAGTCATGTCCTTTTTCATTATTTCACTCTGATAGCCTCTTTTGCTTTTTTTTTTTTTTTTTTTTTTTTGAGACGGAGTCTCACTCTGTCACCAGGCTGGAGTTCACTGGCACGATCTCGGCTCACTGCAATATCTGCCTCCTAGGTTCAAGCGATTCTCCTGCCTCAGCCTTCCGAGTAGGGATTACAGGCACCGGCCACCATGCCCAGCTAATTTTTGTATTTTTAATAGAGACGAGGTTTCACCATGTTGGCCAGGATGGTCTTGATCTCTTGACTTCATGATCCGCTTGCCTTGGCCTCCCAACCTCTTCTGCCTTTTAAGGACCCCTGTGATTGTATTGGGCCGTCCTGGATAATCTTTCCATCTCAAGGTCTGTAACCGTGTCCCTAGGGATTAGGACATGGACATTTTGGGGGCTGGGGGAGGATTAGTCTGTTGACCATACCAGTTAATCTTATTTACAGAGGATGTGGAGAGTAATGATTAATATGTTGAGCTGATGAAGTAGACAAGTGGCTGCTGTATGTAGAAGTAATGTTGGAACAAATAATACGTCCCAGAATAGTTTCTGTAAGGCTGATTTTACTCTGAAATTTTAATTAATTTATAGTTAATATAACTACCTCTGTATTTTGTTGTAGTCTTTTGTGGGTAGAGTTGAGGAAGAGATAGGAATGGGATTATTTTGACATGGCTCATGATCACCAAAATGTGATCCTTGGTCAGTTTACCTAAATATCAATGTAATTATGTTTATCTAATTTAATAATTTGCTGAAATCTTCCTTATTTTTTACTTTTTATGAAGCTTTTAGCCATTTATATTAGATGGTGATTTTTAAAACAACTTTTGAAGACTTAAGTGACATTTTAGTAGATATGATTGATTTAATATGATTTTAGTTTTAGACTTTTAAAATTTGATTTAGCTAAATCCATCCTCTATAGCTAATTCTCCATATCTGACCAAAGTTGAGTATCTGAGGATTTTCTAAACTTGGGAAGATCTAAAATTTTTGATTATGAAAATTTCTTGTGCATTTCAAATTATAAGTCTTATTCATGGCTCTAATGTGAGTAATAGTACTAAATAATATTCACATGTATATTTCAACACATTTTAAATTCAGCCAACTACTTTTAAAATTTATCTTTTTTTTTTTTTTTTTTTTTTTGAGACCAAGTCTCACTCTTTTGCCCAGGCTGGAGTGCAATGGTGTGATCTTGGCTCACCACAACCTCTGCCTCCTGGGTTCAAGTGATTCTCTTGCCTCAGCCTCCCGAGTAGCTGGGATTACAGGCATGTACCACCACACCTGGCTAATTTTTGTTTTTTAGTAGAGATGGGGTTTCACCATGTTGGCCAGGCTGGTCTCGAACTCCTGACCTCAGGTGATCCACCTGCCTTGGCCTCCCAAAGTGCTGAGATTACAGGCGTGAGCCACCGTGCCTGGCCAAAATTTATCTTAATTCAGACTTTACAATTGACTTTATTAAATAAATATTTTTAAGTAGAAGAAATGTTTACTGACTAATATATGAATCATAATTAAAATTGAACTTCAGTTACGCTAACAAGTCCACTGAAACGTAGCTGGAGTAACTAACTGCAGCAAAACTTGGTTCAATGTAGAAATCTAAAACTTAAAGCAACACATGCAATATGAATTGCTTTAAATCTTTAGTTGTTAATTGAAATGCATTTTAGGCAAATTGGTCACATTCTAGGGTGTGGGTTGGCGGGTTTCATTCTCTACCTTTTCAGCCAGGATACAGTTCTGTGTCCCAACAAGTATAGTGTAGTCAGTGACTTTTCCTTTTATGATGACCATAAATCTCTTCAGACTAGTGTTTGTAAGAAGACGGGAAAATAGTAAAATATGTTAGAATTATTTGCACCAAAAACCAAATTTTAAAAATTAGTAGTTTTATCACCTAGGCAGAAAACTTTTCTATTAGAAATTATACAGTCTCTCATCTCAAATACCATGTTTTACTGTTCTAAGAATCAAATAGTGCTATAGTGAAAAAAAGAGAGTAGTTTTTTTCTGAAACTATCTACTATACTGTATAACATGAGAAATTTCTCAAAAAATATGTTTTTTTTTTCCATAATCATGTCTGGTCTCTTTTTTGAGACCAAGATGAAACCATGTTGCTTGGTCTTCAACCATCAGCTTATCTGTTCTCTAATGATTTTTGTTGTTCTGGTTTGGTCTTAAAGTTTTGAGAATTCATTTTATTATAAATGTGAAAGTTCATTTAAATATTGTGTTCTTTTTGTTCCTGTAAAGGAAAAAGAATATCTAGAATAAAGTAATAACTTGTACCATGTTGTAGACTTGCTTCAGTTGATGAATGCTTCTCCTATTATTTGAAAAGGATTCACCTTTCAAAAACAAAACAAAAAAAAACTGTCTACCATGCAAAAACAAATGACTTTCTGAGGTTGCTTAACCATTTCCTGTAAGTATGGGAAAGCGGTTATTTTCAAAATCACCAGACAGAATTTGGGTAGAACTAAACTTAGCTGAGCAGTTCTGTGGGTTAAACTCACTTATTGTTTCACTTCTATCTTCCTCTAGAGAAGTTAAAATTTAAAAATTAAAAAAAGAAATCTGCTTGGTTCCTGTCATTTTTACTAACTAGCTGAGTATCTTTGGACAGAAGCTAATTGTTTTTTTTATAAATGTAATAGGATTAGAGATTCTCTTTAAAAAGCTTACAGTTTTTTAAAATAGCAATAGCTATTTTTTAAAAAAGCTTCTGGTTTTTAAAAATAGCAAAACAAAGTGTCAGCAGCATGGGCACTGTGCTGTACGTTCATCCCTCAGTATCCTCTGAGGATTGGTTCCAGGATCCCCTCCCCCCTACCAAAATCCACCAATATTCAATCCCTGTATATTTGCATATAACCAGTTTACACGAATCATCCCATTTACTTTAAATTATCTTTAGATTACTTACAAAACATAATACAATGTAAATACTATGTAAATTATACTGTATTATATTATTATTTTTGATTTTTTCAATTTTTTTAAATCTGCCATTCAGTCTATAGATCTGGAACCTGTAGATACAGACTAACTGTATTTGGATAATTTCATAATTTTAATGAGAGAAAGGGGAGAGGGGAAAGCCTGGTTTACTGCCCATGATGAAGTAGTAATACAGTAAATTTAGTTGAGACATCAGCCAACCTTTTTTGAATACCTACTAAGTACCTGGCTGAGAGAGTTGTAGAAACCACAGTGTCAATGTGTTTCTACACATTTCTATAATTGTTGGAGTTGTGTTTATCTCTAGAATTTGTGGTACTATCCTAAACCTCCATGCAACTCTTTAGTTGTGATGTAGAGGTGGCTCTGTGACCCCCCAGCCTTCTCCAGAGGCTATGTAGACATGAAGCGTTTAGTTGGAACTAGGGACTTGATTTGACATTCCTGGACTTATACCCAAAGTCTAAAAGGGTGTTAAAGGGGTATACGTACTGCAGTCAAAAAAATGGTGGGTTTGGAACTTGGCTCTGCTACTTAATAGCAAGTTCTTAAACCTCTTTGTTTCTCACTTCAGCTGTAAAATGTGAGGATTAAATGTTAACTAATGTGTGTAAAATGCTAATTAATATAGACAGCTGATAATTTTTTGAGTACACACTGTGTGCTAGACTGTGTTCTAAATGCTTTTACATATCATTTAATTCGTATAACTCAATGAGATAGATAATATTATTATCCCCATCTTATAAATGAGCAAACTGAGCTTGGAAAGATGAAGTAACTTGCTTAAGGCTACACAGGAAGTGGCAGAGCAGTCTGGTTCCAGAGATACCCTTTTTTCTTTTTCTTTTCTTTATTCTTTTTTTTTTTTTTTCAGGCTAGTCAAGTGAAGCAATGAGGGTGGAGAAGGAACAAATAAGCCTGTAACTGGTTGTGATCCATTAGTTGTAAATACCACTGCACTGGGACCAACTTCCAGAGATATTCTTAATTACTCTGCTGTGCCGTCTCTTTATTGCTTAGCTGGGTATTAGCATATGATTTGCCCTCAGTGAATGTTGGCTTTTATCAACATTGTCAGTGGTGGTAGTGACGATGATGAACTTGGTTTTACTTTTTCAGTGTCTAACCTGGTCCCGTGCTAGGACCCCAGGCAGAGCTTCCTATGAAGTCACGTACAACAAGGCCTTTGGGCTTAAGAGAAAAAGCTCACAGCTGCACAGAGGGAGGAGTTTTTATATAAAGAATACAAAATGTTCTGAATACCAAGTGTTTCATTCTCTCCTTATGTTTCTGAGTTGAAATTTGAAGTAATCATGAGACACTGCATGTGTTCCCATTTCAAAGATGCCACAGAATCATAAAACTAGTATGTAGCATATAATTTCAATTTTGTCTTAGGGGATAAATTAGTCTAAGAATAGTATACCAAAACATTAATTGTGATAATAGTGTAGTGATCAATTTATGAATGAAATGATCCTCTATTACTGCATGGCACATCATAAAACTTAATGGCTTAAGGCAACAACCATTTTCTTTGCTCATGATTTTTTAGGTCAACAGTTTGGATTATATTCTGCCGGGTGTTTCCTCTGCTGATCTTGCATGAGGTCACTCTTGTAGCAGTCATCATCTGGCAGCTTGACTTGGAGCCGGATGGTCTAAGATAGTTTCACTCATATCTGCCAGTTGATGATGGCTTTTGACTGGGTTTGGCTTTCCATGTGGTTCCTCGTCCCCAGGGAGCCTAGCTTAGATTTCTTCTCATGGGGCTCTCCAGTAGTAAAAGATAAATGTTGAAAGCTACAAGGCCTCTTAAAGCCTAGGATTGGACATTCCACAGTGTCATTTCTGCTGCATTCCATTGATTAAAGCAAGTTACAAGGCTGGATTCAGTGGCGATAGAAACTTCACCTAATAATTGGAGATTAATAGCAAATTCCTTTTTAAAAAAGAATGTTTTGTTTATTAATTTTTTAAATTGACACATTATAATTGTACATATTTATGGGGTATAATTCCATGTTTTGATACATATCTGTGCTATATAATGATCCAGTAAGGTAGTATATTGATCACCCATGCATTTATCATTTGCTTGCAGTGAGAACATTCAAAAGTTTCTATTCTAGCCATTTTGTAATATGCAATATTTTACTGTTAAACACAGTCACCCTGCTGTGCAATAGAACACCAGAATCTCTTCCACTTATCTAATTGTAACTTTTTATCCTTTGACCAACCTCTCCCCATCTTCTCCCTTGTCCCCTCCCCAGTCTTTGGTAACTACTGTTCTACTCTCTGCTCTTCTATGATTGATATCAACTTTTTTTTTTTTTTAAGATTCTACATTTGAGTGAGATCATGTGGTATTTGTCTTTCTGTGTCTGACTTTTAATAGCAGATTGTATCGTGATATCCTTGTCTCCTGATTTCACTGTCGTGGATCAATTCTAAAACATCCTAATAGCATTGATAGTTTTTTGTTAATTTATTAAGATCTTGGCAGATGAAAACATGATCTGTACATGTTTGAGAGGTTTATTTCTATTTTTTAATATAAAAATAAAATATAGATAATATAAATACCCAACATACCGACAACTCCACCTCTCAGAAATGACCAGTTAACCTTCTTATTTTCAGTGTATCCAACTGGATATTTATTTAAATGTTTATAACCTGCTTTTCTCTCTTTATATTTTGAATACTTTTCTATGTTTAAAATAGGTATAAATAATTTTTTGTCTGCATAATATCTTATTCAGTATGAATATACCTATCCCTTGTTGTTTTAGGTTTTTCTCTTTTTTTGCTATGTAAACTATACTGCTGTAAACATTCTTATATGTATATCTCTGGCACTTACTCCAAGGAAAAAATCCTACTATGAAGTTACTTGGTCAAATAAGTATTTTGGACTTTTGATATGTATTGACGAGGCATGATTTTAAGAATTCTCTGGTTTAAACTTATTAGTGAGTATAATGTTGCAGAGCTGAATTCATTATGTTTGAGATCATGTGAAAGGGAAATTTCTGAAAGCTAATTTGAAATAGCAACCATTAAGAAAAATATATTTCTTTAGCATTTCATTTACAAATCAAAATGTATAAACTTAGTTGCTAATATTTTCTTGTTTTTCTGGTGTTGCAGTTTTTTGTTGATACATAATAGTTATACATATTTTTAGAATTGATGTGACATTTTGATACATGCATACAGTGTGTAATGATCAAATCAGGGCAGTTGGAATATCCATCACCTCAAACATTTATCTTTTCTTTATGTTGGGAACATTCCAATTCTTCTATCTATTTTGCACTGTACAGTAAATTATTGTTAATGGGTATGAAAATAAAGTTAGAAGGAGTAAGATCTAGCATTCGATAGTACAGTAGTAGGTTGTCTGTAGCTAACATTGTCTTAGTGACCAAAGCTTTCATTTTGCATTTGGGTCCACTAATTAGAGTTCTTCATCTTTCTTTTTACATGTGGATATGTGTTGCCTTTCATTCATCTGTAATTTCCAGGTCCTTAAAAAAAAAAAGTAGATTGAGAATGCAGGCATTTTGAAGACTGGGTGCAAAAATCCTAGAATTCTGCCTCCCAACCCCAACCCCCAACCCCAAGGTATTAGGTTTTTCTTGCGCATACCTAATTTGGCAGCAGTGTTATTTTGAGGACTCATTTTTGTAGGATCTTTCTGATACATAACTCAGTTTTCATAAAAACAATTTTTATATTTTTCATTTAATGACACAATATTTAATTATTATAAAACCATAATTACAAGTTTAACTAACATAAATCAGCTTGAGAACAAACAACTAATTCTTAGAGTAGAGTGCCTCTGGTGAGAGCATATGTGCTTGGACCTTCTGGAGAGTAGCCCTTTAGTTGTGGGCATTCATTGAGCACTTAGCATCTGAAAATGTCTTACAGAGAGAATGGAAGACATTGGTTAATTTGGAGGTTTGTTAAGTCAACATGGGTTAAAAGAATTTCTACCTTGTTTGTTGTGATAGTCATTTTTCTTCTTTTACTGAAGGCAATGACTTCTTCCTCATTAAATTTTTTTAGGTTTTAGATTTTATGATTAAGATTTGTATTATATTATAGTTATTTATTTGGTCCTGTCCTTGATCTTTTTCACAGCAGGATTCTTTATGTGCTACGGTTTTTGTTTCTGTTTGCAATTGTCCTTGGTCATTGGCATTCTCTAGTGGAATTTCTCCTTTTCAACTAAAATGTTCTCCTGGATAGATATTTAAAACAATGTGCAAAATTAAACCAGAAGTGGCTCATCTTTTCTGCTTCTTTTCTTTAGCACTGTAATGTTGATTTTTTGCTTATAGGACTATAGAACTGCACAGCTGCGATTAGACTTCATAAATATAACGCAGTAGAGAATTTGAAAGTGATGGAGGCCAAGTGTGGTGGCTCACACCTGTAATTCAAGCACTTTGGGAGGCAGAAGTGGGAGGATTGCATGAGACGAGGAGTTTAATACCAGCCTGGGCAACATAGTGAGACCCTATCTCTACAAAAATTTTTTTAAAAATTAGCTTAATATGGTGGCACATGCCTGTAGTCCCACCTAGTCAGGAGGATGAGGTGGGAGGATTGCTTGAGCCTGGGAGTTTGAAGTTGCAGTGAGCTATAATTGTGCCATTGCACTCCAACCTGGGTCACAGAGTGAGACTCTGTCTTACATATATTTGTGTGTGTGTGTGTGTGTGTGTGTGTGTGTGTGTGTGTGTGTGTAGTGAAGAGAAACCTGGCCCTACCAGTGATGGAGTCCTGGCTTTACCACTTAGTATATGTCGGAACCTCAGTTTTCTCAAAGGTAAAATGTGGATAATAACTGCCCTGTCTACTTATATTATTGTAGGAGTCAAATAAGATAAGTGGGTCACAACACTTTTCAAACTATGAAGTGCTTTATTAATAAAGAGCTCATTGCTATTATATTAAATAATTAGGTTAGAAGCTTCAAAATCATAAGACAATAAACGTGTCTTTAACTTTTCAGCAAAGCACACTAGTCTTTCTCTTTAAGATTCATTAGCATAATTTCCCCCTCATGCCTTAAAAATGATGTTTCATTGTCATTCACAGCACACATTAGTAGGTAAATTCTTAAAATATGAAAAGTCCAGAAACCTTGTTTTGCCTTTAACACCAAAAATACCAAATCACTTACGTAAGCAACAACTCTGGCCTCTTGACGTCTTTTAGGGTCAGCTGGAACAATGTCCGTGGAGAACCCTCAGGTATAGTGGAACTTTAGATATTATCTGTTTCACAGAGATTTTGACACACAGATTTTACATTTTAAGTCATCTGACTTCTAAGACATTTGTCAAATGGCTGCCTTGATATAAAAACACTATAACTGCTCCCAAAACATCCCTAAGAATTAAGTGTCTCTAAAGGCCATGTTCATGTACTATACTGCATTTACACAGTAAAACTCAACGTACTGGATGACAGCTACAATTTGTAGCCTGGCTATTATTATTATTTTTTTTTTTTGGTAGAAGCTGGGTCTCACTGTGTTGTCCAGAGTGGTCTTAAACTCTTGGCCTCAAGTGATCCTCCTGCCTCAGCCTCCCAAAGTGCTGAGATTACAGGTATGAACCACTGTGCCTGGCGTCTTCACTATATTTTATGTCTTCTAAACCATAATTGACTTGAATTATCAACCAGCTTTGAGGAAAGAAGAGGAAAAGTAGTAAGTATATAAAAAGTAGTTCTCAAGAATCAGTGTCTAGTAGAACTGAAAGGCAGTGACTCAGATCCCATAGTCACTGAAATACTACTAAGTCCTCCTGATTTAAGATCCAGCCCCACAGCAGGTATTAGAAGGACCTTGTTAACCTTATAGACAGTGTATGAATTTTATCTTATTCCAAGCCTCCAGTAAACCTGGATTCAGCCCTTGAAGAGTTTATGCATGGACATGGAGGTAATTTTTGTTTATACTTCATTTTAATATATTAGATTATTGCTACTTTCATTTCAACATTTATGGCAGGTTTCTTCCCTGCTAGGCACCAGGAATACAAAGATGAATGAGGTTATGAACCTCTCCTTGGAGGAATTATTCATATTTGGAGCAAAATTTATAATTGCAGTTTACTTATGCAGAAATTCTTTTTTTCTACAGCATAAACCGGGCCTTGAGAGTTTCCTAAACCTTCTATCCTCAACTTCTAATTCTTGAACAGCAAAAAGTTACCAGGATTGAAATGTATCCGTTATTCTAGAAAAGTAAATGTAGAGCAGGTTTTGGAACTCAATATTTCATCCTAAATGTGAAAGACTGTATAGGCAAATAGTGTGCATAATTTCCTTTTTCCAGGGTTGAGGGGCTGCCAGTGGTGTGTAGTGGGGAGAGAGTGAAGTGACTCATAATTCTGGAATGATTGTTTTGATCTCCTCCTGTAGCCTCTGTAGGATACTGGCAGGGCAACCAGCATAATTAACACTACACAGTCTAATTATAAACAAAACTCTATGTACAGTGGCTACCAAGAAGCAAGCCTGTACTGGATAATCCCCCAAGTTGGCAGGATTACTTTTAGAATGATTATTAGATAGTGTCGTTTACTATAAATCAAGTTGTTTTTCTTTGATTGTCCAGGGACTTACCCTGGGGGGAAAGTGAATATAATAATATTTGTGGAAGTCTTCTGGGTTATTTTTTTCAGGGCCCATTTAAGGATTTCTTTATTGCAGTTCTTATAACCTTTTTGTCTTAAGAGAACATTTGTACATCTTACTATGTATGGCGTACTCTTTTAGGGAGAGTAGGAAAATTGGTCAGAGTAAGACATTTGTTCCAATAATAGTTGGATTGGTTTTTTTAAAGGTGAAAGAAACTAGGAATTTGAAAAGATTACATTGGACCGGTATAATAAATAAAGAGGGAGAAAAAAAGCCTATGGGCTGCAGAGAAGAGGATGGGATAAGGGGACAAAGTGAAGTGGCTATAGCTGCCATGCATGCTTGAGAGAAACCAAGATGTTTGTAACATGTGTATGGTCTCACATGCTGTTCAGAGGCAGAGCAGGCACTGTGCGTGGTTGTATGTGCTTTAGGGATTTGTGGAAGCATGGCTGAGAGCTGAGGACCAATTTAGTTTGTTTATATACAGGGCCACTGGGTCTCTTAGATTTAGAACAAAGATCCTAGCTGTGGAGATTTGTTTCACATAGCTGTGACCTGAACAACTGCAGAATGGTTATATTTATGCAAAATGAGCCTCAGAATTGTGATTACCTCAAATGAAGTAAGAATTTTAAATCAGATACTTCAAAATGAGGGCTTTTTTTCCTATCCAGAAAAACTCAGTTAAAATTTAAGTGGACACTTAAAAGGAGTTTCCCTTTTTAAGAAAGAAATACAGAAATCCAAATACAAAAATGAATGTTAAGTAGTTTTTTGCTTAAGAATGCTTGCTTTTTTTTTTTTTAACTTTTGATGAGCTCATAAGAAGTTTCCTTTAAATAGCAGTTCTGTAGTTCATTTTAAATATTTGGATTTACAAAGAAAATTTCCCTAGCTTTTTACTTGAAAGGAGAGGGAGAACATACTGTATTTTTCTAAATTTGGGCATAACTGGTATTATTACTGGCTAAATAATTTTGTGTTTGCCAGATAGTCTTGAAAGAGGGACAGATGTAAGACGGCTGGGCTTGTTAAAAGATCTCTGTCTCTAGCCTGTGACCCAGTTCTGATTTGTCCCTTTAAATTACCTAACTAGACTTTTGAGAAGTGAAAAATTGGTTTTGGAGATGCACCAGGACAATGGTATGTGTGGATTTTTGGGCCAGTTTCTAGGAGAATATGAGTTAGAGCCGTCCACACTACTTTCCTGCCCTCTAGCAGCATTTTTTGCATTATTTTTCAGTTGTTTATCTGGTTTCTATTTTGTTGATTTTTGCCCTGTTTTTTTTTTATTATTTTTTCTACTTAGGTTTAATTTGGTATTCTTTTCTAGGTTCTTAGGGTGGAAATGTCGTTATTTTTAAACCTTTTCCCAATATAGGCATTTAAAGCAATAAATTTTCTTGAATTTTGATATATTATGTTTTTATTATTATTTATTTCAAATATTTTATATATTCCTTGTGGTTTCTTCTTTGACTTATGGATTACTTAAAGTCTTTTGTTTTTATTTTCCAAATATCTAGGGATTGTTTACCTAATTTACTAATTGATTTTTTAATTGTTTCCATTGTGTTTAGAGAACAAAGTCTCTAAAAAGCATATTTCAGTCTTTTGAAGTTGATTGTGATTTATTTTATTTTATTTTGCTTTATTCCATCTTGGTGAATGTTTCATATGTATTTCTGCAGTTGTTTGATTTTATATTCTGTGAATGTCAGGTCAAATTAGTTAATAGTATTGTTCCGATCTTCCGTGACCTTACTTATTTGTTGTCTACTTGTTCTATCAGTTATGAAGAGAAAGGATATGGTTGTGGATGTTTTTGTTTGTTCTATTCTTCATAAAAAACTTCTTTTTGAAACACTGTTATTAGGTATACATATTTAAGATTGATATCCTGCTGAATTTCTCCTTTTATCATCATAAAATATTCTTCTTTGTTAATCTATTTGTGTCTAAATTTAAAATGCATCTCTTACAGACAGTGTATATAGTTGTTTCTTGCTGTTTTGTCCCCATTGTGACAGTCTCTGTTACAATGTTTAATCCATTTACAGTTAATGCATAGGTCAGGTTTAAGTCTACCATGTTGCCACTGTTTTCATTTGTTCCTTTTGTTTTTGTTTATCTGTTTCTCCTTTATTCATTTTTTTTGGATTAAGTGGGCAATTTTAGTATTTCATTTTATTTTCTCTATTGGATTCTTAACTATGCATCTTTTTAAAATCACTTTTTCAGTGTTTCTTCTAGGATTAATAATATGCATCATTAAGTCTGTGTATAGTCAGTATTGTACCATTTCACATTCTATACCTGACCCTTCTTCCTTTCTGCTTAATTTCTCTTACTCAACTTCTGTATTCTCTGTGCTTTTGTTGTCTTTTATTTTTTGGTTTTAAGCATACAGTTTTTAAAGATAGTCTTTTAAGGAAATTATAAGAAGAATAAAGAATGTACACCTTTTATTTTAACATGTATTATTTCTGGTATTCTCTCCTTCCTGAAGATCTGAGTTTCCGTCTGGTAGTAGTTCCCTTCATCCTGAAGAACCTCCTTTAAAATTTCTTGTAGTATACATCTACTTGAGGAAAATGTGTTCTAAATGAATTCTGTAAGCTGTCATTTATTTGAAAATGTCTTTTACTCTTGATTTTGAAGCATATTTTCACTGTATGTGCAAAGTTGAGTTTAGAATTTTCTTTGTCTTCCAACTCTTTAAAAATGCTCTATCATCTTCAGGCCTCCACCGTTGACATGAGAAGTTAGTGTATGTACTGTTGTTCATCTGTATGTAGCATTGTTTCCAGGTTCTCTTAAAGGTTTTCTTTTTATCTTTAGTTTTAAGCAGTTTTGACCATGATGTGCTTAAGACATTATTATTTGTGTGTGTGTGTGTGTGTGTGTGTGTGTGTGTGTGTGTATTTATCTTTTTGGGGGTTTGCTGAACATTTTGGATCTGGTAAGTGGTGTTTTTCATCAAACTTAATAATATTTTAACTATTATTTCTTCAGATATTTTCTTCTGCTGCATTCTCACACTCCTTCTGTGGCTCCTGTTAGATACATGTTAGACTGTCTGATACTGTCCCCCAGATCCCTGATGCTGTGTTTATTTTTCTTCAATCCTTTGTCTCATTGTTCTTCAAATTGGTAATTTCTAATGATCTGTCAAGTTTATGGACTCTTTCTTTTGCTGTCTCCAATCTGCCATTAAGTCCATTTAGTAACTTTTTCATTTTATTTATTGAACCTTTTTCTCCTAGATTTTTCTTTTTTCCCTCTCATTTAGTTCTTTTTTAGTCTTGATTTCCCCACGGAGAGTCTCATCTATTCACATATTCTCATTTTTTCCTTTTTAAAATACATCTTCCTGCTTAATGATGGGGATACAATTGAAAAATAATAAAACACGTCTTCTTCAGGGATTCTTTTTTATTTATAATGGCTACTCTAAAGACTCACTAAATACAATGCAATATCTGGACCACCTTAAGATTGCTTTCTAATGATTTTGTTTACTTAGGGTTCACATTTTCTTGTTTCATTAAATGTCTAGTAATTTTTTATTACATATTGAATAGTGTCAATGGCACATGGTAGAGATGCTGAATTAAAAAAAACTCTGTAAAATGTTGATTTTTCTCTCTCTGTCTCTGTAGACAGCTTAGTTACTGGCTGATCACCTTGTGTAGGCTTATTTTTAAGGCAGATCTGTGGAAAGCCTAAGGTGTTTATCAGGCTCCTCTAACTTAGTGAGACTCATCCTTAAATACTTTTTCCCCTGTGGATTTTATTAGGGCTTGGTTTTAGGCTTTGTTACTATGGATCTAGAGTAGGTCTTATTCTAGGGTGTCACCTTTACTTCTACACTGAGGCCTTTCTAGTGTTTCAAGCTGATGCCTAGGGTGTTATGAGTTCTCTTTGCTCTGGCTGGGTTGACCTGCCACTACTTCCCTGCACTGCTTGACCTCTAGTATTTCTGTTCTGTCTTAACCTTATTGCAGCTACTTTCTTCTACACCTCATGTCCTAAATTGGCTAAGGACTCTCAGAAAACCTTGTGCAAACTTCTGTGACTCCCCTCTGCACGTGCCCCCCTTCACCAGCACTGCTCTGCTTAGACCCTAGCTTGCTGAACTACAGTTGGGAAATTGTCCCCAGAGAACCAGAGTGATTGTGGGCTCACCTGTTCCTTCACTCAGAGGTCACACTCTGTTAGCTAGTATGTGCAAACAGGTGTATTGTTTTGTCTAGTTTAATAGTTGTTTATGAGAGGAATGATAATCTGGTACCAATTACTCTGTTATATTGAAAGTTGAAGTCTCTCCCAGTATGCTCATGGACTGAATCATTGCTCGCTGATCTTCTCGCCTCCCACCCTCAGTCATCCATTTACTTTTCTCTTCACAAGGGAGACAAAGTCAGGGTGAGGGGCAGCAGAAGAAAGACCTTACTTGGATCTTGCTCCAATGTCATGACCTTGGGCCTCTGAACTAGAAAATTAAAGGTGTTGTGAAAAAGCACAATATACTAGGGGTAAAGTAGTAATGCATGCGGGACTTTACATGTTCATATTTTATGCCACTGCTTATACATTGAGGTGTTACACAAACAGGTGTCAGGAAAAGGGACGACTTAGATACATCTTCAAAACTTGTTTGCTGTTAATGACTGCCCTTCAGATTCTGGTGAGATAAGATACATCTAAACTTGTAACTTCTCATGAGCACTGTAATTAACAGGAAGAGATTTTCTTTGAGTATGGGTTTAGCGGGGGTTGGGTAGTGTTTTGTCCATTTGGACCTACCCAGAAAAAAATCACCTTTTTTTTGTTCTAAATTCTAGTGTTTTTCTTTCTTTTTAAGCTTAAACTTAAAAAAAATAGAATTTTTTTTGATAGAAGAGTATTCTCATTAGGGAAATAGTTACTTTATATGATACTTAGTCATCACTTTGGAAATTTATCTAGAAAATATTTTAAGTGCTGTCCCATACTTGGAACTTATAGTTCTATATAAATATGTCATAGGGGACTCAGAAGAATATTAGACTTTTTTCCTTGTTACTATTCTCTAAAAAATAACAGTATAACAACTATTTATATAGCATTTACAATGGATTGGATATTATAAGTAGTCTAGAGATGATTTAAAGTATGTGGGAGGATATGCAAAGATTAGATGCAAATATTACAGCATTCTGTAGAAGGGACTTGAGCATTTCTGGATTTTGGTTTCACAGGGAGCCCTGGAATGAATCCCCCACAGATGCCTAGGGACAGCTGTACATCCTATTACATTTTCTCAGAAAATGTGATGGCAGCTTAAAGCTTTAATCCTTCTAAAGTCTGTGAGAAGTTTGCTTCTTTTAGTTCAAGTTGCTGTTAATGTTGTTTGTCATGGCTTCGCTTTTTGTCCTGTCTTCTAAATTGTATCCCTCAATTGATGACTTGCTCTCTTGCCGGTAGCCTCTATGCACTGTAAATTTGCCTTCTCACCACATCCTCCCTATATGTTTAACCCTGTCTCTGTCTCCTACCTCTGCTTTCTCTACCTTTTATAAACATTTTGTTTAACTTTTATTGTGGTAAAATACACATAACACTTCTCTTCTTTTAGACCTGGGCTGGTAAGAAGTGCTGAAGATGTTTTTTAGAGATTTGTGGTATGACAAATTCCACTGGGGTTTCTGACCTTCTCAGTCATGCTTGTCTTGGGGTCACCACTCCTTGGCCCTCTCCTATGGCACCTGTCCCTCATTCTGCTCAAGCCCCTATGCCTTCCCAACAACTTGCCTTTAGCTCTGGGCAGATGTCTTTGCTTGCACTTGTCACAGAGAACATGAAGGCTCTCTGCTGTTTTGTGCCCATGCACATGCCTCTTCTCTGTCTTTACCTCCTGTCCTCCAGGCTTGGAGGGAGAGCACCTAGCTCCCATCATTTTCTTGTACACTCTCCCTGTCCCTCTGGATGCTACGCCAGCATTTTCCCTCCCCTACTCCTTCACCTCCACATTTTGTCTTTCTTTACTGTTCCTTTCCTGCAGAAATACATGCCCAAGTTGTTCCCATCTTAAACACAGACAAATGAAAAACAAAAGGATTTAAGTTTTGTCTATACCACATTTTCCTTTAGTTTATCCCTATGTTTTTTCCTTGATAAACTACTACATACCTTCAAAGAATAGTCTGCAGTCCTTGTTTTCTTTTGTTAACTTTCCATTTCTTCTTTGGGCCCCTGGAATCAGGCTTCTACTCTCACTATTAAAGTCACTGGTTCCCTGGTTACCAAATGTAAGGGTCTCTCTAGGCCTCATTTTACTTGACCTTTCTAAAATATTTAATGCTGGCCACTTTCATCTTTATGAAAGCTTTAGGTTTCTGGGATGCCACTCCTGATTTTCCTACCTTTGGTCCATTTCTTCTCCTTTGCTGACCTTCTTCCTCTGGCCACCCAGCTCTTAAATGCTGATCCTCCCTGAGTCTCCCTTTCGATAGTCTCATTTATCTGCATGGTTTTAATGACCATATCTGCACAGGTGATTCGGAAACCTGAATCTTCCACCCAGATCACTCTCTTGAGCTCTAAACCCACGTAACATAATCCTTTTAACAATTCTACAAAATAGCACTGTTTCCCACATTTATAGGTGAGGAAATTGAGGCTAAGAAAGGTAACCTGTTTGAAGTCAGTGGAAAAGCCAGGATTTTAACGTCTACCTAAAATCAGGCCTTTAACTCTATTAATCAAACATCTCCACCTGGTTATCTGACAGATATATCCTACACTGAATGCCATCTCATAATCCTGTTCTCCTTCCTTGCCTCAAAAAAAATTAGAAAATGTGAAAGACTATATTCTCAATCTCAGTGAATGACATTCCTTCTTTTCAGTTATACAAGTTGGAATGTAAAGGGAATTGACATAGACTTTTCTCTGTCTCCTACCCTGCAGGTCCATCTAGCCCGAGGTAGTATCAGTTCTTGTGCATCTACCTTTTTGACGTGACTTGTAATCATACCCTCCTCTTTATTCTCACTGCTACTGACATAGTTAAGAACTTTATCTTGACTGTTATTGCCATTATAGTGACAGTCTAACTCACTGCTTCTCACATTATCTGAGCTGAAGAACCAGGGTTTATTGTTTCTGTTTTTTTAATTTTTAATCTGTTGCAGAAATTTTGTAGCATATAAAAAAATTAATTAGAAAAATGAAATGAAAAAAGACATACAAAAATAGCTCAGTTTTATACATTATTAAATTCAATACACATAAAAATTACTCTGTCAAATTGTCATAAAAGTTTTTGGGTACTAATAGTCTATGTATATCCTGTCCCAGATGGGTCACACTTTTGCACATTGGCACTGGTCCACAAACAACATTGAGGAATGCTAGTTCACAGTATCTGATGAAAAGAAATGTCTTCAGTTCTCTTAGATTATAACCACATGGGCCTATGTTATTTAAAACTGAAACATTTCAGTAGAAGGTTCTTTGCTTTGACTTATAGATAGCTTCTATATGTGGATTTAAGAGGTTTTAGAAAATTCCCTGTTTCTTTAGGATCCCTTCTTTCAGTAGGAATAAATCCCATCGAGCAAGGGGTAATCATGTGTTATGTTACAATTTAATGCCAAAATCAAAGTGTACTGACTTAAGAATCAAATCAACATTTTCTTAAATAGGCTTGAAGTACCTTCATGTATCTTCATGGGATACCTGTAATAAAAGTGATTTTCCCTGATTTGATATATTTAACTTGATATGATTGTGCATACAAAAAAAAAACTGTGCTTCTATATTGCACAGTGAAATATAGCAAATGGGTTGATGTGATCTCCATTTCTGAAAGATTAAAATTCTACGTTGGTATTATTCTGACTGGGAGTGAAATAATAAAAGTAAGTTATTTGGATTTAGGCAGGCATCTGACTAAGCCCTTGTCAGAAGATTTGAAATTAATGACATGCAGACAGGAGATACCAAATTGTCAAACTGTAGAATATCTCTTGGCTTTAAATGGCATGGCAGAAGAATAAAAAAACACAGCAACAAAGTTCTAAGGGGACAGAATTGAGAGATTGGAATGCTCTAAATATTAAGCTGAGATTGTACCTGGAGTTAGTTCAGAAATATAGTAAATAAAACCATGCTGTACAGAACCCATTGTTGTCTGCAGTAGGCCTGACACAGAACAAAACACATGGGGCAAATGCCTGAGAGCATAATCTTCCCATGTGTGGTAAAAAAGTCAAAAAAGGCCTTTTTAGACATTTTTAAATTAAAAAAAAAAATTAAGCTAGTCTACAGCAGTGTGCCAGGAACCAAAAAACTACTACAGAAACTTTCTAATCATTAAGAGTTTTAAAAGCAATTTTAAAAAATTGAATACAGCAATATTTGCTCTGTTAATGAAGTGTATGACCCAAAACACTATTAACTATCAAAACAGAACATACTTTTTTTTTTTAACAAGAAATTGGGGCACTATAGGAAGTTTAGGAGATTATATTCCCAAAAGCAGTATGTTAGAACCCTTCTTCTTTCATAGTAGATGGGTAGATGGCAGAATGCTAAACTCATACCTAGAAAATGATTAGAAGTTTTATTCAAATAAAAATTTTAAAGTAGCATAACTTGTATACAGTTCAGGTTGGAGAGGAGTCAGGAAAAGGTAACCTCATTGTGATCCATATGCTCCCCAAAGCAGAAATGGGTGAAGTGAAATGAAAAGAAAGTTTATTTTTTAAAGGTAATAAAGACAAAGGAAAAACAAAAAAACATAACTTTTCTTAATTTGTGTTGTAGCAAGTTAAGCTGAGGTACGGAATACCAGGTGGATGGGCATGGGAAAGGGAGATGATGACACTGCAAGCAGAGGGAAGAGAAAAGAAAAAGAGACATGTGGAGGATAGCGTGGAATAGCTGCCTGGCCTGTGCTCAAAATAGTAAGCAGTTTGGGATGGCCAGAGCATACTCAGGAATGGTATTTAGTGCTGGCTGGGATCTGACCATGGAAGATGCTTATACCAGTGCCTCTCAAACTTAAGTGCACGTGAGCACCCGAGGATTTGTTAAAATTCGTATTCTAGGTGGAGACTTCAGAGGCTGCGTTTCTAACAAGCTGCAATGTGATGCAAATGCTGCAGGGTCACAGGCCACACTGAACAGCAAAACTGCAAATTTTATCCTAATATTTATCAATAATATGTTTTATGGATGAAGAGTTTCCACCATTACAGTGTTTGTTGAATAGCACAAAATACATAGCATTTATCTTAAGCTAGATATTCAGTAGTTTTTTGTAAGCTTTGCTCTCCTGATGGTGAAATAATACTCTTAGCAACTTCATTGCCAGGTATGAAATAAATAATTCAGGGCTCTCATCTTTTATTGAATTAGTTTGAGTAGAGGGATGCAATATAATGAAAAGAGCATAAACTTTTGAATCAAATTTTTAGACCTGTGCTTTAATATCAGTTTTATGACTAAATAGCTGTGTGACTTTATGAAGACGAATTAATCTATTTCTCTTTTTCTATTTTCTCATGTCTAAAATAGAATACTTGCCATTTTATAGGATTGTTGTAAGGGTTAGAAATGATAGGTATAAAGTATCTTCCCTTGTAGGGAAGATTAGTGGAGGTTTCAATTTGATAACTTTTGAGATCCCTTAAAAACTAAAATTGTATGAATTTTAAATAAAAAACATTGAACGATCTAATCCTAGGAAGTACTGATATATGGGGGATTATCGACCCTTCTACTTCTAGAGTCTTTTTTCTCAGTGATTTTGGCAAATCGGAAGGTGTGGTTTGTTGTAGTTTGTAAAAGCTCCCACTGAGATCCACTAACACTCATGGTGTGCAGTATGGTTGTTTCCCATGGAAATATGTTGTACTTCTGAAAGCCATGGAAGCATGAAAAACAGATTGAATTATAATTTTATCTGACTTTTATTGTCTTTTGATCTTTTTAAAAATCATTTCTTGCTTATGGAAATTTCCCATATAATTTGCTGCTTCCCATTTGCTGTGGGACAGAAACATTCCTCTTTCAGGGGAAAACAATAACCCATCCTGTTGCTTAGCCATACTCAATCTTAGAAATGGGCATACCAGCTTGTGGTGCTCCCTAGAGAGAATGAGACTCAGGGATGAGACCCACAAATACCTTGGAAGCAGATTTGAGGCCTGTTGGACAGAAATTCTGGGATTGCAGTGCCCAAACCCTAGAAGGGGAACCGTGGACTGTAGGTGGGCACATCCCTTTGATCCTACTGACTCCTCGCCTGGTGGGGACAGACATAGTCAGAGGAATGCCAAAACAGTGCCCTCTCAAGCCCAGGGCAGGGTCCCAGGTTGTGGGGCAGGAGTATATTAAGGAAATTAGTATATTATCTCAGCTAACTTTTTAAAAATATAATAGCCTGTTTATTTAGCTTTCTTGTTTCATAACTGTGGTATACTTTTATTTATGTTTTAGTTTTTAATGGATGACTCAATGGTATAAACATCTTATTTAATTCAGTAGCTCTGAGATGGAAATAAGTCTTAGTGACTTAAAAAAATTCTTAGTTTAAATGTGGTCTAGGTAGAAGACATGTTATTAATATTATGAGCTTTTTTTTTTCTAACTCTGTGCCTTGTTCTTATGTTTTGGTTTTTTAGATCGGCTTCAGCTCCCCAGGAATATGATTGAAAACAGCATGTTTGAGGAAGAACCAGATGTGGTGGATTTAGCCAAAGAGCCTTGTTTACATCCTCTAGAGCCTGATGAGGTGGAATATGAGCCCCGGGGTTCCCGACTGCTGGTGCGGGGTCTTGGTGAGCATGAGATGGAGGAGGATGAAGAGGATTATGAGTCATCAGCAAAGCTGCTGGGCATGTCCTTCATGAATAGAAGCTCAGGCCTTCGGAACAGTGCAACTGGTTACAGGCAGAGCCCAGATGGGGCTTGTTCAGTACCCTCTGCAAGGACCATGGTGGTCTGTGCTTTTGTCATCGTGGTTGCTGTTTCTGTAATCATGGTGATTTACTTACTGCCCAGATGTACCTTTACCAAAGAAGGCTGCCATAAAAAAAACCAGTCAATTGGACTAATTCAGCCATTTGCAACAAATGGGAAATTGTTTCCATGGGCACAGATCAGGCTTCCCACTGCCGTTGTGCCACTACGCTATGAACTCAGCCTACACCCGAACCTAACCTCGATGACATTCAGGGGTTCTGTGACAATTTCAGTTCAGGCTCTTCAGGTCACATGGAATATCATTCTTCATAGCACAGGTCATAATATTTCAAGAGTGACCTTTATGTCAGCAGTTTCAAGCCAAGAAAAACAAGCTGAGATCCTGGAATATGCATATCATGGACAGATCGCCATTGTTGCCCCCGAAGCCCTTCTAGCAGGGCACAATTATACGTTGAAGATAGAGTACTCGGCAAATATATCTAGTTCTTATTATGGGTTTTATGGCTTCTCCTACACAGATGAAAGTAATGAGAAAAAGTAGGTAGCCCTCTTAAATGATTCTGGTTTTACGCTCTGATAACTTCTGCAATATAGATCCCTTTGTCCACACCAGAGACACGAATTGTGATTTTTTTTTTTAATTTAGGAAGTTATATACAAAATAGTAGAATGGTGATTTAGAACAATATATTATCTCTCTTAGTCAACGCCTTGAGCATATATCATGGTGGGGTGGAGATAGGGGTGTGCTGGTGGAAAAGGATGGATAAAGATTATATCCAAAACTTGTTATCTTGAGTTTTTCACATTTTTAAGGTGAATCTAGTTTTCTGTCACCTCATGAAGTCTGTTGGGAAGCAGAGTAAAGAGGAGTTATTCTTTAAGACCTATTTTCCTAATGTGCAGAACTTTTAGGAGGTACTTAGTGAAATACAGAAAGAGGGCATGAAGAAGTGTGAAGTGTGGTGTGCTTACATATATCATTTTTAATATCCTTAATCTTTACTGGTTTATTATTTTTTAAAATGCCAGTCTATTTTGGATTTCTGGTGTAAATTTTTTTTAAGGTCTAGGAGAGACTTAATTTGGTTCAGAAAAAAAGGTGAGACAAAATATAAAATTATTCAGCTCCCTATTTGGACTATATATTTAGTACTTTAATCTTAGCATTCATAGCATGTAGTTTGAAATTCTGGGAAGATGGAGTTCACACAGTATGGAGGTTATTCTTAAGTAGCAGTGATATCAGTTGTCTTGTGCACAAAATCCTCACGACATCTGCTTTATGCAATTGGAACATTCTCTCATATTACTCTGTAAAACAATATGTGAATTACTGATGCTGACCATTTGGCTAATGTATGTTGACATATTAAGAGAAATAGTTAGAAATGAGTATTCTACATCTAAAGGAAACTTTTTGATCCTTCTTAAATGGAGAAAGAGACCAAGCAAGATCCATAATTCTATTCAGATAAATAATTTTTATTTTATTTTCCCTCTATGTAATACTTTTAAAATAAATGGCATACTGGCCCTGCATTTCAATTCTTGCGTGAGATCTGGGATTGAACACAAATGTATAATTGCAATGGGAACTTGAAAGTTCTTGCCTTTAGTTCTCCTTCTATAATGCCTATTATCCCCAGGAAATGTAAGCTATGTGTAAAAACAAGAAATACATCCCTTAATTACTTTATCTACCAGTATAAATATGTATTCTAATCATACCTCAGAGAAGAAAAATTTATAAAAGCTTCTCTAATAGAACTAAGCAAAATTAAAAGAGAGAAAGACAAAAAAATGGCTTTGAATTATAGTTTTCAGACATCTTGAAAGGTATAAATAATCTAAACATTTACCTGGAATCAAGATATACTATCACTTGGGGGATTCATTTTACTGATACTTTTATTTTGTTTTGAATAGCAGAGTTTCACGTACTAATTTATTTTAATAGGTTGTAAAATACTGTTTTATAATACTCTATTTCTTAATCTTAAAGAAACATATTTCATTTTTCTGACATTTTCCACAACTCAATCCAGCCCATGGCAAGAGTCAACAAGTGGCCGTACCAAAAATCACCTTACTCTGCTGTATTTATTCCTCCCATTAAATAGTTAACGAGTACAAGGATTCCAGGGTCAATATTCTGATGGGAAGAGATGGCTAGGGCACATGTCCTAAAAGTCTGTTTGCATACTAAGAACATATTTCTTGTTGATTGGAAAACCATTGTATGTAAACGTCAGACACCTTGCGTAGACACTGCTTGTTGTAAGGGAACTTACCTTTACCCATGTGATCTAAGAGACAGAGACAGTCAGTAACCTTGGAGTTAAATCTCAAAGTTGTTTATGATAGGCTTAAAGTCCTAGATAACAAACTGATACTAAGAACTAGTAAACAAATTCAGGATAGGGATGTGTTTCAGCAGTTCCTCGTTTCTAACAGAATTTAATTCAAGACCGTTTTTGATCTACCCTTGTTTTTTCTTTCTCATAGTTCTCACCTGCCATGGTGAACTTTCTGATGATAATAATAGCCAGTATTCACCTGGAACTGAAGGGCTGGAAACTGTTCCAAGCCTCTTACGTGTTTAGTCTTTTATTCTGTCAAACTCACTAAGAGATAGATGTTAACATTATATTCATTTTACAGCTAAGGGAGCAGAGGCACATAAAGTAACTTATCCAGCATCTCATGGCAAGCAGATAGCAGAGGGAGAACTCAAACTCAAGGTCATTTTAACTGCAGAAGCCACATTCTTCACCACCATGGTGCACTGCCTCTCTAGTTCATACTTGCTTTCCTTTGTACATTGTTATCTCCAGTGTTTGAAATTCTCTTATCCCCAGTTAATTTGTAATTGTCTTGAACACTACTTGATAAAGTGTTCAACTTTAGTATTTCAGAAAGGAAATATACTCTCCAGTGAAAGAATAAGCTTCAAGTTATTCAGCATAGATAGAACAGGTTATAAGTATTATCAAGCAGCAGCCTTCTCAAAGGGATTTTTATGTGAGATAGTTATGATTGGATCTCTTAACAACAGTTTAAGGCTTTTTCGCCTTAGTGTGTTATGATCTAATTTTTATCCAAAAGTGGTGGGTCTCTCTTGTATGAATAGTAGGGATAACATCAAACTTTATTCCCTGGTCCCTTATGCTTCTCTTCCAAAATCTTCTGTTAACTACATAAGAATGTTGGGGGTGGGTTGAAGAAATGAAATGTTAGAAACATAATATGTGTAAATTGTTTCATGTATGTTGATTGCTACCTTTCTTGCAGTTTACCCAATTCGATAGCAACAGTTATTTGGGCACACATCCTTAACAGAAAAAAAGCAAAAACAAAAGAATACAAAACAAAAAAAGTACACAAATTTTAAGTGTGGAAGAAGTTAGGACTATCTTGCATTTGTAATAAATATCTATTTAGGACCATATGATATACAAGTAGTTTTTATTATAAATAGTTTTATTTGATTCTAACAAAAATCCTAATCTTTAGGACCATATGGTATACAAGTCGTTTTTATTATAAATATTTTTATTTGATTCTAACAAAAACCCTGGTGTTTGGCAGTGGATTCTATCTCAGTCCTAATTTAACTATTAAGGACGTTGGGATGTATGAGATGTAAGGACATTGAGATGTATGAGATGTAGGTTACTGATTTGCCCAAAGTCATGTGGTTAGTAAATTATAGAGTCTGGGTCTTCTGACTCCAAATCTCATACTCTTTCTTTTCTCCTTATCTTCTAGTAGTGGAAACTAAGCCCAAAATGAGAGAGGCTACCACCTCCAAGTGGTGGTTGTATATGTGCTATATTGATTGGTACCTGAAATATGCACACCAGGGCCATATATTTGCCGTGATTATAGCCACGCTGGGATGATCTCCCAAGTTCAGATCTAGTTATTCTTTTACTTAACTGAAAATCTGCATTTCTCCTTGTTTCTTTTTATGCTTTTCCACCAACCTGTAATCGAGGACTTTTCTTTTTTTTTCCCTTGAGACAGCATCTTGCTCTGTCGCCCAGGTTGGAGTGCAGTGGTGCAATCTTGGCTGACTGCAGCCTCTGCCTCCCAGGTGCAAGCGATTCTCCTGCCTCTGTCTCCTGAGTAGCTGGGATTACAGGCATGTGCTACCATGCCTGGCTAATTTTTATATTTTTAAGTAGAGATGAGGTTTCACCATGTTGGCCAGGCTGGTCTCAAACTCCTGATCTCAAGTGATCCGCCCACCTTGGCCTCCCAAAGTGCTGGGATTTCAGGCGTGAGCCACCTGGCCTGGACTGTAATTGAGGATTTTTCTGTGTCATATTCTCAACTGTTGTTGGTGTGCTACAGAAAGAGGAGGAAATTTTTTTTAATCTCTGAGGCGAGTAAAGGAAACCAGAATACTACAGGACACCTAATTTTTTCAATCTTCATGAAAATGCAAGCTGTGAATTTGAGGTTTGGTATCGTGAAGCCAGAGTCTGTACAGATAATTCGCAGCAATTAATGACCACCCTTCTTAATAATCTTCCATCAGAAACCTTTTTAAGACCTCAGTGGCCAGTTGCAGCCTACCTTTGTGGCTTCATCTCCAGCCACACTGGACAGCCACCCCCAGTTTCTGCACATGCACTGCTCTCTTGTGTTCCCGGACCAAACTGAGGGTCAGGCTGCTATTTTTTGCTGCCCCAAAACGAGATGCAGATGAACTGGGAAGAGACTTTTTATTTCTATAACCAGTTATATAGGGAGAAGGCCTGGAAATTATTGCCAGAACAACTCAAAATTACAAAGTTTTCCAGAGCTTATATACCTTCTAAACTATATGTTTACGTGTAAGTGTGCATTTCTCTAAAGACATAAGTGATTAACTTCTTTTAATCCATAACTAAGGTCCGAGTCTTGAAGACCTTCCTCTTGAGCCTCAGTAAATTTACTTAATCTAAATGGGTCCAGGTGCTGGGGTGATTACCCTTATGTTGTCTCCTGCTAAATCACGGAGGTTTGGGGAGTTCCTTCAGACCTCCAGTAATTGTTTGTGGAGGCCTGGGGAGTTTCTTCAGACCCTCCAATAAAACTTATTTAATCCTAAATGGGTCCTGTTAAAAATTCCTTCATTATTTTGTCATGCTTTAAGACCCAGGCAAAACTCTTGGTGGGCTTTTGTTAAATTCCAGCCTTTGTATAAGGGCACTGGCTTTTAATATTTAACTTAACCACTCAGCCAGTACTGAAACAGTTGTTATGGAGGCCTGCGTTAGTGAGATCTGGCTTGCCACACTTGTGTTACCCACTCTTTCCAGAGTATACTTTCTTCCCTTCTTCACCTTTTCAAATACTCATCTTTTTAGGCCCTCTTCAGGTTTTCTGCATGTTTCCTTATAATATCTTCAACCTCTAGTCAGAATTTGTTTCCTTCCCTTTGTTCCCATTGCTTTATTTTCATTGTTAGGACATGACTTACAGCCTGATGTAAGTTTCTGTTCATTGTATAAACCTCTGCCTTTCCCAGTTTATTGCAGATCCTTTAGTAACTAGGATTGTAACATATTTATCTTAGTATACTTGGCAGGGTGCCTTGTACAGTAGGTGCTCAGTAACTACTGGATTGAATTTGTGTTTGTTTTAGGTACTTTGCAGCAACTCAGTTTGAACCCCTGGCAGCAAGATCTGCTTTTCCTTGTTTTGATGAACCAGCATTTAAAGCCACTTTTATCATCAAGATCATAAGGGATGAGCAATACACCGCTTTATCAAATATGCCTAAGGTACTGTTCTGTTCCTTGAATGTAAAAATCTTTGAATGGGTCTCTTTCTTTAAGAACACTTAAATTCCTCTTTGCCAGACTACAGTTGAGAATGATTAAAATCATATACATTAATATTCTTCCTTAAAATACTTAAATAAAAATTAAAATATATTGGCATCAGTTGGGAAGTCACCTTGAGGAGGACTTGAGGAAAGAGAAAGACCTGCTGGACTTGGAATGTGTGGATAGGAAATGTGAGTGTGCATTGTATATTAAGTTGTGCAAATATTAATACAATGAACTAGCAAAAGATTAGAGTAATATTTTCTGAGACAGGATGAATTTGCTATTCTAAACTGTTATTTGAGAGTGTTGAATAATAACTCTTTTTGGTGTTTTATTGGTAAATGAAAAACCAATATTGTTATAATATGGAGATTGACAACTAGAACAGGAGCCTCTTTCTTAGATGTTAGCTCTGTGTGGGATGCAGTGAGGGTGAAACCAATAATTGTTTTTATGCCAAACAAAACCTGGA
Source organism: Homo sapiens (assembly GCF_000001405.40). Taxonomy (NCBI): domain Eukaryota; kingdom Metazoa; phylum Chordata; class Mammalia; order Primates; family Hominidae; genus Homo; species Homo sapiens. The sequence continues at coordinate 96,985,739 of NC_000005.10, forward strand.
GCCTAGGGGGTCTTTTTTTGTTTTTTTTTTTTTGGTCTTAGACACCTGAGGGACTGTGCAGCTTGATAGGAGCCTCCTGGACCCATGTGGCTAAGGGAGAGGAGCAGCAGCCATACCCAGCAGGCTATGGAGCCAATCCTGTAGGCAGCAGAGAGCATAATCTGTAACAAGACAGCACTGTACCAGCTTACTCTGCACACTCAGCCATACTCTTCACCTTCATCTTTCTCTAAAGAGGCAGATGCCTACTTTAATTTGTGGTTGGAAAATTCTATAAGGTTGCCTACATTCCCTCATTTTGTGTCTGCTGCAGACTTCTCTAATGACTTACTACTGACTTTGTTCCCACTAAGCTTTCTTGGGGGTCCTCAACATGGCACCCCATGAAGCCATTTCAGATCATTTGAAGGGATGTCGCAGCTAGAGCTCCTTCTGTGGATGTATTTGTAGCAGTAGAGTGGAGCAATCCCAGGTCATAAGGAAGGATTTTGGTTTTGGAGGTGTTCTAATGGGAGAAGCAGAACCAATGTGACTATCTTTAACTTAACATTTATTTGGTCATCTTTGGGACTAAAAACTCCTTGAGGAGTTTCACTGTGCTCCATATGTCCTCAGGATGAAGGATGGTACAACAGACTGAGACTAGGAGCCATGCTCTTTGCAGAAATTCATACTGAGAGGTTATAATATGCTAGCATCTTTACCATTTATTTCCTATTTGAATTTTCAGTTTCTCAGTTTGTTTGTTATTGCCATTTATTCCTATAGTTACAGAACTGTCTTTTCCCCTTTGCTTGTAGAAGTCATCAGTCGTTCTAGATGATGGACTTGTTCAGGATGAGTTTTCTGAGAGTGTGAAGATGAGCACTTACTTGGTTGCTTTCATTGTGGGAGAGATGAAGAACCTGAGTCAGGACGTAAATGGAACCCTGGTATGTTGATGTGGTAATTGTCTGAAAGCCTGTGTCACAAGAGGCTCAGAGGACCTCTTGCTTTAACGATTCCTGGTATTTGCTGTGTGAAATAAATAAGCTTTTAGATCACACTCTGACATTTTATACCAGAAATGCTACTTTTTTGCTTAGCTGTTATTTACTGTTACTAGTTTAATAGCTGAAAGTCAATAATTTTCAAGTTTTAAAAAATTTTACTTTTAAAGAGAATTTTAGTAAGACACTATATGTATACTAAAGCTTTTAGAACTGAGTGGTAGCCACTAGCCTTAGGGGGAATATTTAGATTTAAATAAATAAAAATTAAATACAATTTAAAATTCACTTCCTCAGTCTCACTAACCATATTTCAAGTGTTCAGCAGTGTTCATGTGACTAGTGGCTACATATTCGATAGCTCTAGGTTGTAAAAATTAGATGAGTCCTCCCTTTTTTCAAAGCAAATCCTGATGAGATTCCTCTTCCTAATGAATAAGATTGTCTATTTAGTTAAGGGTCTGGTTTATCTGTATTTTGCCAAAATTAGACTCTTCTGTTTTTCTTTATCATTTGTACCTGTTTGTAAATGATTATTTGATTGGACTTTATACTTTGATTTCATAGTAGAAACCTAATAAAGTTAATTTTTTCAAATACTGACAACATAGAAGGAGAAAAGGCATTCTATCATATTTATTAAACTAAAAACAATTATTCTTGATGATAGAAATATGATAGAATGTCTTAGTTTCTGTTTTCGTATTTTTGAGCTCTACCAGGGAATATACTGCTAGTTTTGGGTTTCCTTTCTAGACTAAAGAGCTTTATATTAATCACAGGATACTTGGATCTTATCATTTTGCTACTTCAAAAGGGTATATGTTTCCTATTAGAAAAGACTATCACGTCTATCCCATACCTTTCAGAGATAAGGACAGAGATAAGGATTCTCTGGTGATTTATCAGTAATAATACTGTATGCCTTTAATGATGCTACTCAAAAAGTAAACTAAGTTTTTAATGGTAAGTGTAGACTGTAATATTAAGCGCTAAATAATGGTTCACTCACCTTTGGATTGAAAGACTTTATGTCAAGGATTTTTCAGAATCCTTTCAAAAGGATATTATAACTGGCTTAAATCTGAAATAATTCAATTAATTCCACTTCAGGTGTTGCACTACATATTTAGCCTTTGATTTAGAGTTTGCAGCCTTGATAAAGCCTAAGAAGCCCAATCTAAAAGAGTCAGGTTTGCTGCTGCTTCAAGACTCAGCTGAATACTACGTTCTCCATGAAGCATTTCTTTCTTTCCCCAGCTGGAATTAATCATTCCCTCTCTGATCTTTCATAGCACTTTAATTATCTCTTTTTTGTAGTTCTTAATACTCATTGGTATAAAACCCCCAGCACTTTTTATGTATCCCAAAATGTATGCAGTCTTGGCATTTTCCCCCCTTCTTTTCTTCCTTCCTCTTCACTCTCTCTCTTCCTTTTTCCCCCTTTCTCTCATCTGCTGTGTTTGCTTCACACTACCTGTAGGATTACATTCAGATTCATCATTTGATAATCAAGGCCTTCCTTATAAATTCAGCAATATTTCTTTTCTTGTTTAAAATTTATTTTTTCCACCCATCTGCACACTGATCTTTCTTTTTTCTTTTTCTTTTCTTTTTTTTTTTTTTTTGAGACAGAGTCTCGCACTGTCGCCTGGGGTGGAGTACAAGTGGCACAATTTCGGTTCACCACAACCTCTGCCTCCCGGGTTCAAGCAATTCTCCTGCCTCAGCCTCCTGAGCAGCTGGGATTACAGGTGCCCTCCACCACGCCCGGCTAATTTTTTGTATTTTTGGTAGAGATGAGGTTTCATTATTTGGCCTGCTGGTCTCTAACTCCTGACCTTGTGATCCGCCCGCCTCAGCCTCCCAAAGTGCTGGGATCTTTTTTAAAAATTTTTTTAGTGACAGGGTCTCACTCTGCCACCCAGGCTGGAGTACATGGTGCAATCATAGCTCACCGTAACATTAAAGTTCTGGGCTCAAGTGATTCTCTCCCAAGTCATTGGGACTACAGACAGGCACCTGCCACCATACTTGGCTAGGTGTTTTGTTTTGTTTTTTTAATTTTTTGTAGAGGCATCTTGCTATGTTGCTCAGGCCAGCTTAAACTCCTGGGCTCAAGCAATCCTCCTGCCTCAACCTCCCAAAGTGCTGAGATTACAGGTTTAAACCATACTTCTGGCAAATTCAGCTATATTTCTAATTGCCTCATTATGAATTCTTTCATCTAGGCAAGCTGAATTATTCATTGCCCACATACACACTGCATTCTCATATATGTGTGTGCATGTGCATGCTTGTGTGTATGTGTGTGGAAAGAGGAAGAGATAGAGAAGTTTTAGATGACTATGTTTTCTTTTTTGCTTTTTATTCCTGTATTAGGAAACAACATGGTTAAACATAGACTCTGGAGTCTAATTGGGTTGAAATCCCTCCTAGACAGCTTACTAGCTATGGGCCCTTAAGTAGACTGCTCTCATCCTTTCTCAGTATATATATATATGTGTGTGTGTAAGTGTATAATATTTGTGTATATATGATATATATATTATATAATATATAATTTATATATAATATATTGTATATTATATATAATATATAATTATATATAATATATAATATATTATATATTATATATAATTATATATTATATATTATATACAATATATTATATATTATATATAATATATAATTATATATTATATATTTATATATATTATTATATATTAAGTAAGAAATAGAGCAAATCTTAAATCTGTTATTGCTCAGTGTTAACCTTCTTTGAGAGCTGATCAGGGATCTTTCTAGTTGTGTTTTTAGAAATCTCCTATAAGATCTTTGAAAGAGATCTGTCAAGAAAAGTTTCAGGTTGTAAGTTTTAAGGCCTGAGTGCCGATTGACTTTTATTTAACAATGTTTAGAGTACTCTTACCAAGTCCAGAATGCTGTTCAAGACTTTCTTTGCTGAGCTATGTTGCTCTCTCTATTTCTTACTGCATCTGTTGCTCTTAGAAAAGCTTTATAATAATTGTAATGACCAGATTATTTATCTCTCGTAAGAACTCATTACAGATGTTCTTTTAAGGAAAAGAAAAAGAAGTAGAAAGGAAGAGAAAGTATTAAACTACATTTTTTCCTAATCATTGTATTCCAGAGATGGGAATAAGTGGACCCTTTGGTCAAAGTTCAGTTTCATGTGAACTTTTTCTCCTGGCTTGTCCTCTAAGGAAAGGTGCTCAGTGATGGGAGTTGCCAAATGGTGTGTGTGGCAGAAGAATGTTTTAGGAGTAATCTGGAGGTATGAGTGATGTTTCTATTGGGGTACCATCTTCTAGATTATTGAGGCAACTGTAACACAAGATATGTTTGTCTGGAAAGAATAGGTACAGCTAATAAAGACTTGTCTTAAATTCTATTGATCTTGTTACAGTTATTTATAATGATAGCTGAAGATTTAAAAATTGTATGTCAGGTGCACGTGCGTGTGTGTGTGTATATTAAAACTGACTTCTGTAGGGGAAAGATGCAGGAAATGCAGTAAGTAGGATCAGCTTGTAGGCGGTGACTGAATTCAGTAAGCTGTGGTCACAGTCCTGTATCAAGGGCTTCAGGTGTTAGAAGGCTGGGCTAATGAAGTACGGTTGGCTACATAATATGGGAGAATAAATTTCTTCCCTTGTTACTTTAGAAAGCTACATATTTTTAATTGGTTAACTCCAGTTCTATACATATAATTCTTCCAGTAGTAACCACAAATATTCTGTTCACACATATTTTGCCTCAATTCCGATGGGAGTCTATTTGTAATAACAATAACTACCATTTATTGAACACTTAGACATTGTGTCACGCACTAATCTAAGTTCTATACATGTATTAGCTTAATCCTCACAGCAACTCTGTGAGGGTAGGAGCCACTTTTATCCCCATTTTATGGATAAGGAAAGTAAGGTTAACTAGCCTGCTTAAGGTCATACAGATAGCAGAGATTTGAACCCCAGCACTGTAAATACAGAGCCTATATATTTCATTTTTTGTTCATTTACTTAAACATTCTATATTGTTTAATTTTTATGCCACCTCCATATTTCTATGATTAATGCATATGTTCTATAGACTGAAGCCTCACATAAAGACAATATGGTTGAAACCTATTTGACCTCTTAGAAATTGTTGACAGTTTTTTGCTTTATTTTAAGAGGTTTTTGGGGAACAGGTGGTGTTCGGTTATATGGATAAGTTCTTTAGTGGTGATTTCTGAGATTTTGGTGCACCCATCACCCAAGCAGTGTAGACTGCACCCAATGTGTAATCTTTTATCCCTCACTCCCCTCCCACCCTTTCCTCCATGTTCCCAAAGTCCATTGTATCATTCTTATGCCTTTGCATCCTCATAGCTTAGCTCCCACTTATGAGTGAGAACATACATACGATGTCTGGTTTTCCATTCCTGAGTTACTTTACTTAGAATAATCGTCCCCAATTCCATCCAGGTTGCTGCGATTGCCATTATTTCATTCCTTTCTATGGCTGAGTAGTATTCCATGGTATGTATATATATCACAATTTATTTATCCACTCATTGATCAATCCCAGTAGTGGGACTGACAAATCAAATGATTCCTCTACTTTTAGTTCTTGAAGGAATCTCCACACTGTTTTCTATAGTGGTTGTACTAGTTTACATTCCCACCAGCAGTGTAAAGGTGTTCCTTTTTCACCACATCTACGCTAACATCTATTATTTTCTGATTTTTTTTGGTTATGGCCATTTTTACCAGGAGTAAGGTGGTATCGCTTTGTGGTTTTGATTTGCATTTTGCTGATCATTAGTGATGTTGAGCATTTTTCCAAATGCTTGTTGTCTATTTATATATCTTCTTTGGAGAATTGTCTTTTCATGTCCTTAGCCTATTTTTTGATGGGATTGTTTTATTTTCTTGCTGATTTGTTTGAGTTCCTTTTAGATTCTAGATATTAGCCTTTGTCAGATGTATAGATTATGAAGATTTTCTCCCACTTTGTGGGTTGTCTGTTCACTCTGCTGATTGTTGAATAAGATGTCCTTTCCCCACTTTATGTTTTTGCTTTGAGAAATTGTTGACAGTTTTAAAATCATAATGAGAAACTAAAATTGGAGTTAAGAGTTCACCAATGTGCTTTTTCCAAATTATGAATTGTTCAAAAAGTTTCCATTTTCCACCTGTTGAGATCTTCATTTTGAGGTTTTTATTTTCTACTGTGTCTAATCTACATCCCACTTTTCCAGGTGAGTATAGAGGGCTTTTTAAAATCAATTAGAAAAAAATAAATACTGTTTTGTAAAACCCATTGCTTTGAACATGGCTGTTTAACACTTGCCTTTTGATACTTCCTGAATAAAATGTTTATAGTTTGTCGCATCATATATGTTTAATTTATTCATTTAGCCAAAAAAAGAGAGAGTGAGCAAGAATTGCAATTTAATAATAAGGATGATTCCATCTGCCTTGTCTCTTAGTATGTACCCGGGAGTGAATGGGCAGTGGGAGACATGAACCTGTTGTTCCCTTGGTTGGTTTTAGTTCTGTGTACAACTCATAAAACAAGTGTTTCTCTGTATAATATATTTATTTTTACAACATGACCCTTAAAAACAAGCCAACAACTGAAAAAAAAGTTAGCTGTCCGCAGCATTGGAAGAAAAACTGGCTGTGCCATACTTACTGGAAGAGAATATGTTGGTCTATAATTGGTTTTTCTAGGATAATTTCAACAAATATGCAATTTATGCCTTATATGTTAACTTTAGAACTAACTCCATCATAAGATGTGACTCCTCAGTGTTGAGTGCCTGCTAGATGCCAGGCACGGTGAGGTCCTGAAAGGATGAAAATTTAGTTTTGTCTTTCAAATAACTCTCAATCTTTTTACCTCATAAGTAAGGAAGGGCAGCTACAGGTAATGGGAGAGAAAGAGAAGAGTATCATAAAATTAAATAGGCAAATACTTATAAGTTGCTATAAGATGACCTAAAGTAGTTATTTTGGATGTTGCTAGCTTAAAAAAAAGCGGGGCGGGGGTGGGGCGGGGTTGGAATCAGTAAGTCTTTCAACAATGTTGTATGTGTGGAAGGGACTTGGTAAACTCTGTTGGGACTAAAGTAACCATAAGCAAGTGTTTCTATCCAGAAGGATCTCATACAATTCTATAGAATTTTCAGATATGCTAGTCTTGACAGTGCTACTTGAGTATCATGCCATTTTAATTGTACCTGTCCTTGCATCATACATAATGTTTTCCTTTAGGTTTCTATATATGCTGTACCAGAAAAGATTGGTCAAGTTCATTATGCCTTGGAAACAACTGTGAAGCTTCTTGAGTTTTTTCAAAACTACTTTGAAATTCAGTACCCACTTAAGAAATTGGGTAAGAATCAAATAGTGTGTCTGATTTTTGTTATAATTAGAACCTAGATTTATTTTGTGAATTTTTTTAGAAAGAGGTTCTGCCCAAGTTGTTTGCAGAGAAAACCAAAAACCATTATTAATGCTTTAAAAATTGTTTGTATTTGTTAAGATTATTTAGATTTCATGAATATATCTGAAGTTGGAGCTTAAAACACTTAAGTTTATAGGGCTGCTAAAAAGGTGCTGTATAAGTGGGAATTTGCTTATGGCTTAGTCTGCAATTTGACTAATTCTAACTTCCAAGAAATACCCTATTTAAATAATAAAAACTGAGTAACGGGAGCTCAGGAAAGCAAGAACATTTCAGTGCTGTTCAACATGGAGCTAGTCCTAGAGAGTAGAGTATTGGCCGTGAACTTTGTCCTTCTTGCTCTGGGAAGCTGATTGATTGTAAAGGAATTAGGCATCTCTTTCTTCACTAAGGGACAGTGGAACAGTGACTCTAAAAGGGTTTGAACAGGTCTTCCTCAGCTGACATGTGGGTAGAGAGCATACAGAGCTAGAATAAGGAAGATTCCATTTATTGTGAGTATAAAAAGAATTCATTGCTTTCACAGTGATAAACCATTGAATAAAATACTTTGAGTAGAAAATGCCTAAGATGAGGGAAAGTTGATCACTTATTTCCTGTTATGTCCAGATTTGGTGGCTATTCCTGACTTTGAAGCAGGAGCAATGGAAAATTGGGGTTTGCTCACCTTCCGAGAGGAGACACTTCTGTATGACAGTAACACTTCTTCAATGGCGGATAGAAAGCTGGTGACTAAAATCATTGCTCATGAGCTGGCCCACCAGGTATTAGCAACCAAGGCTGTTCTGTGTCACACCTGTGGTCTACTTCATGTCCTGGAGTTATTGTTAGCATTTAGATGCTAATAATTCTTTTTTTTTTTAAGCATTGCCTTCTTTTATAATAGAAAGATGCTTTTTAAACACAAACTTCATTTTCAAATGAAAATGCTATCAGATGTTTGACTTTACAGGTTAAAGCATTTTCACATCTGTCTTACTTCGCAACTTCTCTAAGGTGGGTATTAATCACATTTTACATATGTGAAAACTGAGACTCAGTTTAAATAAATGGCTTGCCATAAGTCATACAGCTAATAAGTGGCAGCACTGGGCCATGAAGAGCCACTATCTCTTCAAGATCTCTTTTTCCCCCTCAGTAATACACAGCTGCATCACCTATGACAAATGCCCATTGCCCAGTATAACTTTGTGGGGAAGAATCTCTTTCCCTAAGTTGCACCCTTCTGACAACTCAAACTGTAGCTGTCAGGGCTGGATTTTTTTTTTTTTTTCATCTCCTGCCGGAATGGGGTTCTCTGTTAATTTTGGAGAGGGGGTTTCTGAGAAAATGGCAAAGGGTACTGTTTGTATGACATGGAGAGAAAGAAAGAAAATTATATGGGTACATAACACCCCCATTCTTCCCTAACACCTTGTCTCTATTTTGCCCTAGATGAGGTGCTTAACTAGCATTGGGTATGGTTTGGGTGATGTCATGACAGTGGCAGGATATGAATAGGATGTATTCTGGTCAGCTTATTTTCTACATCAAACACCTTATATGAATCTAGCCTTTGTGAAGACTTCATGACAAGCTGGCATATGAGCACATTCTCATTTGCTTTAAAAATAGGGCATGGGCCAGATGCAGTGGCTCACGCCTGTAATCTCAGCACTTTGAGAGGCGGAGGCAGGCGTATCACAAGGTCAGGAGATCAAGACCATCCTGGCCAACATGGTGAAACCCCGTCTCTACTAAAAATACAAAAATTAGCTGGGCGTGGTGGTGCATGCCTGTAATCCTAGTTACTTGGGAGGCCGAGGCAAAAGAATCACTTGAACCCAGGAGGCAGATGTTGCAGTGAGCCGAGTTTGCACCAGTGCACTCCCGCCTGACAACAGAGTGAAACTCCATCTCAAAAAAAAATAGGTCATATAGATAAGATGTCTTTTGGGGGATCTCCTCTAGGTCTGTTATTTCTGAAGCCACCCATCACCATTTGGGAGTATTTCTCTGTTATTTCCTCTTTAGGACTTAGAAATCATCTTCCTCTGAAACAGGTTTTAAAATAATATCTTAGAAAAATGTTATTGTAATTCTCAAAGGTGTTTTGTTTTATGCAGTAACCTCGTCCTTTCGCTGCTGATTTGAGATAAGCCCAAGACCACACTGACCAAATTACATATTTTACAACTACTTTTCATTTCAAGGATTTTTTTAGATACATTTTTTAAGGAGAATCTCCTATTATTTTTTTCCTTTTTCTTTTCTTTTTACTACCTCATAGAAGAAAATATTTAAAGCTCTTTCTGACTTCATTTGTTTATATATGCCATCTTTTTTTTTTTGTTTTTAAAGAAACAAGATCTCACTCTGTCACCCAGGCTGGAATGCAGTGGCATGATCATAGCTCACTGCAATTTTGAACTCTTAGGCTCAACTGATCCTCCCGCCTCATCCTCCCGAGTAGCTAGGCCAACAGGCATACATCACCATGCCTGGCTTAATTTTTTTGTAGAGACAGAGTCTCTCTATGTTGCCCATGCTGGCTTGAACTCCTGGCCTTAAGCAATCCTCCTGCCTTGCCCTCCTAAAGCACTGGGATTACAGGTGTAAGCCACGATGCCCAGCCTGTATATGTCAACTTAGTCTTAAGGAATGTTGTTTGAATTCTGTTTTGAATCATGCATATACTGTCTTCAATTTGGGCAACTGAGGAGAAACAAAGTATAGGCTTTCTGATTACAGGAAAATCTCTCACATAGAGACTTTTTAGTTGTCATGGGTGGTTGTAGATACAATGGAAAATAATCTTACTAACTTGATATTAGAAGGTAGAAAAATGTCATTATCTTGGAAATCTCACTTTATGAGGTGGCCGAAAAAAGTTTTTATTTCCCTATATTCATGCTATATTGCATGTTTGTTACATTGATAAATATGCTAATAACCTTTCTTGCTTGTTTCCCATTCAGTTAAGGTAAAAGATTAAAAATTATATTTTATTTTTAAAGTAAATTTATACAACTTTTGTAAGTTCTAAATTAATTTGAATATAGTTTGTTTTAACTATAGTATCAGTATATCTTTAAGATATTGTAATCAGGTTATAGATAATTAATATGACACTTCAGCCAATTATTTAAAAAATTCCTGAGGCTGTAAATATCCTGTGGGTTAATTGTTTTCTCTCCCCCCAGTGGTTTGGCAATCTGGTAACAATGAAGTGGTGGAATGACCTATGGCTAAATGAAGGTTTTGCCACTTTCATGGAGTATTTCTCTTTGGAAAAAATATTCAAAGAGCTTTCTAGTGTAAGTACAGGGTTTCTTTGGCCTACTATGAATGCTAGGAGGAAAAATAGTCAAATCACATTTTCATGTATTTTCTGTGCATCTGGAGTAATGAAAATGTTTCTAGGAAGGTATGCCAAACTTGACTTTGGTTATTGATATCTATACCTTTTGAGATTTGACAATGAAAGGGATGCTATTATTTACTGATGTGTTTCATTCAAAACTGAAATTATATAAGATTATTTTATATTTTTGTCATTAAGATGAACATTTTAAATTGTTTTGCAACATTTTCTTTTAAACAGCTATAGTTCTTCTGCTTGCAGGAATTTAAAGTTGCAAAGTCTAATTAAAATTTTTTTATCCTGTGTAAAATTTAAACTTTTTTATCCTGTGTAAAAATTAGATAAAAAATTAAAACATTTTATAGCAATACTGTTTCTCTATTATCACTGTGTACATTCTTGTGATAGTGATATATAGCTTGGTACAAATAAATAATTTGCCCTTTTTAAGGTACAAACCACATTTTATGCCTTTTTCCAAAGACAAGGAATACCGTTTCAGTACAGAGAAGTATAATAGTGGTGTCACTATGGTATTAGACTCTTGGGAAATATTTCCAGTACTTAGGGATATTCAAACACACTAGGCCATGATATGACAGATATTGTCAAGATAATTCAAACAATAGGTGGGAAAGTGTAAAGATACCTTCCAACCCCCAAATTTTTTGACTTTCTATTAAACTTCCTGATGTTATAATCCAAGATGGCTTTTAAAACAGAAGTACTCTTAAGAGCTTTTGATTTGAAATTTTAGATAGGGCTTGTTGAAAAATTTCAAGTGGTAGGGGAAATTAATTGATGTTAATTAATATCAAGTGGTAGCTAGAATACTAAGAAAGATATTCTAAATCCATGTATACTACTTAATTAAGTAATGAGATACACAGTTTGACCACTTGGTGGTGCCCAGAATGTGTAAAAAGGTCTAATACATGTTCTAGGGGAGCTCATCTGCTGAGCTCTTAAAGAATTATTTCTGTTTAAGAGTTACATTTTATTTAAAACCGACCTCAGGTAAGGGAAATGTATATTTTCTTAGTAGAAATTCTAGACTATATATAAGAAATCAGCGTAAGGACCAGTTTTTGTTCTTTCTCTTTTTAAATTTCAAGTTTCATTTAAAAAAATATATGCTAACCTTTTTAGAATATTCATCTTGGATACTCAGAGTTGGCATTTGTTTACTTTGGTAATAGATTCTTAATTTTCCCATATGCTGTTGTTTAGGAAATGCTAATTTTAATGTGGCCAGGTTATAATTGTATCTTTAAATTTAAGGAATATTCATGAAGTTTACAATCTTCCTACATTTTTGAAAGCTTATATCCTGAAGTTTAGTGACACTGGTCATTTTTTCCTAATGATATTTCACACTAATTAGTCTAATTCACATAAATAATTTACTATACTTTTGCATTTGATACTACTTGTGATATTCTAATCTTTTCATTTTTTGACAGTATGAAGATTTCTTAGATGCTCGATTTAAAACCATGAAGAAAGATTCCTTAAATTCATCTCATCCAATATCATCATCTGTTCAGTCTTCAGAACAAATTGAAGAAATGTTTGATTCTCTTTCCTATTTTAAGGTATTGCTGTGAACAAAAAGGTAGCTGGAGTGGGTTTAAAATTTCGTATAATTTCGTATGTGAGCAAGCTGTGTGATTTAGATTATTTTAAAGATTAAATGTTTTTCAGGTATTAATGGTAAACTATAAAATGTTTGCTTCTGTATAAATCTTGGTCATAACTTTTTTGTGGGTTTTTTTCTTTCTCTGACTCTAACTTAAGTTGTATGACTAGTATTCCAGACAATTAACCAGATCTTATAGCGATGCATCTTTTAAAGTCAGTTTACTCTCCAGATCTACAGGTAGAATATGTTCAGAGAAGGTCCTAAGTAAGCTCTTGGCTGTGTTACTCAGAATTGAGGTATGCTGTCAGGTCAGGACTGCCAAAACAAGTAAGCAAAAAGAGATTTTAAGAATTGAAGATTCGATTTTAGAATCTGAAACACACGCCCTGGGTTTCAAGGTAAAGAAAAAGCAGAATGTTAAACCCCATTCGGATCACCATAGGTCGGAGAATAGAAGAATAGTGATAACGGTGTCATTCACATTTATGTTGTGGGGAGGGATGAATGTTATGGCTGTCAGACAAGATAGAGAAGAAAATACACAAAATGTGTGAGATACAGTCTATGTCATCAAGTAGCTGAAAGTTCAGATGGTTGGTACTTGTGGAGCAATAAGAGAGGTAATATGTGCTGAGTGGGACAGAATTTTTGCCTAGGATAAGGAAGAGAAACTTTTGGGAGGTAAATGGGAATTGAGTTGGCTTAAATAATTAAAATATAGGTAAAGAGGAATGTGAAGTATAGGGTAGGGCAGGAATGGAACAATGAGGTCTGCAAAGAAAATGAAGTACTAATGGGCAAGTGATGTTTTTTCAGAGAGTCAGTGTTTGACCACAGTGGAAGCCACACGTGAAGAGGGAAAAGAAGAGAAAGTTGAGTGGGGCCCAGTTGTAGAAGGCTCTGGATACCATAAGGAATTATTTTTTTCCTATGCAACAGGAAGCTTGAAAAGACTTTTGAACAGAGGAATGACTTGATTAAAGTTACTATTTAGGAAAAGTATTTTGGTTTCAGTTTATAAAGTAGATTTAAGTGGGGAGAAACGTAAAGTCAGGAAATTGCTGCTAAAGTCCAGGCATGAAATGGTAAAAGTTTGAAATGAGGAGTGCTAGTAAGGGTGGAAAGAAAACAATGGGTATAAAAAATACTGGGCAGGGAAAGTACTTAAAGTATTAGTGACAGGGTAAGGCCAGTAAAGAAAGAGGCAGAAATGTTTTTCAGGTTCAAACCTGACTGACAAGAAGAATTATTGTACAGGTACTATTAACAAACAAGAAAATCAGGAGTTCAGTTAGCTATATTAAATCTATTCCAATTAGAGCTACTGGTGTGATTTTTGAAGACCATAGTGGACCTGTCAATAAAGAAAATTTAAAACTTGAGGTTCTGTTATTATACCAAACTTAGAGCAGTTATTTCAGGATTTGAAAACCTGCTTAAAATGCTCTAAGTTCATTATATAATAACAGAACAGAGTCATAACAGAGTTCTGTCTGCCACTGACCCAAACCCTCTAAACCCAGAATTCAGTGTCTTCTGAATATGTAGTTTCCATATCATTGTCAACCCCTGTCAACATGGTAACTACTTGTTTCAGAATTGGGAATTTGGCAAAAATATTCTGTGTAATTAAGAGAAGTGGGATACTAGATAACTTATCAGTATTGTGTGCAAGAAGGTAAGCACCAGCAGGGAAATACGTTTAGCAGACATATTCTGTTTGGTCTTTATAATCATCAAGCCTAATTCTGATGCAGGTTGCCTTGCAAGAATTCATTCATTTAGCAAATCTTACAAATACTAACCATATACCAGCCATTGTTCTAGGTGCTGGGGTTATATCAGGGGACAAGGTGGACTTTGTCTCTTTTGTGAAGTTTCCATTTCAGGGGTCAAAGGTAGAGACTGACTGTATACAAATGAATGAATAAGTAGGTATTGTGTTAAGTAATAAGTGCTAATATGAAAATAAAGCATGATAAGGGAAATGAGAATGACAAAGGAAATGGTGTTTATAATATAATGTGGTTGAGAAGCCCTCCTGTATGGTGACATTTGAACACCATCTAAGGCATGAGGAATGTGGTTTTCTTGGGGAAGAATATTCCAGGTAGAAGAAATAACCAATGTATAGTGCTTGTGTGCAGAAAAGAATTAATATAGGAGGCCTGAGACTGCTATTCTTTGAAAGACCTGCTTGCAAGGTTGGCCCTTGGGTGGCATGTGGGAACTTGGGTTTTGGGAAATTTCCCACTATTGCATAAGAGTGGCTCACTGTGCCTAAACAATGTAGTTTATGCTGAAAATGTGATTTCCTTCTGGGTGTCTGGAGTTTTGGTATGTGCTAGGCAGAAGGTACCTTCGTGACTAGCCCACAGTAAACAGCCTGGGTGCTGAATCTCTGATGATCATCCGTGGTAGATGGCATTTCACACATGCTGTCACAACTTTCTGGAGGAATTAAGTGCATCCTGCATGATTCACTGGGAGAGGACTTGGAAGTTTGTGCCTGGTTTCCTCTGGACTTTGTCCCATGCATCTTTTTTCTTAGCTGATTTTACTTCATATCTTTTCACCGTAATAAATCATAGCAGTGAGTATGACTATATGCTGAGTTCTGTGAATCCTTCTAGTGCATCATCAAACCTGGAACTGGTCTTGGGGACCCCCACATGAGATATGAGATTGAGAGAGATACGAGATTGAGATAAAAGGTTGCTTTGCATGTTCAAGCACCAGCAAGGATCCAGTGTTATCTGAAGTAGAGTAAGCAGAGGAGAAAGTAGTAGATGAAGTTAGAGGGACTGTAAGAGGCCAGATTATTATAGGGTCTGCTAAGCCATAGTAAGGACCTTGATTTTATTCTAAGTGAAACGAAAAGCAATTTGATCAGGAAAGTACCGTGATATGGCTTATTTTGTAAAAGATCACTCTAGTCTTCAACAGTACATGGAGTAAAGAGGACTAGTTAGGAAGTTATTGTAATAGATGGGTGGCGAGATAATGGTAGCCTGGACAAGGGTGGAAGTTGTGAAGGTGATGGAGGTACAACTGGACTTGGAGTGTGTTTTAAAGATTGATCCAGTAGAATTTGTTCATGGATTAGATATGAAATACGAGAGAGGGGTCAGGGTAACTTTAAGATTTTTACCTGAACAACTGGAAAAATGGAGTTGCCATTTGCTGAAATGGAGAAGACTGCTTTAGAAGTAGGTTTAGGGAAAGAAGGGGGAAGAAACTTCCATTTCTAAGTGACTATGAGATATGGATTAGATATCCAAATGGAGATACCACACAGGCAGTTGGATATGGGTCTGAAATTCAAGGGGGAAGAAGTCTGATTAGATATATAAATCAGGGGATCATTTGGAAACCTTGGAGTTGGGAGATCAACTAGGAAGGAAATTTAGATAGAGAAAAGGGGTCCAAAGATCAGATGCAAGGACACACTTTCTTCATTGGAAGATGAGGAGGATTCAGTAGACGAGACCGAGAAGGATGGCCAGTGAATAGGGAGAGAATCAAGAGTAGTGTCTTGCAGCTCTCAAGGAGGAGCAGGTGATCAGTTATATCAAATGCTATCAATAGGTTGATAAGATGAGCCTGAGAATTCACATTTGTATGGCACCAGGAAGTTTACCAGTGACCTTGATAAAAATACTTCCGGCCGGGCATGGTAGCTCACGCCTGTAATCCCAGCACTTTGGGAGGCCAAGGTGGGTGGATCACCTGAGGTCAGCAGTTCAAGAACAGTCTGTCCAACATGGTGAAACCCCGTCTCTACTAAAAATACAAAAATTAGCTGGGCGTGGTGGTGGTGCCTGTAATCCCAGCTACTCAGGAGGCTGAAGCAGGAGAATCGCTTGAACCCAGGAGGCGGAGGTTGTAGTGAGTGGAGGTCGCACCACTGCACTCCAGCCTGGGTGACAAGAGTGAGACTTCATCTCAAAATAAATAAATAAATAAATAAATACTTACAGTAGAGTGATGATTAGAAGATGGCTCAAGAGAAAATGGAAAGAGAGCAAATGGAGATGGCAAATTGAGGACAACTCTTTTGAGGAGTTTTACTACAATGGGGGAACAAAAAAACAGCACGGTAACGAGTTGGTAACGAGGAGGGTGAAGTTAGGGAAAGGTAGAGAGTCTTTTATTTGTTTAAAATTAGGAATGTTACATCGTTTTTGTTTTGTTAATGGGCATGTTACAGTATGAAGGGAAAAGTTGGTGATGCAGAAGAGAAAGGACTGTTGGGGACAACAGTGAGTACTTAAATTTATAGAACAAGTAATAGCTATGAAGTGTGATACAGAAATGAGAGTAATAGGTAATAATTTAGTTATGTGTACAATAATCTTGACATTACTACATTTTTATCAAAAGTGAAATTCATTCAAAAACTACTAGAGTGCCTACTATGTAGTGGGCATTGTTTTTGTCATTGGAGTTGAGTTTTCACTTTTTCCTCTCAGCTTACTGCATAGATGAGGAAATAAATGTGTAACAGATACAGGATGCCATATAAATTGTATTGAAGATGGAGAAATGTGATTTCTATTTCAAACCGGGAAGGTCTTCACAGAGGAGGTGGTGCTTATTTCAGGATTGCGAATGATGACAAGCACATCAATGGATATAGTGTGGCCTTAATATTATGCTCCCTGCCCTATACATTTGTTAGTTCCAAGCATTTGAAGTGACTCTGCAGGAAGAAGAGAGATTCTGGTTACTTCACAACACAATATACTAAAATAAGAAATTAATGACCTACCTAGCAGGGAGACTTTTGAGAGCCTTGTCAATTTATTGTGTCTCCAGCACACAATAAATTCAATGGGTGATTTAAGCACTGGGGATGGAGGTGTAGGTGCCACAGAAAATTTGGCATGTTTTTCTATTAAAATGTTTTTATAAATACTTAGCTTTTCAACACTAACATTGAAACAGTGAGTATACCAATAGACCACACAGAATGACTCATGGTTAGAATAGTGCACATGGGAATCTACTCATTAATTCTTTTTCAAATCCTTTAAAATAATTTTAAGACAGTTGAACACAGTCCACATCTATATGAGACTAAGTAGCAGTATATTATAACTAAGTTCTACATATGAAAGTAAATTTTTAGAATGACTGTAGTTTGAATTTTAGATTCCCAATTCGATAATCTATAGTATTCTATTATTTTCTTTCTTTTTCCTCACTTTTTTTTTTAATAGGGATCTTCTCTCTTGTTGATGTTGAAAACTTACCTTAGTGAAGATGTGTTTCAACATGCTGTTGTCCTTTACCTGCATAATCACAGCTATGCATCTATTCAAAGTGATGATCTGTGGGATAGTTTTAATGAGGTAAGTGACCTGGGTAATTTATTTAGCTCTTACTGTAAAAAGAGAGGAGTTCGTCTATTTATACTTTTTAGCATGTGTGTAAGTTAATCTGTGGTACAAAGCATAGTTATTTAAGAAAGGGGGGGATGGAGCTTGCTATATAAATATTTATGAATGGAGCACTAAATTTTATGTCAAGAAATGGGAGTGCTGTTCTTAGTTGTTGGAAAAGACGTGTGTGGGCTTGGGTAGCCAGTTGTTTTTTTTTTTCCTGTACCTTAACTTCTATTCCTATTTTGTAGGAAAGTTGTCTTCTCCGTATTAATGAATATTACTATATTTTCATTATTTGACTTTTTTTCCAGAAATCTCTTTTCCTATCCTTACCCTTTTAGTTTTTCTGCCTCTTTTGAATGATTCTGTACTCTGCTCTATGAATCTCTTGCCTTTGTGACTGTTCCTCCAGAGTAGATGATACATCACAAGCTGACTGCATATTATCCTTGGATGATTTTGCTGTTGGAATTTTGTCATTCCTGGAAATATTCTAGCAAGCAGTGTAATTATGTAGAAGTTACACTTCAAAGCAGCACATGAACCCGGGCTGCTTCATGCATGTATACTGACTGCAAAACCCTTATAAGCATTTGTGTTTGTTACCCTGATTTAGATTGATGGGTCATAATACTTTGAAAGATCACAGATTTGACTGAGCGTGGTGGCTCACGCCTGTAATCCCAGCACTTTGGGAGGCCAAGGCAGGCAGATCATGAGATCAGGAGTTCGAGACCAGCCTGGCCAATATGGTGAAACCCCGTCTCCACTAAAAATACAAAAATTAGCCAACGTGGTGGCACATGCCTGTAGTCTCAGCTACTTGGGAGACTGAGGCAGGAGAATCATTTGAATCTGGTAAGCAGAGGTTGCAGTGAGCCGAGACTGTACCACTGCACTCCAGCCTGGGTGACAGAGCCAGACTCTGTCTCAAAAAAAAAAAAAAAGAAAGAAAGATCACAGACTTATTTGGAAATTTGATGAAAGTTCTGGCCATATTACTCAGAAAAACCACATATGTGCAGAACATCACACACAGTTTCAAAGTTTTATTGACTCTAGGTTAGGAACCCCTGCTCTGGATCTTTCTCATACACTCTTTACTGCTTCTTTGCCTCATCTGAATCCTGATACTTTCTAGCTGTTAGTCTTTTGCCCAGAAGATATACCTTCCCTACTCTCTGAATTCTCTTTGAGAACTTATTACCTAACAGTTGTTCCCAAATCATTGTTTTTTTCCTCTGATCATATAGTAGTATTTCAATTGAAAGCCACATTGTTTACTTTATACTTACTGTCTTAATCTGTTGGCATTTAGAACATATTTCTGCCTTTCTCATTGACTGCAACTTTTGCATCATGGTGTTTTTCCATCCCAAACTAGTTCCTAACATTATCCTCAGGTTTTTCAGCACCCACATCAAATTATGCATTGGCCTCTTCACTTCAATACTGCTTCGACACCCAAAAGCACCTTGGTTTTAGGCAAGCTTATTTTCTTCTAATCCTCTGGTTCAGAAATAAATAGGTCAGAGCCATGATAAATACAAGTTTAATTAAAATGGGAAGATTTGCTCCATCCTTTTGTGCTTTAAATAAATGGGCATATGGTGATTGAGGTGAGGCCTGCCATAGTAGAGTGATTTTATCAATTTAGGTACATCATGACTTTGTTGCTTACAATTCAAATTCATATATAATCTAGAAAAATAATTTGAATCCTGAGTTTAACCCACCTGCTTTAAAGAGACTGTTGTTCAAAAATTGCTTCTTAGTTATTGATACTAGATGTCTTAGGGGCTTTGGGCCTTAGAGGGTCTGCAAAGCTCTGACACTAGGTTCTAGATTTTATAGATAACTTCATATATTTTCTGGGAAAGAAGGGCTGTGACCACTAAAGTAGTTTACCACTGTTTTCTAGAAAGACTTAAGGCAACTGACCTGTTCATATGTCACTCTTCTGCTGCCGCTGCTCCCTGGCACTCCCACAGTATTAGGTCCTAAGAGACTATCATTGTGGAGGTGGAGGGTAGGAGCATAAAGAGAAACCCAGACTCAGGTGCTTCACAGGATTGAGTAGCAGTGTTTCTGATTCTAGACTGTATATCATTATTCATATCTTGTAGATGTTAGTATTGTGATTTGAAAGAATACTTATACCTTCTTAGGGATTTTAACTTGATGAATTTAGGGATTTTAATGAATTCTTAGTTGGTTGATATATGTGCCACTTCTCAACCTAGTGCCTCCCTCACTCCCTTAGCTATCACTTAGCTCTGTTCCAGGTTACATTCCTTTTAGCAGTTGCTCATTTACCTAGATTAGAAGTGTAAACTCAACATTCATGTTTCTTTTTTATATTAACATTAAATGTAGTCTTTATAGATGGTAGGAAAAGAGGGAAGGGTACAGATAAATTAAAATGTAAAATTTTTTAAACCAATTTTTATTTTTAAGGAAAAAGTTTTATATATATATATATATATTTTGTAGGTCACAAACCAAACACTAGATGTAAAGAGAATGATGAAAACCTGGACCCTGCAGAAAGGATTTCCTTTAGTGACTGTTCAAAAGAAAGGAAAGGAACTTTTTATACAACAAGAGAGATTCTTTTTAAATATGAAGCCTGAAATTCAGCCTTCAGATACAAGGTACATGCCCTCTTTCTTTTCATGCCATCTCTTTTGCACTCTCAGGTGGAAATATTTTTAAGTGTTTTATAATCATAAGTTCTTGTGAAACCTAACAAGATTATCCCTTCCTAGGAATAGCTTAACCTTCCTACCAAATTAAAAAAAAAAAAAAATCATATGTAACTAATTTTCCAATGTTTTCTCTTTACAGCTACCTGTGGCATATTCCACTATCCTATGTCACTGAAGGAAGAAATTATTCAAAATATCAATCGGTATCATTACTGGATAAGAAATCAGGTTTGACTATAATGACAGTTCTGATTGGAAATGGCATAATTTTAAAAATCTGATCAGAGTGCATATATAAGATTACACTTTCCAGTGTGCACACTCTCTGAACTGGTTTTATGAGTTGCATATGCAAGATGTGACTAATGTGAGATTGATTCTGTATATCATGCACAAAACTGGCTTTTAGCCATGTGAAATAAGGTACAAAAATTTGCAGAGAATGTACTGGCATTCCTGAAAGAAAATAGCGAATGCCATGTTTTTATACCCAAGATTAATATTTTGTTACAAAATAAGAGGAGTTTCTTAAAGTATCCTCTGCTATCTACTGTCTAGGGTTGGGCTGAGGCAACTGCATTTTAACAAGATACACCCTAAATGATTTGTGTGTATAATTGAGGTTTATTCATGATTGGATTTAGAGTAAATAGTTATTGCAATATGCCCTGCAGACATAGTATATGTTTTGGGGAACAAGAAAATGGGGCATGAAACTATGATAGGAAGGGGGAGGGGAATAGTAAAATATAAACGTGGTGTATGCTGACCTACAATATAAAAAGCAATTGAAATGTAATTTTGGGCCATTTGTTAAATACCACTATGAATGTCACACCACATATCTTCCTTTTAATTTACATCCTAAAGAAACACAAGGCTCTTGGGTTCTGTAGGACCCGTTAGTGATGCTTTGGATTGAAGAAAAGGGAAAATTTCTCGTTTGAATTTGGATCTGGTGTCAAAGCCTATATTTTTGAGGGGTGAGTGTAGCTTAGTGGTAAGAGAATGAGACTTTAGAGACTGCCGGGTTCAATTCTTAGCAGTACCATTGATCACTTATATGATTTTAGGCGAGTTATGTGAGCCTCATTCCCTCAGCTGTACAAAAGAGATAGTAATTATACTTACTTTATGTAGTTGTGGTGAGGATTAAATGAGTTCATTTATATGAAGCACCTAGAACAATGCCTGGCACATATTATGTGCTGTATTAATGTTAACTATCATTAACGTTATTGAAAAAGTAAATCTTTAATATATCTATATTACATAAAACCTTGAAAATGGAGAGCAAATCTTATTACCCTATCAAAACTATTCTTATGATTATTTGTTTATAGTCATTTTTAATAAATATTTGTACTTAGTCAAAATCATTATGTATATATGATTTCTGTATCTTGCCTTTTTTAACTTAACATATATAGTAATTGACTTAACCTACTTGATTCACCATTTGTTGTTATAAAATATTGCCTTAATTAAATATTTCAAATCTTAAAGGTTTTTCCATTATATGAAATTTTTTAAGGAATGCTTTTCAAAAATGAAGACTGCAGTACCTTTTGTGATTTGGTACATATAACCAAATCGCCCTTTTTATTGTGTAGTTACAGTTGATAATGCCACCTGAAATACATGAATGTGCCAGTTTCATTGCAGTTTTACCATAGTGGAGTGTTAAAGCAGCAACAATCTAATTATTTAAAATCCTAGTGGTAGTTGGTAATGTCATCATATCTTTGATAGCATAGCTGGAAGTACAAGGAATTGCTACTGTCTTTGAGTAAACAAAACTCTAACTTTGAATGAGCCGTAAAAGGATAGTCTCTAACCCAAGAGAGAACAAATAACCCCATCTCCCTATATCCTGAAGCACAGCTAAAACATGGCTGGAGTATTTGCAAGAAACTAATAAGGAAATTTTGCAAACTTTCTGATAGTATATTAATTTTCAGTGCTATTAGAAATAATTGGGCAATAAGAAATCTGCTTTTATTATCTGTTTTTTGTTTCATTGGTTGATTTTTTTGTTTGTTTTTTCTTGTTTTTTTTTTTTTTTTTTTTTTTTTTTTTTTGAGTTGGAGTCTTGCTCTGTTGCCCAGGCTGGAGTGCAGTGACAATATCATAGCCCACTGCAGCCTCAAACCCCTGGGTTCAAGCAATCCTCCTGCCTCAGCCTGCCAAGAAGTTAGGACCACAGGCATGTATCACCATGCTTGGCTTAATTTTTGTATTTTTTGTAGAGACAGGGCCTCACTATGTTGCCCAGGCTGGTCTCAAACCCCTGGCCTCAAGTGATCCTCCTGCTTTGGCTTCCCAAAGTGTTGGGATTACAGGCATGAGCCACCGCACCTGGCTCCTCTTTACTCTTTTTTTTTTTTTTTTTTTTGAGACAGAGTCTCGCTCTGTTGCCCAGGTGAGAGTGCAGTGGCGCGATCTCAGCTCACTGCAAGCTCCGCCTCCCGGGTTCACGTCATTCTCCTGCCTCAGCCTCCTGAGTAGCTGGGACTACAGGCGCCTGCCACCATGCCCGGCTAATTTTTTATATTTTTAGTAGAGACGGGGTTTCACCATGGTCTCGATCTCCTGACCTCGTGATCCGCCCACCTCGGCCTCCCAAAGTGCTGGGATTACAAGCGTGAGCCACTGTGCCCACCCTCCTCTTTACTCTTTACCTGAGTTTATTCTGAGCTTGTTGAGCTCTTTTTGAGAGTTTAACCCCATAGACTAGCTCATATTTTACTGCTTTAGCCTTCTAGGCCCTTACCTGGCATTCTGTGCTTTTGCCGCACAAAAATTCTATCAGCAACTCAAACATGCCATACTGCCTCTTTAGGTCTTTGCATATGCTATTTTCTCTCCTTAAGGAACACCCTTGCCTCCTCACTCCCTCGGCCTACTCCTGTTTATTCTTCAGATCTTAGCTCAGCCATTGCTTGCTCCAGGAAACCTTTCCTTCCCTGAAGACAGTTTAGATGCCCTACTTAGGTTTTTTAATAACATTCTCTACTTCTCCACTCATAATATACTGTAAGTACTGTTCACTCATATCTATCCTCATATTAGGTATTTCCCCCATTGACGGTAGTGATCATGGCTATATGAATCACTGTAAATCACTTTTAGCACTTAGTAGGCACACAAAAACTTAATGAATTAGTAAATTTTAGTCCATAATGAAGTGACTCCAGTCTCACTATAAAAATTTCTAGGAAAAGAACATGCAAAGCCTGATAAAATGATGTTTTCTTTTTCTCTTCCTCTTCTTAGTAAAGAGGAATATACAAAATTCACTAGAATATAATTGATTTAATCTAGAGCTGGAACTGGGCCAATACATGATGAAAGTAGTGTCTGTTACTTCCTCTTCTCAACTGTGTTATTTCCCTTGCTGCTGCTGCTGCTATTTTAATTCCTGCCATTTCGGGTTTAGAGAGTCCACATGAAAACTTCTGTCCTTACGTTTGACCCTGAGGACAGCTGAGCCTTCTTGGTTCCTAATGCTCCAGTGAGAATTACTCTTAATTTAACTGCATTTTTATTTTTTCTATTCTCAAAAGAAAGGTAGCAGAGAGGGTGACTTCAGGCTTCTTTTATGCTGTAATACTTTAGTATAGTGTATTATTTTGATGCTTGATGGTTGGTTAAATCTTTAATATATTTTCTTTCTTTTTTTAAATATATTTTCATGTGTTCTAATTCAAGGGTTGTTGGGTTAGTTCATTAGTTCAGTTGTATATAAGAGTTATGTTTGGTCAATGTATTTGTCTCCTTTTCTCACATACATGAGTTTTGAACAATTAGTATTTATTGTGCACAAGAAATGCTGATGGGGCCATTTTTCCAGTTTACATATTGAGGAATTATATTTTTTAAAGTTTCCCTCTTCCCTTTCTTCCTCCCTCTCTCTCTCTCTTTCTTATCCACATTTTACTCAGACCTAAGATCTTTAACTATAGGAGATTTTCGTATTAAATCTAATGCAAAACATTCATGTTTCCAAATGGATATCACTATCAGAAATACTGCTGTGAAAGTTAAAGATATGTCATTGGAAGAAAAGGTAATTAGGATGAAAGAAGGAAGGGCATATAGTAATTAAAATATTTATCATGTGCCATTCTCTGCTCTTGCCTTTTTTTCCCCTAATAAAGGAGAAAGAAAGGGGTATTAGAGAAGGGAATGCTTTTGAACAGGAGTGATAAAGTTCAATAGCATGTATGATGCTAGCCCTCTGGAGCAAACTGTACAGGAAATTTTGTAACTTTGTAGTAAAAACGGGTTTTTTAGTTTCAGAACTTTAGTTTTTTTGTAAAACAGTAGTTGATTTTCGTAGCTCATTGACAAATGGTTTTTAAAAATCACTGTTAGATTACTTCATCTGGGCTTCTGCCATTTAATATTGCAGTTGCTCACTCTTTTTTGCTACTCAATAGACTGAAAATTGAAGTGTTAATCTGTTGATGACTATAGTAAATTAAAAACATATGAGGGTAGCTTCATCCACGTTTGAGCTGTAGGATGTAGTTACTTCCCTTGTGTGCAAAGCTATTATTTTTCAATACCTGTGGTTTTAAGGTCCACCATTCTGGATCATTCAGAAGAACTGAAAGAGACTAATGATGTTGATTCTTTAAATGATAACTCTGTCTGTCTTTGTGCTGTTGGCTGTACTGCTTTATGTTGTGTCATCTCGATGACAGTAATAATTTCAAGTATATTCCCAGCTGTGTCCCTCCTCTTTACCATCTGGACTTGGCTAGGTTTACAACATGGCAAGCTGCTTATCAACCAAGGTATTCCGTATGTATTTCAATGTTTTCTGCATCCATCTAGTGGAACAATTGTCATAGCCATCATTTCTTGTCTCCTTTTATGGGCAAGGGAGACTTGGGTCTCTGTAGCCCTTCTTTCTGGGGTTGTTTCTTTTCTTTACGTTTGTTTTTATTAGAGACAGGGTCCTGCTCTGTCACCCAGGCTAAGGTACAGTGGCATGATCATAGCTCACTGCAGCCTTGACCTAGTGATAGTTGACCTCAAGTGATACTCCTACCTCAGCCTCCTGAGTAGCTGGGACTACAGACATGTGTCACCATGCGGGCTAATTTTTATTTTTTGTAAAGATGATGTCTCACTATGTTGTCCAGGCTGCTCTCAAACTCCTGGGCTCAAGTGATCCTCCTGCCTTGGTCTCTCAGAGTGCTGGGATTACAGGTGTGAGCTGCCATGCCCAGCCCTAGGGTTCTTTCTTGATAAAAGCTCCATAGGATATAGTGTTTGGTGACCTGGAGAGTGTTGATATTTTTGGATTAGCTAATGATAAAGTTAATTTCCTTAGTCATAGGTTTGCTAAAAATGGCTTCAACTTGGAGCAGCCACTGCTGCCATCACAAGTATCCCTTAAAACTGCATTCTGCCCTTGAAAAAGGAATAAACCTTATTTAACTGATCTTTCCCATCTGTTGCTGTATCAGCAATATAACAGAAATAAGTACGGAATTTTTTTAGTAAGAAAGACTGCTTAGCTTATTATGTCCTGTTAAGACATGATCAGAATGTCTTTTTCATCTTAAACATCTTTTGCAGTATCGATATAATTGGAATAACAAAGATATTAAGGGCATCTGACACATTTGAATAATTCATGTTTTTGAAATTGATAAATCCTAAGGTTTCAGGTACTAATATATAATCTTTAGTACCTAAGCTAAGGCTTCAGGTACTAATATATAATCTTTAGGTTGAAAACATATTTATAAAGCATTTTATATAAAAAACCTTCACTACAGAATTATAATGATAGTGAACATTTTAAAACAGCCTAAATTGTTCAAAATAGATTGGATAAACTTGAAATGAAATATTATGAAGATATTTGAACACTGCTTATGAAGACAATGGAAAAATGTGCGGGGGGATCTGATAGGTGAAAAAGGATAAAATAAATGCATATAGATCTGCTGTATAAAATATTAAAAACAAGTATAAGACAAAAACTTGGCAAGAAGTACATTCCAAAATGCTATCATCGTCTGAGTTTAGATTATTCTTATCTCTACTCTTCTTTTTCTTACAATTAAAAATTTTTTTAAGTATTTGTTACTTTAAAAGGGGGTAAAAATTATATAATAAATATCTACAAACCTTTGTCTACACTTGATTTAAAACTATTTATTGTGACATAGTCATTATTTATTCATTCACTGACTAATTCAGCAGTATTTGTTGAGTACCTGCTAGGTCATTGTTATAGGGGCTGAGGCGTTAGCAGTAAGCAAAATAGTAAGCTTATGTAGCTTATATTCTATTAAATAATAGTAAACCTCAAGATGCTTAGAAGCATACCCCATTATAATTAAGTCTACATCCTTGTTGCCAACTTTAAAAGACATTTCTTCATTAGCAGTTTTAAGGATTTTAAAAATTCATACATATATTTTGTGGTCAGTTAACTCTCAGCGCTTCATTATTGGTACATTAGTTGACATAATTCCATGGAAATTTCTAACAGTTCTCTCAGCATTTATAGTAGAGACCCCAGAAGTGCCTATCCTTTCCTATTGTTTTAACCCAATTATTTCTTATTTGTCCCTTATGCAATCTTAAGCCTTCCCTAATGTTTATTTTGCTAGCTTTAAATAATGTGACTTTTCTAAATGGCTTTGTTTGTTCTTCCTTTGCTAACATGACAAAAGACAGAGGCCAAAATGGGACACATTTTACACAGTTCTCTCACTGTCTTCCCCTGCTGCCTCATCCTACACCTTTACTTTCTCCCTCCCTCTTTCCTCTAGCCATAATGAACTTGGGAGCCAGTTCAGTGCATGGATAACATGTATACTTTCTCTCTGGGCCTTGAGCACTTGGGTTCCCTACTATATCTTCTTCACTTGGCCAACACCTACATATTTTGAGGTCTCTTAGAAGAATGACAACTTAGATGTCATTTCTTCCAAGAAATCGCTCCTAACTTTCCCTAGGAGAGGGAAGCATTTTTTCTATGTGCATTCGTTGAATGCTGTCTTTTCTTTTTCTGTCAATAGCGCTTGTATGATATTGTACTTGCCTGTTTACTTTAGACTGTGAGATCTCTAAAAGCAGAGACATATCTACCTTGTTCACCATTTGATTTCCAGCACCTAGCTTACAGCCAATATTGCACAGTAAATAAATAATTGTTAAATGAATGTCTTGACCTTCACTAACGTGAAAATAACTGTACTTGGAGACAGGCATTTTTTTCTTACTAGAATGATTAAATATAAAAATAAACTAAAAAACAAAGCACTCATAATTTTTTTTTCTTGTCCAATTGTCTTCTCTCTCAATCTCTCATTTTTTTGGTTTCCATTAGGTGTCATCAATCTTACAGAAGAAGTGCTGTGGGTCAAAGTGAATATAAACATGAATGGTTATTATATTGTACACTATGCAGATGATGATTGGGAAGCACTAATCCATCAGTTGAAAATAAATCCTTATGTTCTGAGTGACAAAGACCGAGCCAACCTTATCAACAACATCTTTGAACTTGCAGGGTAGAGTATACTTAGTTTGAGATTTTTTCTTTTTTTAAACAAATGTCATTGAGGTAAAGAACATATATGAAAAACAGTTTGAAAGAACTAGCATGTATTGGTTGGTACAATACATTTTGGAGGATTGGGAAAATATGTGTTCTTTGCCTCCAGGGACTTTATAAAACATTAGCTACGAACATACTGAACAGTTAAATGAAACAGGATTTAATAATAATTCAAGACTAGATATCAAAAACAGGATACATATTTTGTTGACTAAACTTGATACACGAGTTCAAGCTCTATTTTATTTTATAAGAGAATTATTTTCAAACAGCAGTTGGTTTAAGCATGAAGCTTAGTGCTTATGCATTGGTTTTGAGGGACATCTCTGATGGCTGGAGCCACCTTATCTGTACTGCTTGCCTCCCCAACCACCTCATGCATTATAGAATCCCAAAGCCAAGGATGACAGTGACCTCATGTAAACATATTCTCTGAATAGAATATTACCAATTTAGATTGATGATAGGCTTAAAAACACTGACGTGTTCCTTCTCATCTCCCTGGGCATTTCCATTTTGTCTCGTTTTTTATGAAGTGCCCTTCTTACGTCATCCTAGCCATTGCTGCTGTGATTCCTATAAAATGGTTAATTTTAAAAATGTACTCACTGTAAATTCACAATAGACCTTGTCATAACAAGTTTGAAAAACAAATTCCCATTAAACCAACAAATAAAATTAAAAAAAGAAATCAGATACTCTCTATGCTATACTCTCTTTCCTGGCAAATATAACTAATTAATAAATAAAATTAGTACTATTCATCTTTTCTAACCCAAGATATTATACTTTTGCTGAGTTAGTAGCAATTTACAGGAGACTTAGGAATAAAAAAAAATGAGCTATTGTTTATCTTTCTCTTGAAATGCCTCTTTAATCTTGGGCCTCATGAAATTAATCAGAGATAATCATATTTAGCTTAACTTTACAAAATGCCACTGTAAGTTTAAATTTTTGGTCTCCAAGACTCACCATCTAACCCTAAGTTTCTCTTTTAGCATGCATAGACTTCTTCTGTGTGTCTCTGCATATTTACTTTTCCTGTTCTTTTATCCTTTAGCCTAGGCAAGGTACCTCTCAAGAGGGCCTTTGATTTGATTAATTATCTTGGAAATGAGAACCATACTGCACCCATCACCGAAGCCCTGTTTCAGACAGACCTCATCTATAACCTCCTTGAAAAACTGGGATACATGGATCTGGCCTCAAGACTGGTGGTAAGTCTGCCTTTTTGCCAGCTTCTTGCTGTTTATCTTTAATATTGTTATTCATGGTTCCATTTTCAGCCAGTAATAGGCTGAAAAAGCAACCAGTTAAATTCCATTTTCTTCACTTTCCTGCTTGTGAAATCTTTACTTAAAATCAAGATGTTGCTTATGATGAAGAGCTGATAAAGGCTTAGTATGATATGGTCTTGTTTGAATATCAAAATACAGACATTTGACACCACTGTCAAAATGAGGTCACATGAGAATAATATTTCTCTATTCAGATCCTGTTTTATTTCTACATGATGAATGTTTGAAATAGGCCCTTTTGCAAAGTAGATCTCCCCATTAATTTTCTAGTGGTCATTATAAAATGACAGTTACGTTTGTATTGAGAATATTCTGTTTAAGGGTTCTTACTGATAACTATCTAAAGGATAATGATGCTGGTGGATATGTTTCTTTGCAAAGCACTAAAGGAGTCTTAGTATTAGAGACCATTTTACCTTTCTTAATATCAACTGCCTGATCTTAACAGTTGTTATTTTGGATACTTTTAATATTAAACTGTTGAGAGACTTTAAAAGCTTGGAAGAGAGTGAAAAATTATTTGTTTTTATCTAATTCTCTGAATCAGCGCATTTTGACAACAGAGTTTGCTTTATAAACTAGTGAGATTTCCCAGGGACCCAGGCAAAAGGCAGCTTTTAGGGAAAGGAAGGCAGTATTAGACCAAGAATTAGAATAAGTCTTTTGGGGTTTTGGTATTCTCATTGGTGAAAGGAAGGGGTTGGATTAAATCATTTTTTTAACATTTTTTTTATTATACTTTAAGTTCTAGGGTACATGTGCACAATGTGCAGGTTTGTTACATATGTACACAACCTTCTTTCTGCCTCTGTTACTGCCTTACCCTGCGTCTCCTATGAACAGTTCTCTCATCACCTGCATGATTCTCAGTGAATGGAGGGAACGCAGGGCAGAGTGGATGTATGGAGCTTGAAAAGCTTTTCTCCCCCAAAAGTTTCTGATCTGACCCCAAAGGAGTTACCCCATCCCTATCCATAAGCAAGATGCTTAAGTTAGATGATTTTCTGAGGTCTCTTCTAATGGTTAAGATTTTTATCATTTTCTATTTCATAAGGCTTTCAGCTAGCAGCCTTAATAAAAACCAGTGCCTGGAACATGACCTGGCCTGTAGTGACACTCAGTAAACGTTGAGTGAATAAATGATTGAAACACACCAGAAACAAGTGCATTTGAGTGCTTTTACACACCGTGCTTAGTGCTTAATGTAGATTACCTCATTTAATTATCACACAGTGCCAAGGTAGATATTTCTACCCCCATTAAATAAACGAGGAGACGGAATAGCTTCTTTAAAGTCACTTACCTAGTAAGTGATAAAGCTGAAATTCAAACCCAGATAAATTTCACTCCAAAGACTTCTGTTTCTGTTATATTGCTATTTGTAAAATCAATTTGTGTCCTAGCAACGTCGTCTTTCCAGGATACCTTTAGAAAAATTAAAGCTTTCTTCTTGTCATATTCTTTTGAAAAGCTTGCAGACCATATATTTAAGGTTTCAAGTGACTGGCCCACATCTAGTTGTTCTCCTAAAAATGAAATTGTCAACTTAAGAGATTTTTTTTATATCTAAAATGCTAATAATGACTTTTTAAAACAATATTTATGTGCCTTTCCAAGAAGTATGCAAATAGCTTACTCATCTCTTTAGGGCAAACTGGGAATCCAATATCGACTTTCTAGTGTTAGTGTAGTAAAGAGATTGGCCATTAGTTAACCAGTTCAGCTATTGTTGATAGACATTTGCGTTATTTGTAGTTTGGAGCTATCATGAATAGCACTGCTATGATGTCTTCGATGAATGTCTTTATGCATTTCTATGGGATATATGTCTGGAAATGGGATTATTGAGTCATAACACATGCATAGTTAATAGTGTACTATCAAATAGTTCTTCAAAGTTGTACCAATTTACACTTAGCAGTATATGAGAATTCTAGGTGCTCTAGATCTTTTCTGATGATTATCATTCACACTAAATCTTTTTTATTTTAGCCATGTGGATAGGTGCATAGTGGTACTGCAATTTTGACTTGAATTTACATTTTTCTACTGATGTGAAGATGATTTTCTTTTTGATATATGTATTGACCATTAGATGTTCTTTTGTAAAATGCCCATCTTTTGCTTATTTTTCTATTAAATCGTCTGCCTTTTTCTTGTTGATTTGTAAGAGTTCTGTATATATCCTAGATATGAATCTTTTGTTGGTCATGTATATTTGCAAATATCTTCTCCCACTCCATCTTGCTTTTTTTTACTCTCTTAATGATTTTTTATTAATATGAGTTTTAAATTTTAATGTAATCTAGCTTATGAAATCTTTTCCTACCCCTAGATATTCTCTGTTCTCTTCTGAAAACTTTATCATTTTATCCTTTACATTTAGATCTGTGATCCATCTGGAATTGATTTTTGTGGATGGTGTGAGGTAGACACCAAGATTCATTCTTTTCAGTATGGATATCCAGTTATCCCCAGGACCAGTATATTTTATTGCATAGAATTATGTTTGAGGTAATTAGTATGATATCAACACCATTTGGGGTAGTATATTAATTTTCTAGGGCTATTAAAACAAGTTATTGCAAACTTGATGTCTTAAAATAACAGAAATTTATTCTCTCATAGTTCTGGAAGCCAGAAGGCCAAAATCAAGGTATTGGCAGAGTAAGGTTTGCTCCTTCTGAGGAAGAATCTGTTCCATTCCCCTCTCCTAACTTCAAGTGATTGCCAGTAATCCTTGGTATTCCTGGGCATGTAGGTGACTAACCGTGGCCTTTGTCTCTGTCAACACAGTGTTCTCCCTGTGTTTCTGTGCCCAAATTGCCCCATTCTTAGATTAAGGCCCACCATAATCCAGTATGACCTCATCTTAACTTGATTGTACCTGCAAAGACCCTATTCCTAAATGAGGTCATATTCATAGGTCCCAGGCAGACACAAAATTTGAGGGGATACTATTCAACCTAGTACAGGTAGCAATAAATAAGATTAGTGCATATCACTCACTTTTTTTCACTATTAAAGGGCAATGTTAGTTCTGAATATACCCTGTGAGGAGGCAGAATATCTCCCGACTCTGAAGCTGCCCAGTTAAACTTCATAATGGCAGAAGTCAGTCTTCTGCTTGCCTCTCTGTTAACTCTGTTTATAGCTTAGTGCTCAAGAAGCACTTGATACTTACCTCTTCTTTGAACTGCATCTTCATCCCAGATGATTTCCAGCTTTCTGGGCAGATATGTGTTTATTAGGAACATACTTCAAGGAGGGATCTAGGGACTGATGGATAGAGAGGAAGGGCAGAAGACTTAGTATGTGTTTCCAAGATTGGACGCCCTTTTACTGCTGTGTGTCTTCACATGGTTAGCTAAAAGCCCAGTTAACTTTAGCTCACCAAGAGGGAGAATGTGTCACTTTAACATTCTTATTCTAATATTAGGGTGAAAATTCTGGTAGCATCAATACTCTCAAACTAGGAAATCTGACATTCTACAGTTAGGAATTGGGATAGGAGACATTTATGAATCCTTGGATATGACGTTCAAATGTATTACTGTCTAAGACTGATTTCTAATTAACTTCTATATCATTGGAACCAAAGCATTATGTACATTTATTGGTCATTTTGTTATGTAGGCTGCACATGACATATGCTGCATTTTGTGATGCTGTAGTGTTGTGATGGGTAGGGTCTGGAGGCACATTTCAATTGTGTTAAATTGTTCACATCTGATGTTAACATCTGATCCTAGCCATATTCCTGTTTTATCACTTACAAATCTGTCATTCTTTTACATATGAGGCATTGGTGGGATAAACCTTTTGCAATAAAAACTGACATTTCACTTTTAAGAAACTCAGTTGACCCAGGAAAGAACTCCCTGGGCATATCAGTGTAAAATTAAAGCAGTAAATCAAAATGTAATATACAACATAAGTGCTAGCATCTTTCCCTGTTTTATTTTTAAAATAATTTTATATTGTTGTTATTGCATTTTATTACAAATCCAGTGTTTGTAGCTTGTATAACCCATCAATTTATTTCCTCTCTCCACTTGCCATTTCACTTTGTAAAATCATAGAGTTGCATTCTATTGTTGAAAGAGCTTAAATTTCAAAAAAATTAATTTGGATCCTTAGAAAAACATTTCATTTTATTTCTAAAAGGGAAAGGTAATTTGAAGCACATGCTATGCCTCATTAATATTAATTAATATTAAAAATAAACCTGGATTACTTATAAAAATGATATTTTGTAACAGGATTTTTCTAATAATATAATTATTCTTTCTTAAAATGTTTTACTTTATTATGTTATAATTTGAAATACATTTAAACAACTATTTTGAGAACTTGCCTTAATGATTTCATATGGAGACTAACTAGTAAAATTGCTCCCTGTAATTCGGTGGTGTAACTGCTCAGGAATTAGCCACAGCCATCTTCAAGTGTCAGATTTCCTTTGCTTCCAGGACTTCAAGTGCCATTCTTTCCATTGCTGCCTTTGTGTTTTAGTAAACTCTCAATGAGTATTGCCATTGTTCTTCACTGATTTTTTTTTTAAATAAGATTTCAAGCATGTGATTTTTTTTCTCACATTCTTCATTTGTTCCTATTTGACAGTTATGAGTAGGATTTGAATTTCTTTTGTTCTCCAGTCATTTGGAATGGTTTTCTATCATAATGCTATTGAGAAGGTAAGGCCAGTGAAGACACCACATAACAATGCAGTTAGGTATGTCAAGTGGGATCCCCTGCATTGCTTGTCCGTTCCTTGCATCGTCAGCGTAGCAAGTATTTTTCTACTTCATGTCCTCCCAGTGACTCAAAAGCTTTACCACTTACACATTCCACAAGGTGTCTGTTCTGTGTTTCATTGCTTTTGAAACAAACACAAGCGAGTTGACATGTTATACAAACCTTGAGTTCTTTTCCTTGCAGATTCTTTTTTTCTATTCTCATATTCAACTCCACAAGATGCTTATTCACAGTAAGTCATTGCTAGGATAATGGTCTTAATAGTTTAAAAATTTCCAAATAGGATTCATTTTAGGTATTGACAGTGGTACTCAGTGGTACTCACTGTCAATACCTAAAAGAAAGGAAGAAAGCAATGTTCTGTGAAGAACTTGAGCTAAACTTCTGAAGTTAAGGGTTTTGCTTGTGGTCATCTGTGGTACATGATTACTTGAGATGAGATGCCACGATGGTGGTGGAGGTAAAGAAGTACCAGCAGGAAGAAATCTTCCTGTGCTTATTCCTTCAGAGGGGGTATCTGTTGAATTTTTTTCATTTTGGTCCTTCTTATGTAGCCATGAAGGTTTTCTAAAGAATACCTAAAAACGGCCAGGTATGGTGGCTCACGCCCGTAATCCCAGCACTTTGGGAGGCCGAGGCAGGTGGATCACGAGGTCAGGAGATAGAGCCATCCTGACTAACATGGTGAAACCCTGTCTCTACTAAAAATACAAAAAAATTAGCCGGATGTGGTGGCGGGCGCTTGTAGTCCCAGCTACTCGGGAGGCTGAAGCAGGAGAATGACGTGAACCTGGGAGGCAGAGCTTGCAGTGAGCTGAGATCGCACCACTGCATTCCAGCCTGGGCAACTGAGCAAGACTCCATCTCAAAAACAAAAAAAAGAATACCTAAAAACATTTTTTATATCAGAATTTTTATTCTTTCTAGTGGTATTCATAAAAGCATATTGCATATGATGCTTTTTAAAATATCATGTGCCCTCACCCCCCACCCGCCATGCACAACTTGCAGAATGGAAATACTTCGACATGGTATTAACAGGTTTGGTGTTTTTATTTTGGAGAGAGATGAAAAAGGCGTCTGTTAGTACCTTAATACCGCAAGTATACGTTTAGCAATGACAGCCAATACCAATGGACTAGATTGGATGATATTAATGAATAACTATTAGTTTTCTTCAGTGTGATAAGGTATTATGGTTCTGTAAGAGAATGTTCTGATATCTGTGAGTTGCATGCCAAAGTATTTATAAATGAAATATCGTATCTGTATATCACTTTTATATTGTTCAGCTAAAACAAGAAAAACATGTGTGCGTATGTGTGTTATACACACTTGAAAATGAAGCAAGTGTCAGAGTGTTAAAAAACTGTTGAATCTAGATGAACAGTGTATGGGTGTTGTACTATCTTTTTTTGTAGGTTTGAAAGTTCTTTAAATAAAAACTTAGGAGAAAAAATAAGCTATAAACAACTATTCTTCCCTGCAGGTCTCATTTTCTTGCTAATTTGGTTAATTTGTTATAACATCAAACTAGTTAATAATGTTAAATATACCTTTAATATTGGATTGAGAAACATTTAAACATTAACTATCAATAAAGAAGTTTATTTTTCTTTCATTGCTTTATAGGTTTATAGATTGTAAAGTCACAAGGTCAGGAAGTCCTGACATCCTTCCAGCAGTGGTTATAAGTGATACTTTTTGGCAGGAAAATAACTTCTAGCTGAGTATATGCAGCATAAAGGTTCCCTACTGCACAGAAGTCATTAATTTTTTTCTGAGTTAACATCACTAAAAGTCCCCCTTAGCTATAGCAGCCTTATGCATAGCCTTATTATTGAATGGTTTCATCCCAGCCGTATGTGGGTTTCATATGTCAGTTGATATTTAATGAGTAATATCTATGCCTTTTTTTTTCCTCATTGGATAAATGTTGGGGAAAAGAGATCTAATTGTCCTGGGGTTTTTTTTGTTTTTTGTCTTTTGTTTTTTTTTTTTTTTTTTTTTTTTTTGAGGCAGAGTCTTGCTCTGTTGCCCAGACTGGCATGCAATGATGCTATCTCAGCTCACTGCAACCTCCACCTCCTGGGTTCAAGTGTTTCTCCTGCCTCAGCCTCCTGAGTAGCTGGGATTACAGGCACGACCATCATGCCTGCCTAATTTTTGTATTTTCTACAGATGTCGTTTCACCGTGTTGGCCAGGATGGTCTCAAACTCCTGACCTCAGGTGATCTGCCCGCCCCAGCTTCCCAACGTGCTGGGATTACAGGCACGAGACACTGCACCTGGCTGTAATTGTCCTGTTTTTTTTCTGATTGTCCTAATTATTATGAAGCCATTATAATCTATTTTGTCTCTCTAGACTAGGGTATTTAAATTACTTCAAAACCAAATTCAACAACAAACTTGGACTGATGAGGGCACTCCATCTATGCGAGAGCTTCGGTCAGCCCTGCTAGAGTTTGCTTGCACCCACAACCTGGGGAACTGCTCTACTACTGCCATGAAACTGTTTGATGACTGGATGGCATCCAATGGAACTCAAAGGTGAAGTATACCTCTACTCAGATGAATTATCTTCTTTTTCTTTATTTCACATCATATACAGTATCCAGGGTATTCTCATCCTGGATCATAAATGTTATAAAACTGAGTGTCAGTGTAGGTGAACTCTATGTATCTGCATTCTCAAACAAGACTTTTTTTTTTTTTATTATACTTTAAGTTTTAGGGTACATGTGCACAATGTGCAGGTTAGTTACATACGTATACATGTGCCATGCTGGTGTGCTGCACCCATTAACTCGTCATTTAGCATTAGGTATATCTCCTAATGCTATCCCTCCCCCCTCCCCCCACCCCACAACAGTCCCCAGAGTGTGATGTTCCCCTTCCTGTGTCCATGTGTTCTCATTGTTCAATTCCCACCTATGAGTGAGAACATGCGGTGTCAAACAAGACTTTTTAAAAAATTGTGGTAAAATACACATAACATAAAATTTACTGTCTTAACCATTTTTTACTGTACAGTTCAGTAGTGTTAAGCATATTCACATTATTGTGTACTATATTTTCAGAACTTTTACATCTTGCAAAACTGAAACTCTGTACCCATTGAATAATTCCTCACTCCCTCTCCCCACCAGCCCCTGGTAACCACTATTCTACTTCCTGTTTTTGTGAGGTTGACTACACTGTATATCTCATATAAGTAAAGTCATATAGAATTTGCTTTTTTGTGACTGGCTCATTTCATTTACCATAACGTCTTCAAGGTTCTTCCATGTTGTAGCATGCATTAAAATTTCTTTCTTTCTTTCTTTTCTTTTTTTTGGAGATGGAGTCTTGCTCTGTCACCCAGGCTGGAGTGCAGTGGCGCGATCTCAGCTCATTGCAACCTCCACTTCTCGGGTTCCATTGATTCTCCTGCCCCAGTATCCGGAGTAGCTGGGATTACAGGCATCCGCCACCACACCTGGCTAATTTTTGTATATTTAGTAGAGACGGGGTTTCACCATGTTAGCCAGGCTGGTCTTGAACTCCTGACCTCAGAAAATCTGCCCACCTAGGCCTCCCAAAGTGCTGGGATTATAGGCATGAGCCACCATACCTGGCTAAAATTTCTTTCTTTTTAAAGGCTGAATAATTTTCCATTGTATGTATATACCACATTTTGTTTATCCATTCATTCCTGGATAGACCTTTGTGCTGCTTGTACCTTTTAGCTATTGTGAATAATAATGCCATGAACATTGGTGTGCAAATATCTCCTAGAGACCCTGCTTTCAATTCTTTTGGAAATACACCTGGAAGTAGTATTGCTGGATCATATGGTAATTCTAATTTTAATTTTTTGAGGAACTGCCATATTGTTTTCTACAGCAGCTGCACCATCATTCCAATTTCTCTACATCCTTGCCAACACTTGCCATTTTCTGGGTTTTTGATAGCAGCCATCCTAATGGGTGTGAGGTGATAAACAAGTCTCTTAATTTAGAAATAAAACATAGCAGGTAGAGTTAGCAGTTAACAGAAAAGCTTTTGGGGGTAATTAGTTCTCTCCAGCTCCTTACCGTGCATTATGGAGAGAAGATTCAAGCATCAGATGAAGAGTTGGGGTGGAGGATTTGGATAACGTTTTGAGGTCTTTCCCAGCTCTGAGATCTTAATAAAGGCAGTAGACTGTGTTTTCTCCCTGCACCCCATTTACTGCTATAGTTCTACCATGAAACTTATCACACTGAATTGTAATGCATATAGTTATTGCTCTATACTTCGTAGTAGCCTGTGAGTTCTCAGAGGACAGAGGCTCTCATTCCTTTTCCGCTCCCTAGTGTCCAGCCAGTCGCCTGCCTGGTTCTTTGTGAGTACTCTGTGAATATTAAATTGAACTGATGTATCCATAGACACACTACTAGGAAGATAGCAGTCACTGAATTAAACTTTTTCTCAACCCTAAATTGTGTACTCAAACTTGTTATTATTACCAACCCTCACACCAGAAACTCCACCACAGCCAACTCTTCGCCTTTGTATTCAGAATATTTTCTTGTTATTCTCATGTTTGACCACCTCTCTTACAGCCTACCTACTGATGTCATGACAACTGTGTTCAAAGTTGGAGCAAAAACTGACAAAGGCTGGTCATTCCTTTTGGGCAAATACATTTCTATAGGCTCTGAAGCAGAGAAGAACAAAATACTAGAAGCACTTGCCAGCTCAGAGGATGTGCGGAAGCTTTACTGGTATGAAATCACCGAGGAATATGATATACAGAAACCAAAAGAATACAAACACTGTGCTCTTGGTCAGGAGCTCATTTTTGAGGGGATCTCTTTTCCCCACTTCTGTTACAGGCCAGGCCTAAGTTGGACAGTGTGGTGAGGAGACTACAGGTGCTGGGCTTTATCTTTATGGACAAGCAGAAAATCCTTTGCCCAAAAGGGATTACAAGATGTCAGGAGTCACAGCCCCCTCCTACTCCTTGCTCAAAAAGTCTTCCTCCCCTTGGAATGTTGTCTTATACACCACAATTGGTACTCCATAGTTTAGGACCAAGGCATTGCTTTGTGCAAGCTGTCATTTTAAAAATGTAGGCATTTCAGAAAAAAAAAATCACATATTAAACCTTCTAGGTTCTACGTTCATATGAATTTATTTGTCAGACTTTTCCTTTTTAATATGTAGTGATGAAGGCCCAGAAGTAGGAGTGTCATATGGATGAAGGTAGGGCAGTAAGTAGGGCCTCCTGACAGGAAGAACAGGCAGTGGTGGGGTAGAGGAGCTCTACATAGCCAAGAGGAATATAGAGGTATCTGCTGTAGAGAGCACAGGTGTTAGAAGTCGCACTGAGGATAGAAGGAGGCTTCTGGGTCTCATTACTTCTGTTGTATGATTTTGCTCAGATAAATCTTAATAGTGTCCCAGAGATGTCCTCAGTACCTGTCCAGACCCACTTACCAAAAGATACGCTGTAAATAGTCATTTTCTTTAAAGTATTAGCCAGCCTCTGACTTAAGCAAATAGAGAAAAATCACTGTTTTTAAACTATGCTAGTAATACACTAAGAATGCCCATGATAAAGAATTTAAACAGTACCTAAGAATATAGAGTAAAATATGAAAGTATTTCTCATGATCCTTCACTTCCATTCTCGTTTTCTCTGTTAACAACAGTGTCAGTCCTGGTCTTTGTATTCATCTGTGGGAATGGATATTTGTACATATGTACGTACATACATACACACATACCTACATATTTAACTGCATTTTAAAAACCATATTAGGTTTATACCATACCCAGTGTTTTGTGACCATCTTTTTAGTGAATGATCAGTCTATGAGATTTTCCATGTCACTTCATGAAGCCTGCTTTATATATAAAAAAAAACTAAAGTGTTTTATGGGTTCATAATATTCTGTAGTATGGCCCTATCATAATTTATTTAATCCATCACGTTTTGTTGGGCTTTTGTTTTTTTCTCTCCTAAAAATACTGCCACAGTCTTGGAGTGGGGCGTGGTTTCTCACTATAAACAGATAGTATAGCATAGTAGATGAGAACTGCTTTTGTTCAGATGTCGGGCTTTGGTATTTATTACTGTGTGACTGTGGGTCAATTAGATAACCTCAGTTTCTTCAACTATAAAATTGAGTTAGGTAGTATTAATAAATACCTACTTTATAGCATTGTTGTGTCAAGGACTTAGAACATTATTTAGTACATAGTGTCAGTAAATGTTTGCTACGAACATTAATAAGAGTATATTCTGAAATGTATCCTAATTTTCAAATAATTCAAATGACCTAGTTTTTTTTAAGAATAGTAATATAATTAACCTGCCCATTCAAATCAAATAAGGTTTTTACCAGAAAAAAATACCCACCTCCCGAATTGTAATAAATTCTACCAGAACTTATTTCCTAAATGTTTTTACTATTTAAAAACTATTTATTGTCATGTGACAATATAGGTAAATGCCTATTTTATTGGTGAGTTCTTTCTTCATTTAAAAAAAATGACATTTTCAATCTATAGATCAACCGTAGACTAATGCAACAGTTATTTCTCAATTTGCTACACAGCTTTAATTAGGAAACCATACTAATTTTAATTTAAGTTCAGTCATCACTTCTTCATGAATAATAATTTTGGAGGCTAAATCTGCTTTGCTCTTCAGGTTAATGAAAAGTAGCCTGAATGGAGATAACTTCCGAACACAGAAGCTGTCTTTTATCATTAGAACAGTGGGTCGACATTTTCCTGGACACTTACTGGCATGGGATTTTGTCAAAGAGAACTGGAATAAGCTTGTACAGAAGTAAGTTTCTCAGAGAATTATTAACTTTTAGTATTCTCAAGTTGTGCATTTGAAAAAAGCTCCCAGTGTTTTGGCTCACAGAAGTTAGGATTTGCTGTGAGAGGAAAAATACTTCCATGACAGTTTAACTGAAACATCCGGAAATTTTCACATTTGTTAACATAATTCCATAGCATGAATCATTTAACAGTAGCATTCCATCTAAGTTCTAATTAAGCCTAGCCTTGCTTGGCACCAGGTTACTTAGCTCAGCGTGGCTACAGACTATTTCATAGCAACCATTTAGCTATGCATATTGAAAAATACCTCTGTATGGCCGGGCGCGGTGGCTCACACCTTTAATCCCAGCACTTTGGGAGGCCGAGATGGGCGGATCACGAGGTCAGGAGATCGAGACCATCCTGGCTAACACGGTGAAACCCCATTTCCACTAAAAATACCAAAAATTAGCCGGGCATGGTGGCGGGTGCCTGTAGTCCCAGCTACTTGGGAGGCTGAGGCAAGAGAATGGTGTGAATCTGGGAGGCAGAACTTGCAGTGAGCCGAGATTGTGCCACTGCACTCCAGCCTAGGCAACAGGGCGAGACTCCGTCTCAAAAAAAAAAAACAAAAAGGAAAATACCTCTGCATTGCCAAGGCATCAGTTAAGAACTCACATTCAGCTAGATGCAGATGTAGGTTTTTTGCTTCTTTCTCTCTTTTAAATCAATAATGGCATTTCTGGGTGTACAGTGTGATCTTCGACAATGTTAAGCGGATTAATTGTCTGCATGTTCTGAACTCTTCCCTTTTTCTGCCCACCTTTCCTTCCCACCGACAATAAGTATGCATAGGGCTACCCCGGTTTCCTCAGTTGCAGTTCCGGGAGGAGGATTCCACTCTGGCTTTGGCATTAAAGACTTTTCCTTGCACTCAGGAACAACGCTTTACCAGCAGCTGCCTAATCTTTTTGCTCTTGTTTTTGTGTTTCTTCAGGTTCCCTCTGGGGTCCTATACCATACAAAATATTGTTGCTGGATCAACTTACCTGTTTTCAACAAAGACACATTTATCTGAGGTTGGTTTTATAAAATGATAATACAGAGACTGGGCAACCCTCCGCACACCCGGACCAGGCTGCTCAGTTTTAGTGAGATGGTGGATTTTCATGCTAATTCCTTCTCTTATCTCTGTCTTCCTTTATCAGTACTAATGATTCTGCATTGTGATTACTTCTAGAGGGTGGCATATATGATAATGAGGAAAAAATCTGATTCCATTCTCTTCCCTTGTCTCCCTAATACAAATAATTTAAGTGGTCATAAAATTGTTTGGAAGAATTGCATTCTTGGGGTGAATTCATAGCACCAAGCCTTTGGACTCTACTTTATTTATTGTTACTTAAACATCTCCTTGGTTCCATTTTAAGTTAGAAAAATGTATCTGTGTGGGAGTAAAAAGATTTCCTTTTTAAAATCATTTCAGATATCACCATACTTGATTGGGAACTCCATGTAGATACCTTGAATATTAAAGTACTTCTTTCTACTGCTTTCAAGATAGCAGCACAGCCATCACTAAGTTAAAGCTTATTTTAAAAGCTGGGGTTACCTGAGGTTTATCGTCCTTTTCTTCTTTTGAAATTCTT
Source organism: Homo sapiens (assembly GCF_000001405.40). Taxonomy (NCBI): domain Eukaryota; kingdom Metazoa; phylum Chordata; class Mammalia; order Primates; family Hominidae; genus Homo; species Homo sapiens. Next base: position 97,028,385 of record NC_000005.10, read on the forward strand.
CTGTGTGAAACTTACAGGTTCAGGCATTCTTTGAAAATCAGTCAGAGGCAACCTTCCGGCTTCGTTGTGTCCAGGAGGCTTTGGAAGTCATTCAGTTGAATATCCAGTGGATGGAGAAGAACCTCAAAAGTCTCACATGGTGGCTGTAGCATGCACAACCGCACCTCATTTTGTTGCCCATTCAGAGAGCTTGTAAGCTTGGGCTCTGCCGCTTTTGCAAAAGCCAAGGTAAAGCCAGGATCGCTGCCAAGTTGTTTGCACTCTTTGGAGTTCTAGTTAGCTCAGGGCCTGACTGTATTTTTCATCCATCTTTTCTGAAGTGTCTTTGGGCAGTATGTAGTTATTTATTACAAAATTATATTCACCTAAATGCCAACCATCTACAAAAACAATGAGTAATTTTTCTACTTTGAAGATACACAGATGGGGACAAAAACCCTGTTTTGGAATTCTGTTCTATTCCTCAGTATCCAGAAAGTTACTGACACAGTAAAACAAGGAAAGTTCTACCCTAAGAGCCGCCATCACTTCAGGCCGCTGGTTTGTCAGCCATCTGTTGCTTCTTATTGATAGATGGCATTGGAATGTGGTACAAAGTTAGCTCTGAAGAATATGGTAACGAAGACAATAAAGCATGCACTGTAAGAACTGACCTCAGGTGTGCAGATCTACTTTGATTTGGGGTTTTGATTAATTCTTTATTTTTCTGAAAAAAAGTTTAAATAATGTCTGTAACTATTGTGTTTTTTTCCTGCCGAATAGCCAGGTGCTACAGATTTTTAAAATTTTTGTTGTATTGAAAAGCTAAACAAGGCCAAAAGGTTAAATTTTTTGAATATTTAAGACTTTCTTTTTCATCTTTTATAGCGTTACCATAGGAAACTGTTCCAAACTGAGTTAGCTTTAATTATAATTATTTTATTCATAAATGGTGATAGTCCCCAGATCTGTACACCTTTATCACTCCCTGCCGTAGATATACTTTAGGTTAGTATTTCTACATTCGTGGCAAGCATTTTGGTAACACCAGTGGTTTTCATTGTGACTTTTATCACTATCACTAAGAATGCAATTTAAGTTGCCTTTTGGCATCATAGATCATAGAAACTTTCTCTCTGAATCATACCCATGTGTGAATTTTCATTTTATATGATAGTGTAGCATATTAGAAGCATATTTTAAAACAGAGCCTTTGAGAAATTGAAAAACAATTATTTGAAGTTCACCATAGTACCTTAAAGGAACAAAGAGAATGTGGGATAGGAGTAACTTGAATTCGTGTTTAGTATGGTGGGCTTTGAATTTTTTTCACTATCAAAAATAGTGCTTTTGTTTAGTTAAAAATTGTAGTTTTTCTTTTTTTGTGTGTCCAAACTAACATAAAAGGAGTGGTCAAAGAAGGAAAGAAGAAAAATGAGGGAGGATGTCCGAAACTGTATGGCATTTTACTCCTTCTGAAAGAGAAATACTGTACTTGAATTTTTGAGCTATGCAGACTTATACCTAGATTGTTGTGTTTCTTTGATTCTTAGGAGAAAAGCTTTCTTCCTAATAATTCTTGAGAACTTTATATTTTGTTTGAAAACAGTTTCTATGTACATAAAAAGGGTATTTACCCATTTGTGAGCACTTAAAACACTCCACAGAGTCAGACAGTGGGAAAGGTCACCCTTTTTTTATTCGGCAGGTATCAAGTTAGAATGTATGGAATTGTGAATAAAATTATATTTTATTTTATGAAAATATTTTTATATAATAAAATTTAAAAGGCTGGTAAGCTAAAAAAATAGTCTTCTTTAATCCTAGTGTGTTTTCCCCAATTTAGTCTTTTCTAAAATTTATCTGTTTTAGAGTAGAAAATATTATATCCTGAGAATCACAGAATCATCTAAATATGTCTTATTCAACTGAAGTGATTGTAAGTCTTTATTCTTGTGCTTTGGTTAAATGAATGATAATTTAGTTGATAGTGAAAGTTAATGTGTTTTTATATTTTTAGAGTGAGGGAAAAATACTAAACTTTTGAGAGTTTTGTTGTCGTTGCTGGTTTTTTACCATGTGGTACTAAATTCCACTTTGATACAAAATTTAAATTTTGTAACTTCTCAAAATCACTTAAGATTCTTCAGTTTTACCTGTGCTTCTTGACATCGCTCCTATAATGTATGTTAGTTAACTCTGCATATGGCAAATCTTGTCTTGAATTATATCATTTCTCTCCCTCTCTCTCTCTCTCTGTGTGTGTGTGTGTGTGTGTGTGTGTGTGTGTGTGTGTGTGTGTGTGTAGTGTGGGGGGTATTGTTATGAGTAAAACTTTATCAAAACTTGGCCTGAAAAAGAGATAACTCATGATCCATTGCTATCTTTATTACTCAAAGGCTGTTCATTCCCATAATACCAGATCCATAATAGTTGTAGTTTTTTTGATGTTGTTGCCCTTACCTTAATTATTTGTAGTTTTAGTAGGCCTTGCCTCAGTTTTTCCCACAGAATTCCATAATTTTAATGTTGAACTAACCCATCTATATAGGACTTCTAAAAACTACGTCAGGAATGTAAGGTTAAATGAGAGGTAGAACTTGTAGTGTAATAGGTATAATGGTAGCTTTCAAAGTTTTATCTTCTCAAAACATTGTCTTAGCCAGTGTATTTCTGAGAACTCAGACTGAAGCACAGAAGTCACAGTATGCTTCTTTTATTTAAGCACACAGATTCATGACACAAGTACTTGTTGAACAAGTGTTCTCATTGCAGAGAGATCTACTTGAATATAAAAGGGTCATCATACTAGATTATTAAAAAAGAATTGGAAATCTTGAGTTGTGGAAGAAATGTTTATGCTTTGGAGATCTAAAAAAGTTATGAATGTAGGAATTAGATAAGTCCAGTTTGTTCTGTTAATATAAAATGGTTAGATATATTAAACTGCAAGTAGTATCAGCTTCACCATAAGCTTGGGCCTTCCTCCATCTTGTTTTATTTAAGTCTCTTTAAATGAAATTTTGTTGTCATTGTTTCAGCATTCATGAACTTTCTTACTATCACAGGTTCTACTTTAATTTTCCTTGCCATATGTGTTTCCATTTTGTGGGACATTAGCCACCACAGGAACACAAGAGTTGTCAGAAGACTCCTGGGTGTACAGAGCAAATCAAGCTGCATCAGTATTATAGGATACCAAACAGAATCCTTTCTATTAGGAAATAAGAAATCAGTTAAGTGTTGGCTGGGCGCGGTGGCTTATGCCTGTAATCCCAGCATTTTGGGATGCCAAGGTGGGCAGACCATTTGAGGCCAGGAGTTCTAAACCAGTTTGGCCGACATGGCAAAACCCCATCTCTACTAAAAATATAAAAATTAGCTGGGCATGGTGGTGCACACCTGTAATCCCAGCTACCTGGGAGGCACGAGAATCACTTGAACCCAGGAGGCGGAGGTTGCAGTGAGCCAAGGTTGTGCCACTGCACTCCAGCCTGGGTGACAAAGCGAGACTGTCTCAAAAAACAAAAAACAAAAAAAAAAGAGTTAAGTGTTGATTTTGTTGGATTACTGACAGTTTGTTGAGATGGATTTTAAAAAGAGTCTATTTAAACCAAAGTACCTGGAACCATAATCTGCCATCAGATTGCTAAACATTCACATAATCCCCATGTTTCATGGGGCTTCAGGGAAGGCAAATACATCTGAGATGAGCCACCTCCAAGGACAGCATTTCCTGGGCTGCAAAACTAGATGTGGATTTTGTTACTTAGGCCTCTCTAAAAACTGAGGCCATGGATATGACATAGCTTTTCTTCTCACCTATGCCTTTGTTACTTTTGTATTTATTGGAATTAAATCTCTTTTTAAAGAGCTTCCTTCCCCCTTCATCCCATTTGTATTTTTAAAAACTAAGTTATATATATATTTGCTTGTTTTTGCATTCTTTTATTTTGTGCTCCATTCCCTGCTTTGCCAGTTAAGTACTACCTGAAAAGTAGCGGTTCAAAAGTATGGTAAATCTCCTCCCTTAACCTTATTGCCTGTGTGGGTGACAGCTAATGGAAAAGTTGATCGATTTTTTTCAGTGGTTTTTTTGGGAGTATATACTTTAAAAATGTACATACATGTTTTTGATAGTTTTTATATTATTTCATTTTGTATATTTTTTTCCTGATGAAGAGTGATATATCATCCTATGAAAATTTCATCTACCCTTCCCATTTTACCTGTATGGGCAGTAGCTACAGACTAGTTATTTGGTTTCCTTCTTTGGAAGAAGGTGGTGATGTTGAGAGGAGAGCAAGCTATATTCTTTTAAAAGTGTGTACAGATGTTTTTGCTATTTTGTGTTATTTCATTTTGTATTTCATTCATCCATTTTGTGGACGTGTAGATAAAACGCGGTGGTCCAAAAGCATGACAGATGTCCCCTTTGCGTTTCTCCTTATTGTTCGCATGGACAATAACTGACAGAGTAGTCCTAGTTGCTGTTGTTTTGATCTAGTCTTGGGGCTGGGGTTGTATATTATTCTTTCAAGTGTGTATAAATATTGTGCCACCTTTTTATACTTCATTTTATACTTGTTTCCTTGTATGGATGCATATATACTTAATGAAAATTGAGGTTCAGAGTATGACAAATCTCTTTTCCCTTTTCCTTACTGCCTATTTAGGCAATAGCTAATAGAGTAGTTTGTTTTGTTTTGGGGTGTGGGGGAGAGTGGAGTATGTACTTAATGTATATAAATAAACTTGCTACTACATTGTATTACTAATTTGGTTCACACTGTGTCCTTCTCATGGATGTGAAAGTACCAATGAAATGTGGAGATCTCGATGTATAACAGTCTCCCATTCTCCTCATCCCTTATTGACTGCTGGGCAGTAGCTAACAGAGTAGTTGTCAAGTGGCGTATTTGAGGTGAGGGGGAGGGACGGGGAAGGTAGGAAAATGCACTTAATGTATATACATGTTTTTACTACTACATTGTATTAATTCATCGGGTGCCCAGACTGAAAGGTACCTAATGAACCATGGAGTTCCGGATGTATAACAGTCTCCTCTTTTCCCTTTCCCTTATTGCCCATGTGGGCAATACTTAAGAGTAGTTTGGGTTTATTGAAGATTTTTTGCTAGGAGAGAGAAAATTTTTTGCTAGGAGAGGTTTCAAGGTAAGAGTATATACTTTAAACATGTATATAAATGTTTTTGCTACTTTTCTGTCACTACCTTTCTTACCTTGTCCTTTACATGGATATATGAAGAAAATTGAGGTTCAGCCTGTAGCAGCTCTCCTCTTCTGCCCTTCCCTTAGATTGTCTGTGTGGGCAGGTGTCTAAGAGAGTAGTTGATTAGCTTCAGGGATTCTTTGGTGGGTGTTGGGGTATATACTTTTGTATATGTATGTACATATTTTTATTTCTTTATTATAGTGTTTCATTGGGTACCCGGTCCTTCACTTGGATGTGTAGGTTCCTAATGAGCCATGGAGTTATGGATGTATAACAATCTGTTCTCCCTTTACCCTTTTAATGTATATGGGCAATAATTTTAAAGTAGTTTGGATTTTTTTAAGTTTTGAGGGGTGGGAGGGGTCTAAGGCAGAATATATCCTTTTTAAAAATGTATATATACTTTTCATTAACTATATTGTATTATTTCATGCTGTACCCAGTCCATTGCTTGGACTTACGGGTACCTAATGAAACGTGGAGGTCCGGATGTATGAAAATCTCCTCTTTTCCCCTTTCCTTATTGCCTCTGTAGGCAATAATTATAGAGTAGTATAGATGGTTTTTCTTTTTTATCCATCTGCCTATCTCCAGGAGGATGGGGTGTGCACTTTTAGAAATGTATATAAATGTTCTTGCTCCTTTTTCCTGTTACTTCATTGTGTGCCAAGGCCTTTCCATGGATACTTAGGTACGTAATGAAAATTGAGGTTCATTCTATGAAAAAATCTCCCCTTCTCCCCTTCCCTTATTGCCTGTCTTGGCAATGGCCAGTAGAGTAGTTATTTAAGGGATTTTGTTTTTTTGTTTTTTTGTTTTTTTTTTGGTAGGGGAGGTGGGGAATTTCTGGGTTTGTCTTTTTTTTAATGTATATAAAAGTTTGCTAGTTGTTGTTATTGTTGTTCTTTCACTCTCAACACAGTTTTTTGTTTGGAGTTGTAGGAATCAAATGTAATGAGGGACCCAGACCCGAGAGTGTGGTAAATATTCTTTGCCTTCCTCAGAGCCTGTATACACAAGCAAGTAGTATGTGAGCACTACAGGGCTTGGGTTTTGGTTTTTTGCTTTTGAGGGTTTTAATGAGGAGTGGGATTGTTGAGAGGAAAAGGCAAGATATATAATTTTTTTAATGTATATAAATGTTTTGCTCCTTTTTGATGTTAACTTCATTTTGAATCTGGTCCTTTGTATGACCACTTAGGTACTTAATAGTAATAAAGTTGAGATTGACTCTATGAAAAATATCCCATACTCCCCATCCCTCATTGCCTAGGGGGCAATGGTAGAATAGATGTTTGGTTTCTTTTGGGGGTGTCTGAGTGTATATGTGTGTGTATATACACACAAGAACACACATATTTATATACTATACACACACATTTTAATGTATATAAATATTTGCTACATTCTGTGTGTTATATAATGTGGTACCCAGTCCTCTGCTGGGACATGGATGTACATAATGAAACATGGAGGTCCAGACGTATGATAACTCTCCTGTTTCCCTTCCCTCATTGCCTACAGGGGCAATAGTTTCATATCTTGGGTTTTTTATTGTTTAATTTTTTTTTATGGGGAGGGGTTCTTTGGGTGGGTAATAGTCAGGGGGAAAGGACAGTGTCTATACTTTTTAAAGATGTATATAAATGTTTCATGTTATTGGTTTTGTACCTAGTCCTTTGCATGGATATATAGGTACCTAATGAAAATCGAGGATCAGTGTATGACAAATCTCCCATCCTCCCCTTTCCTTATTGCCTGTGTCGGCAATAGGAAGTAGAATAGTTGTGTGTTGTTTACTTACTTGTCTGTTTTAGAGAGATTTCTATTTTTGGTAGGGGAATATTCTTAATATGTTTTCATATCTTTATTTCATTTTGTAGTCTTTTGCATGGCTATGTAGGGACCTAATGAAAGTCGAGTTTCATAATATGACAGCTCACTTCTTTTCCTACATATTTCCTCACTTAGCAGTAGCTAGTGTAGTTATTTTGTGGTTATTTTATTTCATTCTCTAGGATCTATTCCATTAAGGATGCAAGTGTGTAGATGCATATATATCATTTGCTTCTTTCTTCCGCCATTATTTTCCTTTAACACTTAGTCCCTTGCAAGGGGTCTGACTATACCTAACAAAAATAAAGACCTACTAAATCCCTGCCATCTGGCTGGAAGGTGTAGCAGTGTATTAATGTAACTAATAGCAACAGGTGTGCAGCAGATAAGACAGGAGAAGACACTCAGCTATGGTTGAGTTGTGAAAGCTAATTAGATCCAGCATTTCTTATGTTGATTCAGATTGAATGAGGTAGTGAAAAGGGACCTGTGCTTTTGTAAATTCTAGAAAGGCAAGAGGACAATATTGAATAAAGCTGTGTTTAAACTTCATTGCTCATATATCTTTTAGTAACTGGTAAACCGGCGAAGCTGATAAGCCAATAAGAGTGCTGTCTAGAACGCATTTGCAAACCGTTAAGAGTAGCTTCTTTTTGAGGCCTGGACTTCTGATTCATCTATAGAAGTCTATTATGATTCCATCAATTGCATAGCTTGTGTACCTGGTAGAAATTGTGTCTTGGAATGACCCTTTCGAGTTATTGACATGGCTCTGATGAATAGAACATGAGCCCCAAAACTAAATCCAAAAGGAATTTTCTATCTTTCATCCCCCACATGTGGCAAGACAAGTTGGCCCTTTCTTACCCAGAGGTCTTTTGTGTGACTGCATCTTTCTCCTCCGTTCTCCATTGTGTGCTTTCCATTTTGTCTTTAGTGCCTATACTGTTAGGTGTTTTCTTCACTGGCATTCACAAATTTAAGCCATTGCTGCCTCATTAGCCTTGTATTTTGTGTGCATATCATGTATCCAGACCTGTATGTTCGCTTTAAGCATTCTTATATCACACTGTCTCCTCATCTACCATATGGTAAATGTTAAAACTCCACATTTGTCTGCATCAGGGAAAATGCATGGGCACACATCCTCCCTCCCTCCCTCTCTGCTCTCCTCCCTTCCTTCAGGCCTCTTAGCATTGTTTGTTTTCCCATTTCTGATACTACTACTCCATGCTGAAGATTTGCCATATTACTATTTTGGAAACATTGAGTGATAGAACTCCTAGAAAATTTGCAAAGAAATGTTACATACTGTATATCAAACTCTCAGATTCTAGTGTTGAAAAAGTAGCCTATACTTTGCTATTACTTATACCTGCTGCCATAGAAAAAAATAAGTTTATTCATGACACATTTACATTTGATCATAAATAAAAGAAAAAAGGGCACCTTTTTGGAGTTAGTCATGGTAGTCATTAGTGATATTTCTGAACAGTTCTTAATTTAAAATACTTCAAAGGAAGTAAAGGTCATGGCTTAGCTGAAGGAAATGCTCCAGAAATTGGACTGTGTAAACCATCAGTACAATAATACGCTGTGTATGTATGTGTATATAAAATGAGAATTATGGCATAATTGGAGCATTTGCATTAATCAACAAACTCACATTGAGACAAAACTTAGTTTTACAGCTGTCTTGATTAAAGCCAAGTGTTCCATGTTGCTGTGAAGAATAGCCTCTTTCAAATACTTTGGAAAGTAGTTACTTGGAAACTTGTAAAGGTATTACATTTTTATATTTAAACACCTATAGAGATCTTCAATTCCTTGAGTCTGAGCTTGTGGGTGGAATTCTAAATTTGTATCATAATCTGTCTTTTGTGAAACATTTTGAAAATATGTATATATAATATTGTATATGCAAATTGTGTTGTTTCACTTGTAAAGGGAAAAGGCTTATTTTTCTTTATATTTCTGATAACTTGTTTTGCATATGACCAGCACTGACTGAAAGGCATGTGTAGCTGCAAACACTGTTGCTTTTTTTGTGAAATGAAAATAAAAGTATTTAAATACAAACATTGTGTGGACTCTTTGGATTAATGTATATATAAAGTGGTATCTCTTCTTAGGTTATGACCTCTACCAGGGCAGCTCCTGTACTCATTGTCTTCTGTGGTTAGTTTTTTATTTCACCAGTATCCAGTGTCTTTATTGCATATACCTCAGTTGACATTTGACATTCGGAGGTGGCTAATTCTTTGTTGTGGGGGCTGTTCTGTGTATCATAGGACATTTAGCAGGATCCCTCCCATGCCAATTGCAACTAGTTGCCAATAGTAACTCTTGTCCCCAGCTGTGACAACTAAAACCTCTCCTCCAGACATTGCCAAATGTCCCCTGAGGTTAGGGTTAAAACTTTGAGTGGATGCATAGGGCGGATAGCTAACAGTCACGGGAGCTCCATCAGGACCATTATTTACTTTTTGGACTAAAGCAGTTCTTGTAAACACTCAGGTCACCTAAGTAGCCAACTGATGCAGTAGTCATACAGTACCTAAATCAGTGTGAGAAATGTCATACGTGTCGTATGCCAGTGAAACCAAGGAACGCTGTCTTACTTTGAAGGTGAGACATTGGATGTTATCAGGGAAATACCCCTTGCGTTGATTCACATATAAGTAGGAGTATGAGTGCACCTTTTTAGAGGCACACTGCCACGGTTACATTCCTGGTCAGGTCTACAAAAGGAGTTTCTTGGTTCTGTCTGCATGAGTAGCCTTGAGGAAGAACTGAGAATTTCTTAGGCTTCCAGATATATGAACTAGAATAAGTATTCTTTTACAGTAATTGTTAGGTGGGCGTTTGAAGGCAAAGTAAGTCTTAACTCCCATACCCAAAATCCTATTTCTGAGGACACAAAACCTTGATGCATGCCCTTTTAAAATCTCTTATAATGATCATTACTAATATATAGGGGAAATGTTCTTAAAATTGTGAAGTTTTGATCAGAAGCTTCTGGTTAAATTTTTTGTGCTTTTTAATTCACAGATACCAGCAGTAAACAATTGAACTAAAACCCATTATAAATGTAAAGAACACTTTGATTCTGATAGACTTTTTGGATGGAGAGTAACAATAACCTATTTTTCTAAATTATTTTTAGAACCCATGGTACAGAAGAATGATTCAGTTGTATCTTCTTTTTGCTTCTTCTGTTCTTACATAAAGCCCCCCGACCCCCCACCGCCAACACACACACAAAGGCTCTGGTGTTTACTAAAACTTGTGTGCAAGTTGAACAGTTGACTTACATGCTTAAAGAGGTGGTTTTCTGCTAGAGGGCAAAAACATACTTTTAAGTCGTTAATTTCACCCACCTACTAGATCCATAATTGATATGTTCCCAATGCTCTGTGCTTGTTTACTTTTATCATTTCTCTTCATGGATGACCTCCATTCAACTGGCCAAAGTCCAGTTGAATTGAAATGCACTTTGGGTACCCCTGTAATTTCTGTTGTTGGCTGAGCTGAATAATCAGGACCTTGGCTTACACAGAATAAGTTTGATTCTTGCTTTCCTATTCCCATTTGTGTTTATAAAAGAAGAACCTAATGTGATAATAAAATAGCAGTCATCAGAGTTGAACTGTTGACCAGCAGGCAGCACCAGGAGGTAATAGTTTGAAAGGAAGTCAGGGAACATACCAGAGGCCACTTCAGCATAGGAAAGACAATTTAGGGCTGTCAGTGTGTTGCTTATTAAAGTGTCATTTGTGTACAAACCAAATGTGGGAAATTGAAAGTTCTTTTGTTCAGCAGTTTCTGATGCTGTTGCTCTTCTATGTGAATGCAGCTGAAAAGATCTTTGGGTCCTACATGCAGGATTGAACATGGGCTGCCCTATGGGTTTAGTGGCTGTTTATGTCTTCATTTTTTTTCCTCAAAGACCTCTGTAATTTTTAACTTCAGCAAAATTATTGGAATATTACTATTATCACATAACAAAAGGTAACAATTTCAAGAAATTTAAATACTTGAAAGGCTATTAGGCTGGTATCAGTCAGAACTAGAATTGATTTCTGGTTCAATCATTTTCCACTTAGAGAGTTGTTACTAATTCCTGTTTGCCTCAGTTTCCTCCATTTATAAAACTGAGATAGTGCCTACCTACCTACCTTGCAGGGTTGTTAGCATTAAATAAAAGAACCTATAAATTGTTTAGTATATTGCCGGGCCCAGGCAGAGTAATTATCAACTGTCATTGTTAAAACTCTCAGCGCTTAATGAGGTGTATGGATATTAATATCTTCAGCTACAGATGGATATGAGTTTTTAAAATTGAATAAGGTATATAACTTGCCAGTTAGGAAATTACAAAAATAATTTTAGTCTAATATGCTTTTTATTTAAGCCTTAAATATGCAAAGATTTTATTTGAGAGGCATTATATTAGAAAAAATGTGGTTATATAGGTTTTACAACTGAAGTTAATTCTGGCTGTCACTGAATTTGGTTAATTAAAAGTAGACACAAAACAAAATCCTGACTCTTGACTAATCTGCAAAGCATATCTACTTTGCAGTAATAACATGAAGAACAGGTATATAGGAAAATACACCTGGTCCTTCGTAGGTGCTCCACAAATACTCCTTTCCTTCTCTCAGTTTATTTGCCTAAGCATGCAAATGAATCAAGCATGCCTAAGTCTCTATTCTAGCTAGAAAAAAAATTGTTTGCAACTTATGCATTAGATGGCATGATGGAGAGAAATTGGCCAAATACTTTAGGACCTGGGATTATTAGTGCTAGAAGGAAAACTTCTTCCACATGACCTAGTCTAAATTTCCTCCTTTTACAGATTAAGGGCATTAGAAGTTATGCTTGAGCTAAAATCCCACATGATATAACATTATATGTTAAATTTGTATATGTTTTTAGATTAGACACAGTTTATATGCATCATTTTTGAGACAAATGATGTGCAATTGCCTGCGGGATACTGCTTCTTTGGAGAAGAGAGTATTCGAGTTTGCTGTTGAAAGAGGTGTTTCATTAATGTTGAGTGCAGAGCTAAATTAAACTATCCTAATGTTTTCACTTTTACATTTAATGATGCTGTGAATGATTCAAATAACATGATCTCAAAAGAGTAGCATTTTTTTTAATGTTTAAATGAAGTGAATTACATTGAAGTAATCTCTCTCAGGTGGAAGATACTAATGTCAGAAGGTTCAGACACTCACCACCAAAGGGAATCTCAGGAAGGACGGAGGGTGGTTAGCATTGGTAAAGTAACAGCTGCCATAATGGTTGATGAGCTGAATGAAAAGAATATAAACGTTAAGCTTCGCCGACTACAGGTAGAAGGTGAAAATGAACCATTTTCCTGAAGTACAGTCATGTGCCACAATGATGGTCCCATAAGGCTATAATGGAGCTGAAAAATACCCATTGCCTTGTGACATCTTGATGATCCTGACCCCGTGTAGGCCTAGGCTAATGTGTTTGGTTTTGTCTTAGTTTTTAACAAAAAAAGTTTAAAAATAAATTTTAAATATAAAACATAGAATAAGATATAAAGAAAATTATTTTGTACAGCTGTAGTGTGTGTTTAAACTGTGTTATTACAAATGAATCAAAACATTTTAAACGATTAAAAAGTTTACATCAAGGTAAGGTTAATTTATTATTGAAGAAAGAAAAATTCTTTTATAAGCTTAGTGTAGCCTAAGTGTACAGTGTTTATAAAGCCTACAGTAGGGTACAGTAATGTCCTAGGCCTTCACATTCACTCACTGACTCACCCAGAGCAACTTCCAATCCTGCAAACTCCATGCATGGTAAGTGTTCTACACAGCTGCGCCATTTTAAAAATCTTTTTTTACGCTGTTTTTACTGTACCTTTTCTATGTTTAGATGTATTTAGATGCACAAATACCATTGTGTTATAGTTGCCTATGGTATTCAGTACAGTCACATGCTATACAGGTTTGTAGCCTAGGAGCGAAGCAATAGGCTATACCATATAGCCTAGGTGTGTAGTAGGCTAAACCATCAAGATTTGTGTTGTTTGCACCATGATGAAATCAGCAAGCAATGCATGACTGTAGTTTGAAATCAGCCCGAGATAAGGCCTTCAGTCCTCAGCCACAGAACCCTGGACTTTGAGAGCAGACTGACATCCTTTCCTATTTTTCTTGTTTTTCTTTTCCTTTTTTTTAAAAAAAAAAAAAAAACAGGGTCTCACTCTGCCACCCAGGCTGGCGTGCAATGGCATGATAATGGCTCACTGCAGTCTCGACCTCCTGGGCTCAAACTATTCTCCCATCTCAGCCTCCCGAGTAGCTGGGACCACAGGTGTGTGCTACCATGCCTGGCTAACTTTTTAAAATTTTGTATAAAGACAGTGGTCTCTCTATGCTGCCCAGGCTGGTCTTGAACTCCTGAACTCAAGTGATCCTCCCACCTCAGCCTCCCAAAGTGCTGGGATTACAGGCCTGAGCCACCACGCCCAGCGTCTTTCCTATTTTTCAACAGACCCCCTTCTGTTGCCAGAAGGACAGGAACTTAAGGAAGTCTACAGGCATGGGAAAAGAGGCAATATTAAACAATTTTAAAACCATTGATTTCACTTGCTTTATGGAGGAGGCATAACCTGAATGTAGTTGGTCCTCTTCAGCCCCGCATGCATGTCTGTAGTCTCTTTTTTGCCTTGAGCAAACCTAGACTTGGAACTTAGCACCTCTTCAAGATTCCTTTCCACAAAATGCACTAAAGCCAAAGCACTGCCGAGCAATATAGGTTTTCTCCAAGGTAGTACCCAGAGGAGAGTCTACAAGGGAAGTTACTCTCACATGCTGTAACAGTGTCATCCTCACTTGTATTTCTGTTCTCCAGAGCCTCTCCTTTACGTTGCCATTTCTGGGGGATGTTTTTGTGTGCTCCTCACCCAAATTACACATACACACACACCCAGGCCTTGCTGACCTGTCACTCTTGCCCCTAGACATCCCAGTGTCTCAGCATCTACATCCAGACATGTTTGGCCAAGCACATCAAAAGCTCCACAAAACTAATGGCCTGTAGTGAGCAGCTGGCCCCAAGGTTTGGAGGCCTTTTGCTATTTGGACATGCTCCCTGGAGTCTTACCCCTTCCCACAAACAAGCAGTTTATCAACTATTTATTTCAAACAAATGTTCTTAGAAATCTTTATCTGCCTGTCTAGATTGGCAACAGATTTTTCTTCCTAGCTGTGTTTTTCCACACTAATAGAAAATTGGCTTATATCTGACCCCATCTGGACTTGGGGTGAGAGAAAGTAGCCATAAATTGAACTGGTGGAAGAGGAAAGCCAAGGCATACTTTTAAAATATTTTTATGGATGATTTATTCAACAAATATTGTGATCTGTCCACTATGCATCAGGCCCTGAGCTCGGTGGGTACCCGAGACTTGACTCTAATGTGAGTAGCTGGCTCAGGCCGGGAAATTGCCACCTGGGTTTTATAAACACAGCCTGCGTGGTGGGTGGTAGACAGTCAAGGGCATTGGGGTTCATGTGGAACAGAAGTGAAGGGTGTTGCCAGGGGAGGTTTCAAGCTATGAAACTGGTGGTGTTAAAGCCTGTTTCAATGGCAACACACCATCTTGAGCGGGGCAGGTCTGGGGGACATGCATTCCTCAGCCAGGAGTCTCCCTCTGTTCGTTGGAGTGTGCAGAGGAATGTGAGAAGTGGAGACCTCTCACCACTGCTTAAGTACCAAGTTGAATGCCCTGTGTCGCTGATTGGGAACCAGAGGCGCTTTTGATCCGCACTGAGTAACCACACAGGTATACATTCCTGCGGGTGTTCCAAGTGAATGAGAGAAGGTGGGAAATTAATTGCCTGTTTCGGTTTCACTCCAGGTTTCTCCTAAATTCTAATTAGCAATAAATGAGCTTGGCTCTCCTCAACCTGAATTGCAAGAATGCTTTCTTGTCTGAGTTCCTCTGTGTGGCTAAGTAAGAATAAAGAGAGTGTTTCAAGATAGACTTGTAATGCAGGGAGTCTTGACTTAACACCTAAACTTCAATAAAAGGAGGGTCTGGCTGCCTGGAGTGGAAAGCCCCTAGGTGAAGTTCCAGAGCATAATCAATTAAATGTGCCACACAGGAAATGGCACTGTTTGTCTGATTGGCTTCTACATGACAGGCACCTGCCTCAGTTATTTCAATGACTGCCCTCTAGCCTCAGTAATCAGAGCAGGAATTCTGATCTTTGACCTCTCCAGGGTCCTTGCCTTAAGAGCAGTCTGCTCAAGTCTTTTAGAATGTGGATGGGCTGCTGCAGTTTCAGCTGGACTAGTGTGGGCTGATTGTGGGGAACTCTGGTGGCTTCTATCCTTGCCCGGTGCTCACCAGGAGTAACCAGGAACAGCTGGGGAGGCTTGTCTGTCCTCAAACGGCTTAGAATCCACACAGCGCTCATGGAAACTTCCAGACTCACACAGAAAAGAGGAGAAATTCAGATGAAATTGAAGAAATCCTGGGAAATATGCTTCTTGTGAAAGGGTGCTTTAAAAAAGTATAGTTTCAAGTGAAGTAGCCTAGAATGAAAGTTTTTCCCTTTGTAGTTTGAAAGAAATGGTTAACTCTAAAGGGTATCCTGCACCTTCCTGTAAAGGTCCTGTAAAGTGGCTGAGCTGATCTGTTGTCTGATTTAGATAGCCTAGAAATTTCCACTGGCCAGGATGACCAGGAAGGAAGTTGAGCTGTTTGAGTAAGACTGGCTCCAACAGGAGCTGTGGAAGGTGGTGCTTTCCCAGGGCAGCCGAATGCCTTCCAGGAGGAGGCAGTGCAGGCTTGGTTGGAAGCCTCCCCATATCAGGGGTGAAAACACTATCCCAGGTCCCTGTAGGCGAGGAATCTTCCCTAGGGTCTGTGAGACAAGGGTACTAGCAGGGAAGGCAGAGGAGTGCTGGTCCTCAAAGGTGAGTAGACTGTTGGTTTGCCATGAAAAGTAGTTCTGAGTGGCATTACCCTAGTGTACAAAAGAGGACTGCAGCTCAGCCTGAGCCTTATAACTGCTCCAGGAACATTTCCTATTTCACTCCTTTCTAGACCAGTTCTGCAAGTAATTGGCAGAAAAACATAGAATGTGCATTTCAGACCAGAGTCACCTAATAAGAGGGATGAGTATTTGAGAGTATTAGGCACTGGAGTTTGTGGAGAAGGCAGTTTGGCAAATATTCCCTGTGGGATTTTCTGCAGCTCTTGTCTCCACAAGTGTTTGTTCACGGTGATGACATTTAAAACAGGTGCTTCATGTCTTAGAATTCCAAGCTTGGTGATGCTCCATACATACCTATGGCCCAACCGTGTAGGCCATTTTGGGGGAGAGGAAGCATCCCTGGGGGTAAGAGGAGATACTTTATGCAGGTCAGCCAATGGCTGGGATGGGGTAGAGGAAAGCAGGTTGATTAAGGGAATGGAATAGATGGATGGATGGATGGATGGATAGATAGATAGATAGATAGATAGATAGATAGATAGATAGATAGATAGATGGTTTTGTGTGTGTGTGTGAATGTGGGAAGAGAGGGAAAGAATACGGACAGATATTTCAGGAGCTGCTGGATAGAGGGAGGAGGAAAGGAATATTTAAAAGACATGTTTAAGAAATTTAGCCAAGTAGTATATGTGGCACCTCTTTTTCAATCAACGCAGACCATAAGGAAAGATCTACTTTGCTCTTCAGTAGTCAGGACTGCTCAGGCAGCCAGAGCACATTCTAAGCACAACACAAAATGCAGACAAGAATGACAAACTCACCCCTGCTGTGGGAATTGTGACCCTGCTTCTGCCACTGCACTTAGTAGTAAAACTCTTCTTACTGAAAAGAAACTCCTGTTTGGTGTATTTATCTCACTTACGAAGACCCTGAATTTGAACATGTTCTCTGGCCATTGGGCTTTATAGAATTCCTCTCATAAATGCAGAAGCTGTAATCTGGTTCATCTATCTACCAGGGAAGCTTTTTCAGGTCCGCAAACAGTAACAGAACTCAGTTTTAGGTAAACAAGGTATTAAGTCAATGACTTGCCCACCTCAATCTACATGTAGTAGGTGCTCCATAATTTGTTAGATGTAGTAGGATGAAGGAAGCATTAAGGCAGAGGGTAAAGAAGGTAAACAAAGCAAGGGACTTAACACTTTAAACATTTTGTATTAGTTGAACTGTTTATAGCTAGTATGTGCTGCTTTCATAATTTAAGAAAAAGGAGGGCCGAGCGTGGTGGCCGACGCCTGTAATCCCAGCACTTTGGGAGGCTGAGGCGGGCAGATCACCTGAGGTCAGGAGTTCAAGAACAGCCTGGCCAACATTGTGAAACCCCGTCTCTACTAGAAATACAAAAAATTAGCTGAGCGTGGTGGCAGATGCCTGTAATCCCAGCTACTCGGAAGGCTGAGGCAGGAGAATAGGTTGAACCCAGGAGGCAGAGATAATAATGAGCCAACGTCGCACCATTGCACTCCAGCCTGGGCAACAAAAAGCGAAACTCCATCTCAAAAAAAAGAAAAAGGAAAGTTCATGATCAATAAACAAACATTTATTATCTTTCAAATTTCACTGTAGAAAATATTCAAACTGTAATTACAGAGTGATGTCGGTGAGAATGGCAGAGTAAGAATCTCTGGAAGTTCACTCTTCCATAAAAAAGCAAGGAAAAATCTGGCAAAAATTGTGAGAACCATTTTTTCCAGAAATCTAGAAATTAACCAAAGGCTTGCAACAACACAGGGAGTGTTAAGAGAAACAGTGGAATCTCAGAATGATGAGCTTTGTGGCATTTTAACTTAGCCTAGACCCACTCCCTGCGACCCAGCTCAGTAGCAGTCTTGAAAAATAATAGCCTGCATTCCTGGTACTGGAGAAAACAGAATTGTCATGATTGGACCCATCTAGTGGTTCCTTGCAAGACACCATTCTATAGTGCTGTCCTTATTTGACCTTACTTGAGCTTACTCAGTTCTAAAGCCTCTGGGAGGAGAAGAAAGGGTGTTTGTTGAGCGTTACTGCCACCACATGTTGATGGAGAATGAAATGACTGTTAGTGTAGTTTTTGCCACTGTCTTCATTCATTCTAAGGCACTAGCAGTTTTACCCATCATTACTTTTTCACGATCGGTACAAATGTCAATAGAGTCATTAAAAAGACAAATCGTGTCTTAATATTGCTAGGAAAATAGTTTTGAGCCCAGCTTCTCTCTGAAAGAGTCTTGGCTACCTGCAGAGGTCCATGAACCACTGCTGCACTAGAATAGAAATACCTGTTGCATGTTGTCATCAAATACGTAGAAAAGTGAATCAGTAATGAAGGGAGACAAACAAAGGAGGAAGAAGGAAAGGAAGGAGAGAGATCTCACTGAGAAAATCTAACAATCTCAACATTCTCCTCATTCCTTTGCCCTGCCGTCCTGATCATGGACAGGATGCTTTTGCTGGAAACCTCTAAATGATGTACTAGGTCTACATGCCAAACACTGCCTCAACACCCCTTTGGTACATAGAGAACTTGGCACATAGAATTGTGGATGGGTTATGTGACTGAACCAGGGATGAAAACCTGGTACAGGGGAAACATCACAGTTTGAGCTGAGCCAATAAATTTTGCAAATGTCATGACATTGGCTTATGGAGGGACTTGATGCATTAATTCAAAGGTGCTACAGGGGCTGGATTTATGAAGCTGACTTGTTAGGTGCCCTCTGAGGCTGTGCTAGGGTGAGGCAATGCTGGATTGTCTGAGACTTTCCTAGTTTTACCACCGAAAGTCCTGCATTCCAGGAACTCCTCTCAGTCCCAGGCAAACTGAATGGTTGGTCATCCTACAAAGGCACCATTGTGAGTAGCTACATACAACCATGCAGAAATAGACAAGTGAAGCAGACACATATAAGCAGAGATGTAAGATTATGAGCCAAATCTAGAGTTAATGAGAGCATCTACCTTGATTCCTGATGATTTTCTCTTCCTTCATTTGCCCACCCATTCCTCCATTTATTGGACCAAAGCTTATTGAGTATTCACTTGTGCCAGGCAATTTGGTAGGAACAGGAATGGCCTTGAGGCCTAGGTATACTTCCTATTCTTGAATTTTTCAGGATTCCTGAAGCTCTTCCTATAAAACCCATTTTTCCATTCAATGGGCTCCTATTCCTTCCAAACAAAAATGCTTGTCCCTAAATACTTATCTGTTAAAATGATGAAGGAGATAGGAAAGAAGGCCAGAGGAGGATGTTTCCACTTAAAAATCCCACAACCCTTTGAATCAGTACATAAAGAACTCTTGTTTATGGCATGTGTCAACCTGCGTCCTCCTGTGGGATCCAGTTTGGGAACAGTGATATACATGATCTTAATGGCTGGGAACAGGAGGATTAAGCAGACACTTTTAGGCATGGTCACAACCCACTAGCTTGATTTCACATCTTTCTGATGTGACAGGGCCCGTAGTTGGAAAACTTACTAAACCTCAGTGAAGAGTGCATGTCCTTAGGTGGATTATCTAGCAGCTCTAAATTTGTTTGACAAAGACTCCAAAACCAATTACACACAGAAGCATTCGCAGAGAGTAGAAAGAGTTTGCCTTTCTTCTATTTTACTCAGACACATCTTGGATTCATTTCTATTTCTGATTGTTTAGAATTACAATGTGGTAGGCAAAATAATCCCTCCTCCCTCAAAGATGTCCATGTCCTAATCCCTGGAACCTATGAATTTGCTACCTGACATGGCAAAAGAGAATTAAGTTTGCAGATAAAACAGGGAGATTATCATAGATTATTCAGTTGGGCCCAGTGGGTCACAAGGGTCCTTGAAAGTGGAAGATGGAGGTAGAAAAGATCAGAGTGATGCAACCTGAGCAGGACTTCAAGAGCTTTTGCTGTCTTGGAAGATGGAGGAAGGGGACCACTAGCCAGGGAATGCAGCAGACTCTAGAAGAGGGAAAAAGCAGGGAAGGGGTCCTATCCAGCACCTACAGAAAGATATACAGCACAATGCCTTGATTTTAGCCCAGTAAGATCCATGGCAGACTTCTGACCTACAGAACTATAAGATAATGATTTTGTGTGTTTACGCCACTAAATTTATGGTAATTTGTCACAGCAGCAAATGCAAAATTAATGCACACTTTTTGGTGCAGTTAGAAAAGTTGGATCTAATCAGTTGCTACAAAACTGCTAACTATAAATCCCATAATCCTTAACTGTGAGGAAGGAGCTCTAGGCTTCAGGTAAGTTATTACAAATGCAAGCAGAGCTGTATGACAACAACAACAACAACAAATAAATACACAGTTTCAGAAGCAGTCAGCTAGAGATTAGAACCACGAACAACCTCTTCTAGACCATGTCTCTTGGTATAAAGTTCTGGTTCTTACTTTCTTTCTCTTTTACATTTTAAAAAATCCAGAGAATGATTCAAAATACAGAAATCATCATTCATGATAATTTTGTCAAATATGAGAATTCACTGGATGGTAAAAATTGGAGGAATCCATGGCTTTCAGAGAGTCCCATGAATACAGGAAATACCAAAATCAGTAGTTTTTAGCATCTCTTAGATCATAGATCTATTTGAAACTCTTTTTGGAAAAATGCATATATATACTTACACAATTTTGCATTTGTTTTTAGGGGTTTTCCAGCCTCTCTAATGTTTATAGACCCAAGTTACAAGCAGCTGATCTAGATAGATGCTTTCACGGTGTTGTACATGATTTTAGCGAGGGATGTGTTTCTTAGAAAACACTAATGTGAGGGAGCACAAATGAGCACACTAGAAATAATATCTTTATTTTAGTTAACTATGAGGAACTAGAGCTTCCTCAAAGGACTCATGCTTTCCATTTTTGTCATCAACAGGATCTAAATCCAATACTTCATTGAGCAAGAACGTGGGCTCTTCAATCCTGTAACGGGGAGCGCTGTGAGAGTGATTTTGTCAGCTGCGTGGCTCTGAAGTATCACTTTCAACGGAAGCATTTGGAAAAGTTCACTGTGAAAAATGTAACCAAGAAATCCTAAGGGAGAAGCTCCAAGATCACAGTAAGGTACAAATGGGTGAAACCTTTGAGTTTTCTCTACTTTTTCTATAACACTCATGCCTTTTGTTGGCTGGTTTTTGTTTTTGATTATTTTCACTGAGCTCTATTAACAGAAAATTAAAAATTAAAACAAAAACTTAGGGCCATAGGACAGATGGTGGGGTGTAGTGGTTAAAGCTCCTCAGCTATAAAGTACCCATCTCATAGGGCCACAGCAAAGGACATGTAGCAGAATGTCCTGGACCTGGAGTGGTATATCCAGGGAGGCTGCTATTATTTTCATTGTTATTCCAATGTGCTTTGTGCAGTGACATGATTCTCAAATCCTAGAATTTTTTTTCTTTCTCTCTTTTTTTTAAGAGATAGAGTCTCACTGTGTCACCCAGGCTGGAGTGCAGTGGCTATTCACAGGTGCAATCATAGTGCACTACAGCCTTGAACTCCTGGGTTCAAGTGATCCTCCTGCCTCAGCCTCCTGAGTAAATGAGACTACAGACATGCACTACTGTGCTTGGCTTTCAGCACTGTGCTTCTTATGGTTCGTTCCTTTATTATCTACAGTAGTTTTCCATCTATATTAGAAGAGCTAATTGACTTTGTTTTGCTCTTTTTGAGAATTTCAGAATGAACATTTACTGCGCCCATGAATGGGAGCATTCAGTGAGAAACCAAATGAAGACCAGCAGATCTTTCAAATAGCTCTTTTAATTCATTGTTAAATATCTCCCTTTTCTCAGTCTGTGTGCATGACAGGTCAACCATGGAGACACACAGCCCAACCTGGGAAAATCCAGGAGAAAGGAATATAAAGCATATGGCTAAAAAAAAGTCAAAAACTTGTAGGTTGTGTCCTAGACACTTCGGAACAGTCCTTAGTTAGGAGAACCATGAAATACAGAGCATCATTTCACAGCCAGTAAAAGAGGCAAAACAGATGTTTGGCATTTTCCTTCTGTGGAAGTGCATACAGCATTTAAACCATATTTTGGTTTTCCTTCAATGCAAGGCATTGTGGGTTGTTTCCAAGAACAGGAGGAAGAGAAGAAAGAGAATGGAACCAGGATGTGGCTTGAGACTTCAGGTGGAAGAGGTGGAGGATAATCCTGCAGAGCTGTATTTAAGGAGGAAGCTGGGAAACCAAGGCAAAGTTCAAAGACAACATAGTTAGAAGCACAATTCTGGGGGCCTCCAGTCAGAAGTGGGACCATGTCAAGGGTCAAGGTGGGTGTCAGGTGTGTGGGCTACTCATATTCAGGAGACCCAGTCATTCATATCATAACCTCAGGTGTTGGAGGAGGTAGCCGGCAGAACTCCAGGGCCAAGGAAAAGGACTGAGCAAGACAAAACAAGAGGCAGGTTTGGTCATGGGTGGGGAAGGGATTGGATGAAACTTAGGGGCAGATCCCATGACACAAACCAACTTGCTATGGCAGAAACCAAACTGTGACCTGGCCAAGTTGGGCAGATGAGGTAGGGAGAGCATCTATTCACGGATGGCTGTGGGGAGCTTCAGGCCTTAATGCATTGGGCAAAGAAGGAGACTCTAGGTTTGGATTTTCACAAACCTCTCAAATCATGCAAAAAGCACCTGAATTTGGAAGAAAATTCTAACTATCACCAGAGGTTTGAGGTGAATTGCCTTAGGACTTGGAGTGGGCCAAGGTAGCCGGTAGGGCGTGTAGGAAGAGCAGGAGTTTGGGTCCATGTCTGAGAATTTCGGAGAAGGCAGAGGTAAGGAAAGTAAATAAGATTAAACCTGACTCTGGGGTCTGGGACTGAAATCTGGGAAAAGGATTGTGAAGCAGTGGGTTTGGACTAAGTAAGTAGTAAAAAACTTAACTGTTTCTCAGGTTGATTGGAGATTTGGCAGATAATGTGCATATATATAAATAATTAAGCCATTCTTAGAATTCCAATTCCATCCAGGTTGCTGTGAATGCAATTATTTCATTCCTTTTTATGACTGAGTAGTATTCCATGGTGGAAATATACCACATTTTCTTTATCCACTCATTGGTTGAGGGGCATTTAAGCTGGTTCCATATTTTTGCAATTGTGAACTGTGCTGCTATAAACATGCGTGTGCAAGGGTCTTTTTCATATAATGACTTCTTTTCCTCTGGGTACATAACCAGTAGTGGGATTGCTGGATCAAAAGGTAGTTCTACTTTTAGTTCTTTAAGGAATCTCCACAATGTTTTCCATAATGATTGTACTAGTTTACATTTCCACCAGAAGTGTAAAGGTGTTCCCTTTTGTCCACATCCATGCCAACATCTATATTTTTTTAATTTTAAATTATGGCCATTCTTGCAGGAGTAAAGTGGTATCTTATTATGGTTTTAATTTGCATTTCCCTGATAATTAGTGATGCTGAGCTTTTTTGTATGCTTGTTGGCGATTTGTATATCTTCTTTGAGAATTGTCTGTTCATGTCCTTAGCCCACTTTTTGATGGAATTATTTTTTTTTCTTGCTGATTGTTTGAGTTCCTTCTAGATTCTGGATATTAGTCCTTTCTTAGATACGTAGTTTAAGAATATTTTTCTCCCACTCTGTTGGTTGTCTGTTCACTACGCTGATTTTTTTCTTCTGCTGTGTGTAAGCTTTTTAGTTTAATTAGGTCCTATCTACTTATTTTTGTTTTTGTTGCATTTGCTTTTGAGTTCTTGGTCATGAACTCTTTGCTTAAGCCAACATCTAGAAGTGTTTTTCTGATCTTATCTTCTAGAGTTTTTATGGTTTCAGGTCTTAGATTTAAGACTTTGGTCCATCTTGAGTTGATTTTTGTAAGATGAGAGATGAGGATCCAGTTTCATTCTTCTACATGTGGCTTGCCAATTACCACAGCACCATTTGTTGAATAAGGTGTCCTTTCCCCACTTTATGTTTTTGTTTGCTCTGTCAAAGATCAGTTGGCTGGAAGTATCTGGCTTTATTTCTGGGTTCTCTATTCTGTTCCATTGGTCTATGTGCTTATTTTCATGCCAGTACCATGCTGTTTTGGTAACTATAACCTTGTAGTATAGTTTGAAGTTAAGTAATGTGATGCCTTCCGATCTGTTCTTTTGGCTTAGTCTTGCTTTGGCTATACAGGCTATTTTTTGTTCCATATAAATTTTAGAATTTTTTTCTAGTTCTGTGAAGAATGGTGATGGTATTTTGATGGGAATTGCATTGAATCTGTAGATTGCGTTTGGCAGCATGGTCGTTTTCCCAATATTGATTCTACCCATCCATGAGTATGGGATGTGTTTCCATTTGTTTGTGTCATTTATGATTTCTTTCAGCAGCGTTTTGTAGTTTTCCTTGTAGAGATCTTTTACCTCCTTGGTTATGTATATTCTAAGTATTTCATTTTTTTTGCAGCTGTTGTAAAAGGGATTTAGTTCTTGATTCGATTATCAGCTGGGTCATTGTTGGTGTATAGCAGTGCTACTGATTTGTGTGTAATACATTGATTACTTGTATCATGAAACTTTCCTGAATTCATTTATCAAATCTAGGAGCTTTGTGGATGAGTCTTTAGGGTTTTCTAGGTATACAATCATATCATTGGTGAACAGCAAGAGTTTGATTTCCTCTTTAGCGATTTGGATGCCCTTTATTTCTTTCTCTTATATGCTTGCTCTGGCTAGGACTTCCAGCACTATGTTGAATAGAAGTGGTGAAAGTGGGCATCCTTGTCTTGTTCCAGTTCTCAGAGGGAATACTTTTAACTTTTCCCTTTTCAGTATAATGTTGGCTGTGGGTTTGTCGTAGATGGCTTTTATTACCTTGAGGTATTTCCCTTCTATACCAATTTTGCTGAGGGTTTTAACAATAAAGTGATGCTGGGTTTTGTCAAATGACTTTTCTGCATCTATTGAGATGATCATATGATCATTGTTTTTAATTATGTTTATGTGATGTATCACATTTATTGACTTGCATATGTTAAACCATCCCTGCATCCCTGCATCCCTGGCATGAATTGATGTATGATCAATTAATCATGATGTATTATCTTGATCATGAAGTATTATCTTTTGGAAATGCTGTTGGATTCAGTTAGCTAGTATTTTGTTGAGGATTTTTGCATCTATGTTCATCAGGGATATTGGTCTGTAGTTTTCTGTTTTTTGTTACGTTCTTTCCTAGTTTTGGTATTAGGGTGATACTGATTTCATGGAATGATTTAGGGAGGGTTCCCTCCTTATCTTTTGGAATAGTTTAAGTAGGATTGGTACAAATTCCTCTTTGAATGTCTGATAGAATTCAGTTGTGAATACATCTGGCCCTGGACTTTTTTTTCTTGGCAATTTTTAAATTACTGTTTCAATCTCACTGCTTGTTACTGCTTTGTTCAATGTTTCTATTTCTTCCTCGTTTAATCTAAGAGGGTTGTATATTTCCAGGAATTTGTCCACCTCCTGTAGATTTTCTAGTTTGTGCACATAAAGGTTTTCATAGTAGCTTGAAATGATCTTTTATGTTTCTGTGGTATTGGTTGTAATATCTCCCATTTCTTTTCTAACTGAGCTTGTTTGGATCTTCTCTCTTCTTGGTTAATCTTGCTAATGGTCTATCAATTTTGTTTATATTTTCAAAGAACTAGCCTGTTGTTTCATTTATCTTTTGTATTTTTTGTTTCAATTTCATTTAGTTCTACTCTAATCTTAGTTATTTCTTTTCTTCTGCTAGGTTTGGGCTTGGTTTGTTCTTGCTTCTCTAGTTCCTTGAGATAGATTGTCTGTTTTTGCTCTTTCAGACATTTTCATGTAGGCATTTAATGCTATGAAATTTCCTCTTGGCACCACTTTTGCTGTATCCCATAGGTTTCAATAAGTTGTGTTACATTGTTCAGTTCAAATAATTTTTAAATTTCCATCTTGATTTCATTGTTGGCCCAAAGATCATTCAAGAGCAGATTATTTCATTTCCATGTATTTATATAGTTTTCTGGGTTCCTTTTGGAGTTAATTTCCAGTTTTATTCCATTGTGGTTTGGGAAAATACTTGATATAATTTTGACTTTCTTAAATTTATTGAGACTTGTCTTGTGATCTATCATATGGTCTATCTTGGAGAATGTTCCATGTGCTGATGAAAAGAATGTGTGTTCTTCAGTTATTGGATAAAATGTTCTGTAAATATCTGTTAAGTACATTTTTTTAATCTTTATGTTCTTTCATTGGAGCAAGATTCCTGATCGGTATACAGTGATGTATTTATTAAACATAGGCCTGTGCAGAAATTACATGCTATCCATCTAGATAGGTTGTTACACTTTTGCCTATTGATGGAATAGTTCCATTTATCAAGTCTTATACATCAAAAAACTTTTGAATTTCACCAGACTGTCCATTAATTTACCTCTGAAAAAGTGGCACTTAATTTCAGCTACTATATTTTACAGCATTAAAAAGCTTATGCATTAGGGTGTGCCTCTTTGCACAATGGCATTGAGCAGACAGAGCTGGGTCCATTATCCCACCCAGATTCACATAATGACACTTGAGAGCTTTATACCAGAGAGCAGGGACAGTTACTGCTAACCATCACAGACTTCTTACTCTGAGAACCTATATTCTTGGCCACATTTTATATAGCCAATGAAGACATGCCAGCAACTGTCTCATGTATAACTTGGCATTAGAGCACCAGGTATGTTGGATAGTGGTGGCAGGCACTATTATTTTATATCCTGGTAAAAGGCTAATTTTAAAAACTGCCACTTGGAGATAAAAATCAAGGGCGCAATATACTCAGAAAGTATTGAGCAATCTGGTATTCCAAATGATATGAATACTTTCAGAAACCAATGGCAAATTGTACCCACATTTTTCAGCTATGGAGATATTAATACATTGATTCAAATCCCATTACTCAATCCACATAGCCCTGAGGTCATCCTGCAAAGTGCTTATCAAAAAATACGAAGTTAGGGTGACAAAGTTTGACAGTGATGTTATACAAGTCAAACTTGGAAGGTTATAGTAAGCATACCTAGGCTGAGAGGAAAGCATCAAATCCTTTGTGTACACATTTAATATTGTAACAAAACAATTTGTACACTTTTAACGTTTAAAACTGAGCATCATCTATCCTTTCCAGTGAAATAAAAAGAAAATTTAAAAATGAACAGGAACAAAATTACAATAGAGAATGTCAATTCCAAATAAGATCCTACAGGTTCTTCTGATTCTCCCATTGAGTGGCAGGGCTCAAGTTATCATTAGGAGAGAATTTATTTTAAAAGTATCATCTTAAACTGCAAGGATGTCTGTCAAGTATCACAATTAAACATGCCAAAGGAGAAGCCATGTTGTCAAAATGCCCACTTAACCACCCAAACATCTCAAACCCACCCTTTGCCGACCTTCTATAACCCCATTTTTTAAAGTTTTTTATTCTTTTTTTTTTAAACAAAAGAAAGCAGACAGATACATGTTGGTAAATGCCAACTGTCCATATTCACATAGAGACACAGTGTACTCTCTTGAGCCCAATATACAGAGAAAAGAGGAAAAAAGCTAGAATTCTATGCACTACTACACAGGGCCTAGCACCTTCCAGCTTCCAGCAGTGCGAAGGGAACAGGTTTTTCTTTTTTTCCCACAGAGCACAGTGGTGTCGAGTCCATACAGTTTTTGTTCAGACAGGAAGGGATAACAATGAATTTCGAACAGAAAGGGGTAGAGACTCTTTTCCCATTGTATTATGCTCAAGTTATTTCCCCCAAAATAAGTTGAGAGCCATGGTTTAGAGAACAGAGACCTCAAGAACAGGGTGAATGAGCACAAGAGGGGGGGAAAAAAGACTGCAACTTGCTCCCAGGGACTGGAGAAAATTTTAAAAAAAGGAAGGTTGGAATCCATCAGTGTTCTATTAGTCATTTTCTCCTTCATCCTCCTCTCCTTTCTCCCCTTCATCTTCATCTTCTTCACCTTCATCCTCATCCCCTTCTTCATCAATATCTTCTAATCCTTCCTCCTCTTCATCATCATCGTCATCTTCTTCTCCTTCTCCTTCTTCATTATCCATATCAGGAACCAAGTAGTACTGTAATGGATTTGGCCAAATATCTTTGATGACCTCTCCTAACTCATCAGCACCAACATCAGAATGGTCAGTAAACCAGGTAAAGAAGCTCTCTGGTTCCTCATGCTGCCTCTTCCTGTGAGCTTTATTCTGCGTTTGACTTGAACGTTTCATCAAATCCTTTCCATATTTCCATTTGATTTCGGTGGACTTTGAAGATGGATCACCACTCTCATTCAGATGAAATTCTTTGGCGAGAATGTTATTTTCAAAGTAAGGATTTTCATCAAAATAAAAATCTATTCTGTAACCTGATTTAATATCATCAAAGTCTGTCATTTCAACTCTGGTCAAATAATGCAGTGCCTCTTCGTCCTCCTCCCCAGGCAGTGCAGACACTTCTGGATGATTGACAAATATTGTTACCCAAAAATCTGGGATTTTGGAGATCAATTCTGACCTCTTCTGAAAAAAATGGTTGGCAGAGTTTGTTATATTTCTGTTCTACTTTCAAATCTCCTCACTGGCTTGTTCATTAAGTCTGTCCATTTCATTTTGTACTTCATGAATGTGTTCAATTGTTTCTTGCTGTTCTTTTTCTCCCTTCTTCGGCAAGCCTGCAGAGGCTGATGTCTTCTCCGGTCCCAGAGCAGGAAGTGGTCTTGGTTTCTTCTTTTGAGGGAGGAGTGGAGACTGGCATTTGGAGGCCATGCTGCTAGGGAAGTCCAAGAACCTCCAGTCCCAGAGCAGGAGGTGGTCTTGGTTTCTTCTTTTGAGGCAGGAGTGGAGACTGGCGTTTGGGGGCCATGCTGCTGGGGAAGTCCAAGAACAAGACTATGAGTCTCCTCGCTCATCTGGAAACAGGCAGAACTGTTAAGCCCATTTATTATAGGGTATAGATTAAATCCATTGTTTCTTTGTTGATTTTCTGTCTTGATGACCTGTCTAGTGCTGTCAGTGGAGTATTGAAATCCCCCACTATTATTGCATTGCTGTCTATCTCATTTTTTATGTCTAATAGTAATTGTTTCATAAATTTGGGAGCTGCAGTGTTAGGTGCATATATATTTAGAATTGTGATATTTTCCTGTTGGACTAATCCTTTTATCATTATATAATGTTTCTCTTTGTCTTTTTTTTTTTTTAACTATTGTTGCTTTAAAGTCTGTTTTGTCTGATATAAAAAGTGCCACTCCTGCTCGTTTTTGGTTTCCATTTGCATGGAATACCTTTTTCCACCCCTTTACCTTTATGTAAGTCCTTATGTGTCAGGTGAGTCTCTTAAAGGCAGCAGGTACTTGGTTGGTGAATTTTTATTCATTCTGCCATTCGGTATCTTTTAAGTGGAGCATTTAGACCATTTACATTCAACATTATTATTGAGATGTGAGGTACTGTTCTATTCATCATGCTAGTTGTTGCCCAAATACTTTTTTTCCCACTGTGTTATTCTTTTATGAGCCCTGTAAGATTTATGCTTTAAGGAGGTCCTATTTTGTGGTATTTTGAAGTTTTGTTTCAAGAACTCCTTTTAGCATTTCTTGTAATGCTGGCTTGGTGGTGGTGAATTCCCTCAGCATTTGTTTGTCTGAAAATACTTTACCTTTCCTTCATTAATGAAGCCTAGTTTTGCTGGATAATTCAATATTCTTGGTTGACAATTATTTTGTTTCGATAGGCTAAAGATAGGGCCTTGATCCTTTCTGGCTTGTAAGGCTTCAGCTGAGAAATCTGCTGTTAATCTGATTGATAGGTTTTCCTTTATAGGTTGCCCAATGCTTTTGTCTCATGGCCCTTAAGATTCTTTCCTTTGTCTTGACTTTAGATAACCTGATGACTATGTGCCTAGGTGATGATCTTTTTGTGATGAATTTCCCAAGTGTTCTTTGAGCTTCCCGTATTTGGATGTCTAGATCTCTCACAAGACCAGGGAAGTTTTCCTTGATTATTTCCTCAACTAAGTCTTCCAAACTTTTAGATTTCTCTTCTTCCTCAGGAACGCCAATTATTATTCAGTTTGGCCATTTAACACAATTCAAAATTTATTGGAGATGTTATTTATTGTTTTTTTATTCTTTTTTCTCTGTCTTTCTCTGATTGGGATAATTTGAAAGCCTTTTCTTCAAACTCTGAATTTCTTTCTTCTACTTGTTCTAATCTATTGAAACTTTCCAGCGCATTTTGTATTTCTCTAAGTGTGTCTTTCGTTTCCAGAAGGTTTGATTGTTTTTCTTTATGATATCTATTTCTCTGGAGAATTTTTCATCCCTATCTTGATTTTAAAATTTCTTTAAGTTGGTTTTCAACTTTCTCTGCTGCCTCCTTGAGTAACTTGATAATCAACCTTCTGAATTCCTTATCTGGCAATTCAGAGATTTCTTTTGGGTTTAGATCCATTGCCAGGGAGCTAGTGTGATCTTTTGTGAGTGTTATAAAACCTCGTTTTGTTATATTATCGGAATTAGTTTTCTGGTTCTGTCTCATTTAGGTAGACTATTTCAGTGGAAAGATATGGAACCCAAGGCCTGCTGTTCAGATTCTTTTGTGCTATGGGATGATCCCTTGATGTAGTGCACTCCCACTTCCATTAGGGAAGGAGCTTCCTGAGAGCCAGACTGCAGTAATTGTCATTGTTCTTCTGAATCTAGCCACCCAGTGGGGCTACAAGGCTCCAGGCTGGTGCTGGGGAATGTCTGCAAAGAGTCCTGTGATGTGATCCATCTTCATATCTCCCAGCCATGGATACCAACACCTGCTCTGGTGGATGTGTCAAGGGAGTGAATTAGACTCTGTGAGAGTCCTTGGTTGTAGATATGTTTAGTGTGCTGACTTTCTTAAATGCTGGTTATGCTAGTAGTGACATTGTCACATGGACAGACTCAGGACCTCTAGTTAGCCAGAATGTTGCAAGTGGTGGAATTAGCTGTTGTTTTCTCCTTCCCGTGAGCAGGGTTATTATGTCATGTGTTGCTGGAATGGCCTGAGTTGGTTTGCCTCCAGCCAGGCGGTGGCACTTTCAAGACAACACCAGCTGTGGTAGTAGTAGGGAGATGTAAGCTTGCCCTAAGTTGGCCAGGGTAAGTATTCTGGTTTCTCAGGTGATGGGTGGGGCCATAAAGTTCCCAAGAGTTTCTATCTTTTGTGTTCGGCTACCAGGGTTGGTAGAGAAAAAATATCAGGTTGGGGCAGGGTTACATGGGTCTGGGCTTAGACTGTCCTTGGGTGGGGATTGCCATGGCTGCTGTGTGGGATAGGGGGTGGTTCTCAGGCCAATGGTGTTGTGTTGCAGAGGGGATTATGGCTGCCTCTTCTGTGTCATATAGTTTGCCAGGGAAGTAGGGGATAGCCAGTAGTGAAAGGCCTCACCCAGCTGTCATGCAGTTGGTGAGTCTGGTCTTACTCCTCTAATGCCCTGCTCAGACCTTGTCCCAGGCTGTAAGCTTTCCCACTGAGAAAGCAAGCACAGCTTTCCCTGTCTGTCCACAATATTGTTGTTGGCTCCTGTGCTCATATCTACAGCAGTTTTGCCCCCCAGTTTGCCCCCCAGATTCTGTTCAAGAAAATTTGTGCCCAGTTGAAATTATTACAAATTTCAATTGGAAGCTACTTTCACCCTGTGACCCCTCCCTAGTTCTGCTGGCTGCCTTCCCCAAGGCCGATTGTGAGATATAGTCAGAGATGACTTCCCTGGGTTTGAGCTGGAGACTACAAGTGCCTACAGGGCTCTTCCCACTGCTGCTTCTACTTTTTTATTTTGTGTGGCTCCCTAAATCTGTTTCAGCTCTAGGTAAAGTTAAATCCTTCTCCCAGGATCTGGATTTTCAGATTCACCAGTGGGGATATGTATTTGGAGGCAGGTATTTTCCCTTTCACACTTTAGGAACTCACAGTTTTTTGCTTGTCTTACAGAATTTGCAGTGATGTACTGCTTCTTTCAAAGGATCTGTGAATTCTTTCAGTTTTCCTGGTACATTCCTGCTATGGTTCCTGGAGCAAAAGTTTACAGTGTGAGTCTCCACACACTGTTCTGTCCATCTAAGTGGGAGGTACATGTTAGCTCTGTCTCCTATTCACCACCTTTCTCCTGATCTCCAGGATATTTTAATTCTGTTATTAATTTCTCATTTAATTGCTTGGTAGTCATAGAATATAATCTGTGTAATGCCAGCTCTCTGACACTTGTTGACTTTTATCTATAGCTGAGAATACATTAATTTTTGTAAATATTCCCTGTGTGTTTGAGAAGGCAGGTCCAGGTGAAAGTTCATTCCCAGAGAGGATTAGCGATTTCTTCTGCAAGGTGCTTGGGCCCTCCATTAGCCTGAGTTCATTCTAAAATTAATTCTCAATGAAAATATGAATTTGTTCTGTAAACCCAAAGGAAGGCCACTTTGTGGTTTCAGTCTCAGGGATATTTTTTCCATTCACTCAGTGCAAAGGTTTTGGAAGTTTCTTTGCTGTCTTCTGTCTATGGCCTCTTTCATTTATCCTTTCACTGAGCTTTTAGTCATATAAAAAAGGGAATGTGATCTTTTCCACTTTTCTTTCTATCTATGGCAGAGACATGGGGAAACATTTCCACATCATAAAAATCTACAGCTCCAGTGCTGTGATAAATGCCCAATGCTGCTCAGCCTCAGGAGGAGAGTCACAGGGCATGCTGGGGCCTTGGTTCCTGGAGAACTTTCCTCCCCTTCTCACTGTCATTCCCCCAAACATACAGGCAATAGCAATTCTGGAGTTCAGTTTCTTCCTGGGAAGTCTTGTGCGATCTTCTGGTTTAAAACAAACATTTCTGATATCCCCATTTTCAAAAATGTATCATCTCTTGATTTCTAGATGTTGGCTCAGTTTTTTCTTTTTGAAAGCACTGTGCAGGCCAAATCTAACTTCCTGCAGGCAGAACATGGCCTGTGGGCTAACAGTTTGAGACCCCTATACTAGATGGCTTAAGATACATGTTATTATATGGCTATGCTATATATATTATATAACATATGAATGTGTTATATGTCTATGATATAACATAATATATGTTATATAATAACAAACATGTTATTCATATAGAAACAAAGTAATTTAGTAAATTGGGGCAAAGATTTTTTGTGTAGGGCATAAAAATATCTGAATATCTGGTTTCTAATAAATGCTGCCATTTCTCTAGCGATCTAGGGTTAAAATGTCAGCTAAGCACAGAGGGAGGAAAGTCTGCTGGTTCAACTGATGTTCCCCCAGCAGGGAGAGCCAGGCTCCCTGTTATCACAACAAGGCAATCCTGGTGATAAACTAGACATAATGTGCACACTGGATTAGATTCTTGCCTTCCCTCCTCTGCCCCACTCCACACACACATCTGTACTGTGAATACCAAATACTGATCATTTCTCTGTACAGCCCAAATGTCCACAGGATTTTCACCTCATAATATGTTGGAGTGTAAAGGTCCCCAAGAGCTACAGAGATTTGCAGAGGAAAAAATTCGCTCTGCCTTGGGTCCTCTGAGCAATGCTTGTGTTGCTGAAACCCGTGCCTTAATGATGTTGATCCGGGCTGCTCTCCGCTGCCAGCCTCTCGAGTGATCCAGGTAATCTGAGCTCCTGAGGCCTCTGGCCAGGCCACGCAGCCAGAAGGAAGTCATTTCCTTTCCCTTGGAGGTAATGCACATCCACAGGGCAAGGCCACGTGGTTCAAAGGCCAGCTTCACCTTTTGCGTGGGGGTGACACAGACCTGGCAGGAGCCCTTTGAAATGCCAGGGCAGGCTGTAGGCTGACTGAGAGGGCACTCAACCATGCAACAGCTGGAACCCATTAAGGTTGGCAATTTTTGCCCAAGGGACGAAATTGCCTTTACATTGGCAAGGCCAAGGACTTGGCTCACACTTGACTGATGTTTGAAAAGAGATGCTTCAGGGAATTTGAGGCAAAGGAGGTGAGACTGTCCCCTGGGGCCCTGTTTCATGCTGGAGCAACCTGCCTGTGGAAGTAATTAGGTGCTGCGCTGATGGGCTCCCTGTCAACTTAATGACACTTCACTGTGTCCAGGAATGGTTGTCCACAGGGTGCAGAGCCATTCTGTGAAATTTCCTTGAGGGTAAATGGCCTACACAAAGAGAAGGGATTCAAACAAGAATGATGATGTGGTTTCCCTCCTGTTATTATTATTTTAAATGCTAATACCATCAGTCCATACTATTTGATCTGTGTTTAGAAAAAAAAATACAGTATATATTTCTGAGGGTGTTTTATTCTGATAATTTTTCTATTCCTCCATTTACAAATGCACACATAATTGTTATAAAGTCATCTTTAAACCATAAATTTATTTAAAAGTCAAAATTATCTTTTAATGTAACTCCATATCAGATATAATTTATGAGCATGACTACATTCTAGTAAGTTAGCTATGGCAAAAGCCTGAATATGAAACAACATATTTTCTTCTAGGAAGATAAGCTGTAGGGTACAGAGCTGGGAACTGGGAGCCAGAGTTCTGGTTCCAGTACTGCAAGATGCTTGCTAAAGGCAGAGGCTGATGATCAATTAAATTCAGGAGTTGCTGTGCCCCATATTTCATTTTTGGAGATTGATATCACACATTAGCATATTAAGATATATCAAATTAAGGAAACTAAAAACCTTTTCCATATTCCTTTGCTACTGTGATTTCAAATGGATTTAGATTTCATCAATTAGTTGCACTAGTGTAAGATTTGAGTCCAGAAGTAGTCGGAGAAGAGGTAGTGGGGTATGAGGCACCAGTTTAGCTATCCAGATATAGTAGATACAGAATGACTTTGGAGCCAAAAGTTCCAGCAATAACTTCTAGTCCCTGGATTCACAGTAGGGTGGAGTGTTTCTGGGACAGCTGAAGAGGCATGCTTGCAGAGGCAGCTTCTTGATTCCCAGATTTAAGGCAGTTCAATCATGAAGCCAGCAGTTGCCATGGCAGCTTTGAGATTCCCAGCTCATTGCCTATAGCTAGGGCAACAGTTCCTTTAGCCTGCCAGTTGAGCAATGTTATTCTGAAACTCATTCCTAAAAATCCATTCTAAAGCCTATTATTCTAGGTATTCAACAATTTCCTGAATTAAGTTTCTTTCTGCCTAAGGTAACTACTAATAGAATGGTGTCTCTTACCTACAACGAATCCTCTCCTTGTACACTGTGGTTCTCACTCTTGGAAATATTGCTCTAAAGTATCTTTCATGATCCTGTGACTTGGGAGAAACACACATACCCTTTCCTCTTGACCTACAACAGCTCTTGTTGGTAGGAAGTATTTGCTCCCCTATTTTCTCTAGTAGTACACTCTTATAACCCGTGGATTCTCCCTTTTACCTGTTAGTACTCTGACCATGCTGCTGTGTCTCTTTGGAGGACTCAGCCTTCTCCTGGGGCAGGTTAGGGAGATGCCAAGATTAAAAAATGGTGCATTCTTGTTTACTTGAGCACTCAACACAGTGCCTGACTGAATGGGCATTTGGAAATCTTTAAGTGATTAACTTTCAATAAATGGCAAGAAGTTCAGAGATTCAGAATGTTTTTTAACATCCTGTGAAATTGCATTGTCACTTTATATGTCACATTCTACCTTTGAAAGATTGGATTTGCTTTAGAAGTGTGGTGGTTTCTCAGCCGGGCACGGTGGCTCACGCCTGTAATCCCAGCACTTTGGGAGGCCAAGGCAGGTGGATCACCTGAGGTCAGAAGTTCAAGACCAGCCTGGTCAACATGGTGAAACCCTGTCTCTACTAAATATACAAAAAATTAGCCAGGCGTGGTGATGGGCGCCTGTAATCCCAGCTACTTGGGAGGCTGAGGCAGGATAATCACTTGAACCCAGGAGGTGGATGTTGCGGTGAGCCGAGATCACGCCATTGCGCTCCAGCCTGGGCAACAACAGCGAAACTTCATCTCAAAAAAAAAAAAAAAATGTGTGATGTTCTCAAATCATAGATAACAGTTCCTCGTATTACTAAAGAAGTTCCTTTGGAAATTTGCAGCCTAGAGTTTTCCTTGAGTGATAAAGAAGACAAAGATGAACCATTAATTACTTAAAGTTGTAACTTTTGTACAATTATATTTAGCAAGAGGTTTGATGTAAATTTTCATTAATTCTAATTACACGGTACTTTATTAAAATAATTTGTGATGAATTTAGAAACACAACTAACATCCACCAGAAACATCAGAGCTTATAGTTTGGACTTTCCTAGGGGCAATTTGTGTCAAGGCACCCGTGTTTGGGGTGGAGTTTTCAGTTTGCTGAGGATGACTCCGTGTGAGTCTTGGGGTACGCTCTGGTGCATATTGGTGAACGTAATTCCTGCCCCTGTGGTTTCCTCACAACCTTTCAAGCAGGAAGAGTCTCAGAACTTCTAGTTGTGACTGCCCATAGCATTTTCAGGCCTTTTTTGGAAAAAAAGTCTTTTTTTCTTTCCACAGAACCAAATTCTCAGTACAGCATTATTGATTACTTTCTCCTGTCTTGTTTGTGTGGGGGGGGGGGGGCGGGGGGGGGCAGGGGAGTTAGGGGTAAACTAGCACATATTTAAGCTATGCCACAATGTTAATTTACCCTAAAAATACTACTGCTTGAAGTCTGCACTTCCCTTAAGGTTAGTTTTTTTCCAAGTGGTATTTTTCATCTTCATAAGATGGCTCTTACACAAAGGGGACAGATACCTGAGGATGCTCTGAGATTGACACAGCGTTTGCCAGTGTGATGTGTTTGCCAATGTGAACAATTGCAAGAGAAGAGTTGGATGCTCTGACAAAAAACTTGAAGCAGACTTCACATGGGAACAGGTCTGGGTGAATGTGTTTCTGTGAAATATTTTATTCCACAGGTGGAAAAGACTGTTAAAGAAAACTCTTAGCTTGGCACAAAAGAGCATTATCAAGTAATAATTACTTGTGTATGCTAACGCTAAATTCTTGGGAGAAAACTTGGAGAGACTGCCCTGGGGCATTTTTTTGAGACTTCTACTAAACTTTTGATGAAATTTCATGAATTGGAGATCCTATGATTTAGGGACTAATTATGTGTTCTCCAATGCACCTTTATTTAATTTCCATCCCTTTAGCTGAAATCTGACTCTGAGGAATGCAAACAGGAAGGGGTGGGAAAGGTGCCTCCAAGTACTGAAGAGTCTTTGAGACACAGTTGTCTGACAAACATTTCCTTTAGCAGTGTCCTCAGGTCTCTTGCCGATGTGGCTTTGCTGACATTACACACAATATCTCTTTGCTCCAAATGTTGAACTAATCAGGACTGTTTTTTAGTGAATTCAAAAAAAGAAAAAAGAAAAAGAAAAGGCCCTAATATGTTATTTATTTTTCTA
This sequence comes from Homo sapiens, assembly GCF_000001405.40. NCBI lineage: Eukaryota > Metazoa > Chordata > Mammalia > Primates > Hominidae > Homo > Homo sapiens. The sequence continues at coordinate 97,065,895 of NC_000005.10, forward strand.
TTTCATTTTTACATCTCTATTTCTTTTTCAGTTTAGTGAATTGAGGATGCAGAAAAAATGCAAATAACTATGTTGTAAAACAAATAACACATTTTTCTTGAGAAAAACAAGCCAGGCTCTGTGCCACTTGGATTCTAAAATAAGATCCATATTTTAAAACAATATCCCAGAGCTGTTTATTAATTTAAATAATAGATTCATTACCAAGCCCTGGCTTCAACTGAGTATAGAGAACTAGTGTGAATGTGTCTTTTAATGAAAAACACTACCTTCAGGAATACCAGACACCTACTAAATTATAGTACTTAGCAGAAGACGACAGATGAATGGCATGACGGTGACTATAATGAAGTATGTTGGAGTTGGTAAGGCAGAAAGGGAAATGGAGTTTCACCTATGATCACACTTTGGACAAGGAAAGACCACCTTTAAGAAATAAGTTATTTTAAAAAAAGGAAGAAATGGGAGAAGGTGGTGTTTTTCATTTTTATTCATTCCTTCTTCCAAGTTTTCCCCATTAAATTTGTAAACCATAAGGTACATTATGCCACTGTTATTATTGGTTATCAAAACAAGACAGTTAATGTACTCTAAAGGCACATTAAAAATAAGAGTTAAAGGTGTACCCTTTCCATGGTGACCTTATGTGGAACCAAAATCTTTGTTCTTTCTTGTTATGTCCTTTTCCTACACTGCCAGCCCACAGAATTTCACAGAACCTTAGAGATGCAGTCTCACTAACTCTCTTTTGACACCTACGTATCTCAGGAACCCGTCTCCAAAAAAGCACTTGAAGTTTTTATTTTGTTCGATTTTCAGAATGAATTTTGAAGTGGAATCCACCAAAAAAAAACAAAAAACAAAAAACCAGCCTTGAAAAACTTGGTTCATTTGCTCTAATTGTTATTGACTGAAAACTAACTAATTTGCTAACCTATGTTCTTTCTATTCTTTCAACTCATTAAATAATCTAATTTGAAAAGCCTTTAAAGTTGAACGCAATTCCCAGGTAACTACCATCCTTTCCTCTGGGCTTATTAAATGTTTCTTTACCCTTCCTTGGAGTGATTTTTCAAGAGGCTAATGGTTTTCATTTGGCCCAAGCTATATTTTATCTCATATTTTATTTTGTGGAACAATTCCTGTGGCAAAAAAAAAAAAAAAAAAAAAAAAAAAAAAAAAAGAAAAGCATCTTTAGAGAGGAACGGGACCTCAAGAGAGACTGAGCCAGTATTGTGAAGTCCGGGAAAGAGGTGGATTGTCCAAAGGGGTTTCCTTGGACTGATATCTGCATGCAGCAGTCACTTTTTCTGACTTTCTTCTCTGCTACTCAGAGCTACCAAGATTCATTTGAAAGGAAAATCTAATGAAAAATGGAAAAGAAGCAGATATACAAGTCTGACAGTTGGTTTTGACTCCCACCCACTGAGAGAGTAAAGAAGTTTATTGTTTCAGTTGATACCTGGTTTTTGGTGATATATTGTTTGTTGCTGTTATTTTTAAAGCTATTCAGTTACTTTATTTTGAAAGATGAGTGTGAGAAAAGCCTTTTCTTTTCCTTTGGAACTAGTCCACATCTTAGCTGACAAGTAACAGCAACTGTTCTTTGTCAGTCATTTTCAGGGCCCTGTTTGTGAATGAAATCTCAGGAGACGTGCCCAATAACCCCTAGGTTCTGAAAATCATTTACACGCCAGGGGTACTGTGTTTCTCTTTTTACATACCAGTGTGTTTATTATTGAAAACCATAATGGGGCAACGTATGCTGAGCTTTTAAGGAGACAGTGCTGTAAAATCTGTGTCATGTCTGTAACAGTTATGGTTATCATTGGACTTCTGTCCATTATCTCTTGTTTCTTATCGCTTTGATTTAGAGTTCTGGAAACAAGAATATTTCTGCTTCTTTAGCTTCTCAGTTCAGGTCATCTTCAGGCTCTTCTCTGACAAATATTCCTATTCAAGCCATTTTGTAGGATATGGAGTTGTTTTTAGTAGGGTTGAGAAAAAATGAGAGGTGGCAAATGATACTACGTGAAGACTAATGACCAAACTGTGCTAGGACCTATGTCCTATTTCCACATAAAATAATAGCAAAAATCTCTTCGGATATTCATTGGACAGTGAGGTTCATGCAAGTTAGCCTAGGCTAGTACTGACATTCTCATTAACCTTGACCCATTCTAGACCCTACATGGATTCCCCCAGTCGATTCCATACCTCATTCAGGCCCTCTGGTTATTTACAAGACTGGACTTCACCTAGCTAGGGCCATATCTCCCTAACATACAATTACCGTGTTAGGCATAGTACTCTAAATTGTGGCAGAAATGGTGGGCTGCTGGCCTTTTTTAACTCCTTCTCACTGTCCCTAATTTATCCTATCTGCAGCTGAGAGACAAGGATATACTCATGAGAAAAGTAAGATGAGGGAATTTAATAATGATTTGAGGTATTCTTTTTTGTGGTATGTACAGGAAGCCAATTAAAACTTCAAAGTCTTGACATTTAAAAAATATATTTAGGAATATAAATTTTCAGAAACCTCTGTTCAATTTAAAGGAAAGATTGGACATTGATATAGTTTGGATATTTGTCTCGCCCAAATCACATGTTGAATTATAATCTGTAATGCTGGAAATGGGGCCTGGTAGGAGATGTTTGGATCATGGAAGTAGATCCCTCATGGCTTGGTGATATCTTAGTGATAGTGTGTTCTCACAAGATCTGGTCATTTAAAAGTGTGTGGCACCTTCTCCCCACTCTCTCTTGCTGCTGCTTTTGCCATGTAACATGCCTACTCCTCCTTTGCCTTCTGCCATGACTGGAAGCCTCCTGGGGACTCCTTAGAAGCAGATGCTACTATGCCTCCTGTACAGCCTGCAGAACCGTGAGCCAGTTAAACCTCTTTTCTTATAAATTACCCAGCCTCAGGCATTTCTTTATAGCAAAGAAAGAACAGACATAAAATGTATTTTATTTTATTTTGGCTATTGACCTGTCTTATAGTTCACTAATTCTCTCTTCTGCTATATCTAATCTTTTACAAATTTGTCTTTAATGGCTCACACCTGTAATCCTAGCACTTTGGGAAGCTGAAGGAGGATCACTTGAACCCAGGAGTTCAGGATCAGCCTGGGCAACATAGGAAAACCCCCATCTCTACAAATAATTTAAAAACTCGCCCAGCATCGTGGCACGTGGCTGTGGTCCTCGCTACTTGGGAGGTTGAGGTGGGAGGATCACTTGAGTCCAGGAGGTTGAGGCTGCAGTGACCCATGATTGCACTACTGTACTCCATCCAGCCTAGGTGATAGAGCCAGACTCTATCTAAAAAAAAAAAAGAAAAAGAAAGAAAGAAATTATCTATAAAGTTTTTAGTTTAGTTATTGTATTTTTCAGTCCTGGGATTTCTATTCAACTATTTTTTATATATTTGAAACCAACTCAGGTATAATTTTTTATCTTTGTGTTTACCTTGACCATTTTCCTCTCTATTTTATCGAACATATTCATTAATTGGTTAAAATCCTTATCTGATTATGCCAATATTTGGGTCACTGATGGAGTCTGTTACCATAATTTGTTTTTTCTTTTAGTTTGAAATCTTATAGCCTTGTCTCTTGGAATTCCTAGTGAATTTAAAAAATTAAAACCAAGACACTGTGCATAAAAAATCATAAATGCTACACTCAATACTATTTTTTTCCAGAGAAGGCATGCTGTTTCCTCACTAAGTGGATAGAATGATAATTAATCACATGTCATACTCCACATAAATTAAATTAAAATGTCTGAGGGTAGCAGCTAGGTAACAATACTTTTAAGGAATTCCCAGGTGATACCAATATGCAGCAAAGTTCCAGAACCACTGTTACAGGCTTGTTCATTGTCTAAGGACTCTCTCCTAATCCTTACCTCCTTAGCATCTGAGACTGAACACTAATCCATGTTGCCTTAGTCTGGCAAGACTTCCAAAAAGTCCACTCGATTTTTTAAGATATTCTACTTCATTTCTTTCTTTTTTTTTTTTTAACTTTTATTTTTTGAGACGAGGTCTCTGTTTGTCTCCCAGGCTGGAGTGCAGTGGCATGATCATAGCTCACCACAGCCTCGACCTTCTGGGCTCAAGCAATCCTCGCACCTCAGCTTCCTGAGTAGCTGGGACTACAGGTGTGCTCCACCACATCTAGCTAACTTATTTTTATATTTTGTAGAGACAGGGTCTCCCTATGTTGCCCAGGCTGGTCTCAAACTCCTGGGCTCAAGTAATGCCCCTGCCTTGGCCTCCCAAAGTGCTGGGATGACAAGCGTGAGCCACTACTTCTGGCCTTCATTGCTTAACCATAACTATCTCAAGCATATTTCAGGTACAATTCTCTACCCTTCCTTACCCTTCCTCTTTCTCCAGGATCAAGTCTGAGTCTCTAACATTGCCTCTTCAGCCTCATTAACTTGACAAAGTTCTGTTGGTTTTGTTAATTCTAGAAGCTTCCCTCTCTCCAAGCAAAGTCCATGTTTTCAGCCTCTTACCTATTCTGCAAATCAGCATATATCTCCAGGGAAAAAACAGCCCAACAACAATTCACCTCTCCATGATCTACTGTCTCTTCTGCACCAACCCCCTCCCCACTCTTGGGCTCTCTAGCTTCAGCAACTCTCCCAAGCCTCTAAAACACACATACACATAATTTTTTAAACTCAGTTTTCTAGTTGTTCTCAGGGCTGATCTGTGGGAAACAACTCTATTATACCCAGAAGTAGAAGTCTGACAATAGCTTTGTTAAATCAAGCTTAGCCTAAAGCTGCCTCCTTACATATTTTAAGTTTGGCTTAAAGGTTTCTCTGAACATCATGAATTATAACCTGATAGAAGAAAAACTTCAGCCGAATTACATTTGAAAGAGTTTAATTGAAAAATGAACGATTCAAGAATCAGGCAGCCTCCCAAGACAGAGTAGGCTCAGAGATTCCAGCACAGCCACGTGCTGAAAGAAGATTTATGGACAAGTGGGGTACAGAAAACGGAAGCGAGGTACAGAAACAGCTGGATTGGTAAAAGCTCAGCATTTGCTTTATTTGAACATGGTTCGAACAGTTGGCTACATTTGATTCATCAAAACTTAGTAATTGGCACAAGTGTAGACTATGGCCTGTTTACACCTCCACTTGTCATAGTTCATGATGTACAGAGAAACCTTTAGGCCGAACTTAAAATATGTAAGGAGGCAGCTTTAGGCTAAACTTGATTTAACAAACCTAAATGGAATTGTAAACAGACTGTAACCTGCTCTTGTGCCAATCACCAAGTTTTGGCCAATCAAGCGTGGCCAACTGTTTGAACCGTGTTCAAATAAGACAAACGCCAAGTTGTGACTAATCCAGCTGTTTCTGTGCCTCGCTTCCATTTCTGTACGTCACTTTCCCTTTTCTGTCCATAAATCTTCTTTCACCACGTGGCTGTGCTGGAGTCTCTGAGTCTACTCTGGCTCAGGAGGCTGCCTGATTCGCGAATCATTCTTTGCTCAATTAAACTCTTTCAAATTTAATTGGCTAGAGTTTTTTTTTTTAGCAGCTTTTAAAATATTTTACTAGATTGTATTTATGGTTAACAGTATCTTGCACTACAATTTATATTTAGATAATCATTCATTTTAAAATTATTTATTGAGCACCTACTATGTGTTAGGTATTAGGTACAGAGCAATGAATACAGCAAGCACAGTTCCTCACCTCGTGGACCTGACACTGTAGTGTGAGAGATAATAAGCAAATGATATAAGGCCATGCAGTAGTTAAATGCTATGAAGAAACATAAAATCTGGTACAGGGACAGAGAGTAGGGAGGGAGCTCTTGTTATAAAGGGTGGCCAGGAAAGACCAAGTTGTGTAGCAGAGGCCTGAAGGAAGCCAGGGACCAAGCCATATGAATTTTCTCAGATAGGTGTATTCTAGTTATAGAGAACAGCAACTGGAACGGTCCTGAGAAGGGAACATTCCTGGAACATTCAAGAACTAGCCAAGAGATCAGCAAGTCTATAGTAAAAAGAAACATAGTAGATAGTCATCTAGTGTTTTCTTCTCTTCCTTCCTATTATCTCTCATACCATGTCATGTTACTTTTCTAAAGGATCTCAATGGGGAAGAGAACATCATTGTCTTTAAGATTCAATTTTTTGTGTATTGAAAGTCTTCATGGTCATTCTTTTGAGATCATGACCTACTACAACGTCCCCAGGCCTGCATCCTCCACAGGTGAGGTTTCTTTGCTTGGCTTCAGCAGCCTTTCAGACAGCTGCTCATGCATTATGTATTTATAGAGGACTGACCACGTCCAGGCACGATTTGCTGAGCTAGGTTTACAGAACCAGGCTGCTTGTATTAGAATTGAAATGCTTAGCATTTTCAGGAGTCACTTTTTTCCCCCTGTAGTGCATAAATACGGTATATCTTTATACTACCAGTTTCCCATTTAAAAAGTATTATTATTGTTATTAAGTATTAACCATTTGTCTAGTATCATGGAGTAGAAAAGAGGCACAAAAGAAGTTTGTATTGTGCCTGTGGGAGTTTCACCTCAAAGCGGGAATCCCAACTTGAGCCAAAGTTAAGTTTGCACCGACATTCAGTCACCATCTGGGGGATTTGGGAGGGAAAACGAGTGTCTTCTGTAGTGGAAAAGGCATGTTAGTATGGAGCTTTGGTCCAAAGTCAACAGATCAGTGTTAAAGAGGGAGAAGTTTAATACTCAGCCCTTGTGGACTCATGTCCTTGGGAGAAAGACTTCAAAAAACATTCCGTAAAAACCAGAGAAGCTGTTTCCTGGATATCTGCTAAGGCAGCTAGAGCTTAGGTCAGCACAGCTTTGCAGCCTGAGTGTCAGACAGCAGCTCTGGGGCTACTGCCTGAACAGGAAAGTGGGCAAACCTCATCCTGAATTGAGAAGATGTGGGAGTAGACCTCATCCCTTGATGGTCTTAGTTTCCTGGCAATGGCAGGAGCAGCTGCGATTTTGGCAGGCTTGGCCACCAGTGGTGGCATTTATACAGACAGGAGGCAGGGAAATACCGGGTAGAAGAGGGAGGTTCCCTCCCAAAGGCCCCACCCTCAAGCCTGGAAACCCATGACTTTAAATGGGAATAGGCATTCTTGTTTTTGCACCCAAATGTTGCCTTTTGGCCCACCATGTCCACCCCCCATCTTGTACCAATATAAACCCCAAATTGCAGGCTCCATGAGCAGAAAAGCAGACGAATAGAAGAGCAGAGGAACAGAAGAATAGCAGTGTGGCCGAGCAGCGTGGTAGAGAAAGAGGGAAGAGAAGCAGCATCTGAATGTTGAGAGGAGTTTGGCTGGGGACAGTCGGAGAGGAGATTGGCCGCAGGACGACCCAACTCCAGGGGAGGAACATCTTCCTACTCCATTCGCTTCCCCACTCCCCAGCCATTCCACTGAGAGCCACCTCCATCTGGCAATAAAATCTCTTGCATTCACTATCCTTCAATTTGCCTGTGTGACCTGATTCTTCCTGGATGCTGGACAAGAACCCAGCATCCAGGTACCAAGAGGGCACTGGGCTGGATAACACTTGAGCTGTCTGTGGACGGCAGAGCTAAAAGAGCACTGTAACATGCCCACTGGGGCTTTGGGAGTTGCAGGCACCCACCCTGGATGCTACTACCATGGGGCTGGAGCCCAAAAGTGTTTGCCCCGCCTCCTGCACCTGCCCGTCTGCATGCTCCCCCTCCAGTAAGGGGTTTGAGTGCACAGAGGCTGAACAGATGAGCCACACCCCTGTCACACATCCTGTGAAGGGGGTTAGGAAACTCTCCCATTTCATCTTGACCATCTTTGAGGGACTATTGATGCTTTTGGTATCAGCAGCCACAGAATTCATCAGACACAGCACAAAAGAGCAGGAGAAGAGATAATGGCAGATGCCAGAAGGTAAGAAGGAATTCGCCTGTGAGCAAGTGTGAGCTGTGCCCTGGGGGTATCTTAAGTGCGGGAGAAATTCGAGAGAGTTGGAACTTCTAGAAGTGGGAAGTGAAGGACAGAGCCAGAGAATGATACTGTTGTGGTCATTGTGATATTATTTTTATCCCCAAGATGTGGTATCTGGAGTGAGGTACAGAATATAAAGCCTAACCCTAGGCGGGCGCGCGTGGCTCACGCCTGTAATCCCAGCACTTTGGGAGGCTGAGGTGGGCGGATCACGAGGTCAGGAGATGGAGACCATCCTGGCTAACACGGTGAAACCCCGTCTCTACTGAAAATACAAAAAATGCCCCGGGCGTGGTGGCGGGCGCCTGTAGTCCCAGCTACTCCGGAGGCTGAGGCAGGAGAATGGCGTGAACCCCGGAGGCGGAGCTTGCAGTGAGCCGAGACCGAGCCACTGCACTCCAGCCTGGGTGACAGAGCAAGACTCTGTCTCAAAAAAAAAAAAAGAAAAAAGCCTAATCCTACATATACGACTAAGGAGATAGAGTATCTTGAATTTAGACAAGGCGATTAAGTCTCTATCATGGACTGAATGTTTGTGTCCCCTCAAAATCCATATGTTGAAGCCCTACACTCAATGTTATGCTATGAGGAGGTAGGCCTTTTGAGGGGTAAATTAGATTGAGCTGAGGGCATGAGCATGGAGCTTCCATGGTGGGATTACTTGCCCTTATAAGAAGAGCAAGAGACGCCGGAGCTTCCTCTCTCCACCTAGAAGGTGACCATTTGCAAGCCAGGAAGAGAGCCCTCACTAAAACCCAAATCTACTGGCACCTTCATCTTAGACTTCCCCACCTCCAGAACTTTGAGAAAATAAATTTCTGTTGTTTAAGCCACTCAGCCTAACCAGTACATGACCAATGATCTTCCTCTAGTTTAGCAGCAAATATTAAATATTTTCATTCACCTATTCATTTATTTCATTCAACCAGTATTTCTGAAACACCTATCCTGTGCTGTGAAGTACTGATAATGGATTAGGTACTGAGCTAGGAGATGGAGATTTTTGTTTTCATGGGCTCCCATTTTGTAGAGCAGAGATGCATGAGCCAGCACCCCTGAAATATTTGTTATTTCCTGAAGCTCCATGCTGTCTTCCAACTCCATGTCTTTGCACAGTTGTTCCCATTGGTACACTTTTCTTAACCTGCCCCACCCAACAGTCTATCTTGAAAGTTCCTGTTTATCTTTCAAGACTCGGCTCAGGTATTACTTCCTTCCCTAATTCTTCCTAGACATGCCTTTTCTGCGTTTATATTGAAAAACTAAGCCTTAGAAAATTTAAACAACTTACCCAAGGTTATATAACCATTAAGTTTAAGAGCAGGAATGCAATCCCAGGTAAGTATGGCTTTACCTTGGCTCCTGTGTAGACTAACATAACACGGAGTTATATAATCGAGAGAACACACTGGGCTGGGAGCCAAATGCCAGATCTATTTCATGTCATCTATGTGACATTGGGTAAGTCATGTAAAATTCTCAAGCCTCAGTTTTTTTAAATCTAAAAAACAGGGATGAGAAAGTTATCTCACAGGATAGTTGTGAGAATTAAAATATGACATTTAATTAGAAATCATGTAGCAAAGTGCTTAGCTCAATGAATATTTATTAGGAAAAGATATTTTAGTCTTCTTAGGCCTGATCATATAGGCCCATGAAGCTCTTGTGTTTGTGTAAAACACTTTCTTTCTCTTGTGTGCGTGCTTCAAATGCTCACTCGTTAGTCAACAGCAGCTCCTGGGTAATTGTCTTGAGGATCTGAGGTTAGATCAGTAGCTTTCTAGCTAAAAATGTCTCCCGGAGGAGCAGAAGCATATTTCCATATCGGCTTCTAAGTCTCCTATGTTTTTGATTACAGCTGTGTGAAATGAATGGAAAAAGACTGAAATGATTAAGTAACTCTGCTGCTCTCCATTGGTGATGGGGAGTGAATTTGACAGGAGACGAGCAGACAAAGTCCTAGGATTCCAAAGAATTTTAATGGGCAACTGAATGTTAATAATTGTCAGAGCAAGACTCAGATGATCACATCAAATCCTCACAGGCATCTTATGTTATTTCCTCTACATCTTACACAAGTGGGAGACAACTAATAACATGGCCCGTGTACCATGATGCAGCCCAGAACTATGAATTTGACGAGGACATGGTTGATGATATTCCTTCTCTAAATACGATCCTCAGACCAGAAGCATCAGTGTCACTTGGGAAGTTGTTAGAAATACATTTTAAGGGCCCCACTCCAGACCTACTGCACCACAGGCTATGTTTCTAAAAGATCCCCAGGTGATTCTCAGCTTTATTAAAGTCAAAAAAGTACTGAATTAACCATTGATGACAAAGCATTTGTGCTCAGATCTACACAATGGCAATAGACAGTTTTAACTTCCTTGCTGTGTGTCTCTGGGCAAACTACTTAACCTCTCTGACTCTATTTTCTCATTTATAAACTAGAGATAATAGTAGTTCCTACCTCACAGGGTTTTTCAAAGTAAGTGTGCCATAAATAAATGTAAAGCCCTTAGGATAGTACTTGCTGCATAGGAAGACAGCAAAATATTCTTGTTTTACAAGTGATAATAATAGTAATAATAGATCTTAAAAGACTCATCCAAGTCACACAGTTAAAGTAGAAACAGAAAATTATAAGCCTCAAAATAATTGAAGACAGAGGCCACCAATTTTGGTTCCTGTCAATGAAGAACTTCGAAGGAGGGGAAATATTGATACAGTGGCTTTGAGTAGATCATCTCTGGGGCAGCCATGACTGACATCTTATCAGGTGGATCAGAAAAGGTCAACAAATATCTGACATACCTATTGCATACCAAAATTTAAGTTAAATTATTATTTCTTCTATCTCTTATCATCATAAACCTGAGTTTTTGTCCAAGTCTGTTTGCTAGGAAAGGCTGGCAGACTCCCAGTAAAATGGAAAGGTCTGTATTAATAATTCTAGTGACTGTTACCTTATAACTTTGGGATTAGAATAAGTTTCTGATAACAACATTTACAAGAATATTTGCCATAGATAACTCTATTTGTTCGCCTATGTTTATGAGTGGAATTTGATTTTATGCTCAAAAACTATTGATGACAATCTACTATTACAACTGTTGATGACAATCTACTATTGCATCTCTGATTTGGCTGTATACAACTGGACAAGTGTAAAATGACTCTGCAGATATCTTTAAAATTAGGAATCCAGATAAAAGCATATGCGGGTGAGGTTTTTTTGGTAAAATGTATTTTACAAGTAAAAGAAATTAAACAATTTAAAATGTACATTGTGGAATATAAATTTGTCACAATTAACAAGTGGTAGAGTGACTATGTCACAATTTAGTTGGGCAGAAGGGCAGGGGCATACCAAGGCTATGTAAAACGATTCACATTAGAACTTCTAATTGTGTGGAATTAAGAAAATTTGGCTAGGTGGAGTGGCTCATGCCCATAATCCCAGCACTTTAGAAGGCCGAGGTGGGTGGATCCCTTGAGCCCAGGAATTTGAGAACAGCCTGAGCAACATGGTGAAACCTTGTCTCTACAAAAAGTTAGCCAGGTGTTGTGGTGCATGCCTGTAGTTCCAGCTACTCAGGAGGCTGAGGTGGGAGGATTAACTAAGCCCGGGAGGCAGAGGTTGTAGTAAGCCGAAATTGCATCACTGCACTCCAGCCTGGGCCACAGAGTAAGATCCTGTCTCACAAAAAAAAAAAAATAAAATAAAATAATGAAGTAAAAGAAAAAGAAAAAATTTAAGTAGACTATGATGAAAGATAGCAAGCATTTATATTATATCATTCAATTAGAGCACCGTCTGAGTTAATGTTTTATGAGATTGCAGTTTTCAACTGTAGAGGATTACTTGATCATATTTGCTGTTTAACTTTCCTCCCTCATTAATCTATGGTTAACTGAAGTAGATTATTTGTTTTCAATTTGATCTAAATATGTCTTTTATAATCATTTCCATCTTTATAAACATAATTAATTCCTTCAAGTGTCCAGGTGGTAAATTCTCTCCTACATCTACTTCTATATATAGAGAGAGAGAGGGAGAGAGCTGGCAAGGAAAGAAAAGAGACAGTAATATATTGCTTAATGAAGGGGAGAATTCTGAGATTTTGTCATTTTGCAAACATCGTAGAGTGGACTTACACAAACCTAGGTGGTATAGCATATTGTCCCTAGGCTACAAACCTGTACAGCATGCTGTACTGAATACTATAGGCAATTGTAACACAATGGTTGGTATTTCTATATGTAAACATAGAAATGGTACAGTAAAAATATGGCGTAAAAGATAAAAACTGGTGCACCTGTGTAGGGCACGTAACATGCATGGAGGACTAGAAGATGCTTGGGGTGAGTCAGTGAGTGAGCAGTGAGTGAATGTGAAGGCCTAGGACATTACCCTACTGAATACTTTATGAACACTGTACACTTAGGCTACACTATAAACACAAATTTTTCTTTCTTCAATAATAAATTAACTTCAGCTTACTGTAACTTTTTTTTACTTTAAAGTTTATAAGGTAGGTTCGTTTATACCAGCATCACCACAAACATGGGAGTAATGCATTGTGCTACGATGTTATTATGGCTATGACTTCCATAGGTGATGGAAGTTTTTCAACTCCATTATATTCTTATGACGCCACTGGCATATGTACAGTTTGACATTGACTGGAAGGTCACTGTGCAGTACATGACTGAATATACACATACACATACTAACAATTTGGATATTAAACAGGGGAGATGATATAGATTATTGGGCAGAGAGCATAGTGGCATTGGATCGTTTGCTGATGATATTTGCATAAAGTAATTAAATCTGCCCCTGAGAAATAAACTTCCTTTGCTGATAGGAAGAAAATCTTTCTCATCAGACAGGTTTTCCTGTATCAGGGTTTACTCAGTTTGAACTGCTCAGGTATTATAATGCTGAAGCTTTCTCTTTTAATTACTTAGGCAAACTGGAATAACTTTCCTGCATACAGAAATGTATTTTGTTTTAAATGCTCAAAGTCTAATTAATCAGAATGTCGGTGCTCATTTGTATCAGGGGAAACCAGGGGAGAAGAGGGGGAAGGAAATTATCACAGTTGTCTTTGTTCCTTGGTGCTAACAGATTTAAAATGTCACCTTTGCTGCAAACTCTGTACCTCTGTAATGACAGAGAGGAAGCACAGCTGTGTGCCTTGGCTCTCTTGTGGGACCAAGTGAATTTCGTCAAGGGATCTGTAGCATCTATTGTGAGGGTGGAGGAGCTGATTCATTTAATGACACATGGGTTTGAGACATCATTTGCCAACCCCACTGAGAAAAACAAAACAAGAACTTAACCAGCACATGGGCACCATGTGAGCTTTTCTCTTTTTGTGTCCCTTTTCTTTATTGTTCAGTGCCCACCCCTTTCTTGGTAGGCAGAGGGGATATATATAGAGAGAAGGGGTGTGGGACACAAGGGCTGGTATAGAATGTGGAAATCTGTAGCATATTATTTCAAAGCACAGCACAATGGTTTGGTGGGAATCAAAGAATAGAAACAAAAATGTTCAGTGGCATAACCAAATAGAATGGTGCAAGGGAAGAAGGCACA